>NC_000007.14:47815999-48119029 GCF_000001405.40 Homo sapiens
AGAGGGGACGGCGAGGGCTTCCGCAAGCCTGAAGGGTGGGAAGGTGTCGGGGCCACAGGGCTGGTGCAGAGGGAGCGCCGGGGCTAGGGTAAACAAGGGAGGCTCTGGGACACACAGACCAAGACCCAGTCCTCTCTCTGCACTGACTGCCGACTGGGCGCAGCATGTGACTGGCCTCCCAAGATGCCTGTGAGTGGCAGATGTGAAGACATAGATGAAGTGCAGTGTTGGCACAAACACTAGTCTGTTTTCTTTCCAATTAACTTCTTCATTATGTTTATAGATATGCTTCATTTTTCCACCAAGGAACTGATTTAAGGGAGCACTGAAATAACATCAAATGAATGAAATTTATCATTTTTAGTTTGCTCAGACACTGCTATAAAGCCACATGCACAGGCCAAGGCTGTGCATGGCAGCAGCAGGGTGTCCATTTGGCTCTGAGCTACAGCCAGAGGCAAAAGGATAAAATCAAGTGTTCCTACGAGAAAGCAAAGTACCTCTCACCTAACTCTAAAAAACTTTCTCATACATAGCTTCCCATGAAGAGTCACTGAAGAATGGAAAGGATGGGGTGCTCATCAACATGCCCTCAGCAAACAGAAATGGCTCTGATGTGGCTGTTTCATCCAGGTTTCTCTCCACAAAAAGGGGAGACCAAAATAGTTCTCAGGAAAAGGAATTTTGTCATAAGGTGAGAAGAAGTTAGAAAGTCACCCAAGTACACACAGTTGAATGCCTGGTCCAGCACCAGATCCAGACTACTCCAAAGAATGAACACACTATGAATCATTCAGATGATGGCCATGGCTTTGGTAAACGAGGCTTGAGAGCAAAGTTGGGCTGTAGACAGCAGGCCTGGAGCCGACTCTTACTGTGAGAGCCAATTTTGCACAACTCCTCCCAACTCCATGTTCAGTGATGTCACATTGGTGGTGTGAAAGACCATGGTGGTTCCGGGCGTGGTGGCTCATGCCTGTAATCCCAGAACTTTGGGAGGCTGAGGCAGGCATATCATCTGAGGTCAGGAGTTTGAGACCAGCCTAGCCAAAATGATGAGACCCTGTCTCTACTAAAAATACAAAAAATTAGCTGGGCGTGATGGTACGCGCCTGTAATCCCAGCTACTCAGGAAGCAGGAGAATCGCTTGAACCCAGGAGGCAGAGGTTGCAGTGAGTAAAGATCATGCCACTGCACTCCAGCCTCAGTGACAGAGTGAGACTTCATCTAAAACAAACAAACAAACAAACAAAAAAACCATGGTGGGAGGATTTACACCACGGAAATTGGCTGGCAGATGCTATAAATCAGTGCTTTTGTTCTCCAGTTATTAACTGTTTCCAGCACACCACAAAGACTATGTTTACAGGTAAGGTGTAGAACGGACACTCCACTGTTGATTCAGAGCAGATTTTGCAGATAATTTAGAAAAAGTTTTTAAAAACCTGATAGTCATGACAATAATTGGACAATATTAAAAAAATCAAAGACAAATAAATGTCACTAGTGTATAGAGTAATAAAGAGATGCAGTAGCCTCAACCAATAATCTGTATATACTATAAATGTGTTCGAAAATTTCCATATGGCTGGGCACGGTGGCTCAGGCCTATAATCCTAGCACTTTGGAAGGCCGAGGTGAGTAGATCACTTGAGGCCAGGAATTTGAGACCAGCCTGGCCAATATGGCTAAACCCCCGTCTTTACTAAAAACACTAAAATTAGCCAGACATGGTGATGGGCGCCTGTAGTCTCAGCTACTTGGGGGGCTGAGGCAGGAGAATTCCTTGAACCCGGGAGGCAGAGGCTGCAGTGAGCCGAGATCGCGTCACTGCACTCCAGCCTGGGCAACAGAGCAAGGCTCTGTCTCAAAAAAAAAATTTCCATAGCATGTATGAGTAAAAGTCTAGTGAATTAATTTATCTGACTGGTTTTATTTCTTTTTTCTTACGAAGAAATGATCTCTTATCCTTTCAAGTATTTGATCTTCATTGGTTTATACATCTTTAGAACTTAATCTTTGCAGGTCTTTTATTGGGTGCTGGTTCTTAACTCTGGACTTCTCTACAAGTTTTGTCAAACTATCAAATGCAGAGCAAATTGGAGGCCTGCCAGAGCACCCAGAGGGTGGAATGAAGCAACAGAGAGGCATCAGGAAAGGAGAACACAGATGGAGACAGAGATGGGAGGCATAAGGTGAGCAGATACATCTCTGCAAATATTCACGCCAAAGGAAAGGAAGAATGAGCCAGGGGGCACAGAGATGCAGTGAAAAGGGCGGGAGGGTAGGAAAGAGGCAAAGGATGGCTGGAGGTGAATTTTCAACAGAGGAAAGTGTTGAGCATCTGCTGTGGGAAGCAAGATGATTTGACGACAAACATTGTACATTTATAGCAACTAATATGATCCATTTTCTGTGTTTTTAAAGAATAAAGTATAGACATTATAGCCATGTTGAGTTTGCACCACTTTCGGGGAAATGGTATCACTTCTTGACACTTGCTTCCCTATTGGAATAACATTAAGAAACTAAGTTAAAAAGCCCTGAAAATAACCCAAAGCCAAAAGGCCCAATGGCCAGACTGCAGACATCTCACACCTCACTCCTGGCACACCCAAAGTGCAGGTAGTGAACCAAATGAGCCAGGAGTATTCTGGCCCTGTCTGTATTAGTTACCGCAATTATATAAAATAAGCCCACAAAGCTGGCTAAACAATGCAAAAGATAAAATCAGCTGTTATTTTACTTTTATGGCACTTGGATAGAACGCTTGCTTCATTGATTGGTGCTTTATTTGCTGGTTTATTTTTTGTTTTATTATTTTTTTTTGGAACTTCATGAAGTCTTTCATAAGTTCAGAAACACTTCAAATACAACTTAAATATGGCAAAATCCAAGAACGCAATGACTACTCAGTAGTCCAGTTCCCTCCCTTTATAGATGAAGATGCTAAGTCCGAGCACTTGCCAGAGTCACCTGGCAACCAAACATGAGTTGGGGGCCCAGTCTCGGAACTCTGTTTCATCCATTTCCACTCCTGGGCTTATTTAGCTTCTCTATCTGGAATGCTAGTAAATGCCAAACCCTAAGTTGTTGTTGATGTTTCAGGATTAGGTATTGGGGGCTAGGGGGTGAGACGGAGAGGGTCCACTTTAAACATTCCATTACCAACCAGGATACTTGAATATCCCTGCCTGGTGGCCAGAGCACCCAGAGGCAGTGAGGTTTTGCATCCCTATGGGAAACATAAGGTCTATGTAAATCCAGGAGTTGTGAATGTGAGCACATCAATCTCATGTGCACCTGAGAGATCTCACAAACATTATCTCAGCTGCGATATTTCTGATTTGAATATCAAGAAGCAACAATTCATATGAGAAATATGTCAAATAATGTTGACTTGTGAAATGTGAGATGAAAAATAAACTAGCAAAAGCCAGAGGTTTTTCATGTTTAGATTTCCATTTCCATTGAGGACCCAAATTATCACTTTGTTTTGCACACAGCACCACCTACTGGCACAGGCTGTGCACTTGCACGGATAGGAGAGCTGAAAAGTTGGTCATGGATGGAAATAACTGCTGGTTTCACAAATGAGGAGGCAGAAAATTCCACTTAATTTCACTATTACAATGCTCAGCAGAAAAAAAAAAACAAAACAACTTGGATTACTGAGCTACAGAACACCCAGACTCATAGCACTGGGACTTCCAGGTCTTACCTTACGAGTGGGTCACAACACTGACAAAGGGGACAATATCCATTAGCCATTATCTTGCTGCGTATGAATAACCCTCTCTCACAAAAATAAAGATAAATATGTTCTGAAATAATTGATAAGATTAAATTGACTTTCCAGCCACTCACTTCTGCCAAAAAATCCAACCAAAAAGTATTTACGTCAAATTGAATTACTTAGTCAAAGGCAACAAACACACTGATAGAGTTGCTGCATAAATGTGTCTTTAAATATTCACCAGAGTAAATAAGGTAACTCCTGGAACACACTGAATTATTGTATTTACCAGCATTGAAATCATAGCAAAGAACCAATATTATTTCATATCATGCACTTTATAATTCAAAGCCACACTGCCTTGAAAGGACTATCAGACTGACTGTTTGTGGCAGGTGAAAATAAAGCCTAACCATGGATTCAAGAACAACTCTCAAAAAAAAGAAGACTACATTAAATGCACCTGTTGATGACAATATGCATCCCAATTTTAGAAGCACTGAGACATGGAAAAGAAATATGACACAACAAAATGCTATCATGCTTGCCTTTGCCTGGTGGTATCACGGAAATTTTTCTGCTTTACACTTTTCAGTTCTGCTAGATTTACCTATGATCAACATCTACTACTTATAGAAAGAAGGAGGAAGAAGCAAATGAACAGCTTGAGAAATGATCAAGAACTTGAGAGGTGTTAGAAACTGAAGGCCGGGCGTAGTGGCGCACACCTGTAATCCCAGCACTTTGGGAGGCCGAGGCGGGTGGATCACTTGAGGTCAGGAGTTCAAGACCAGCCTGACGAACATGGTGAAACCCCATCTCTGCTAAAAATACAAAAAAATTAGCCAAGCGTGGTGGCACATGCCTGTAATCCCAGCTACTTGGGAGGCTGAGGCAGGAGAATCGCTTGAACCTGGGAGGTGGAGATTGCAGTGAGCTGAGATGGCGCCATTGCACTCCAGCCTGGGTGACAAGAGCAAAACTGTCTCAAAAAGGAAAAAAAAAAACTGTTAGAAATTGAGTGTCAGTTATTACGAACTGCAACCATAGGCTTTGATAGAAGAACTCTGAGGTCTCCAGCAAAAAAGAAACTGCAAGACCCTGTTTTGGCACAGAACTTAAAATTCCTTCAAATATCCTTGTTTTGCTATTTACCCCAAACGAGATGCTAAGAACGTGTCCAAAGTCTGTGAATGGAAGGGGGTTTTATTACTACCAGGGAAATGGTGACAATCTTTCCAGTATTTCATATGTGGGATGTGAAACATGGGGAAGGTGCACACAGGCTATGGAATAGTGCAATGGCCCCAGATCTGGAAGAGTTACCCAAACCTCCTACCTTGTAAATTCTTTCCGGATAGCTTGATTGAGGGAGTATTCATCTTGGGAAAATCTCCCATATATTACACACAAAAGCAGAAGCAGCATGAGGATGTCCATGGAAATGTCTCTGTAAGAAGAGTTTTTAAGTTAGCATCCATACAGACCCTGTATGTAGGTACCTGAGTGCTTCAATTTGCAAAAGATTTATTATTATTATTATTATTTTTGAGACGGAGTCTCACTCTGTCACCCAGGCTGGAGTGCAGTGGCACAATCTTGGCTCACTGCAACCTCTGCCTCCTGGGTTCAAGCGATTCTCCTGTCTCAGCCTCCCGAGTAGCTGGGACTACAGGCACGTGCCACCACGCTCGGCTAACTTTTGTATATTTAGTGGAGACGGGGTTTCTCCATATTGGCCAGACTGGTCTAGAACTCCTGACCTCAGGTGATCCACCTGCCTCAGCCTCCCAAAGTGCTGGGATTACAAGCGTGAGTCACCATGCCGGGCCAGAAGATTTTAAATGAAACTCGGCTTTTAAATCCCTGGGAGAAAATTTTTGTATAATAGTGTGAGATGTGTGTTGGGGTTTATTTATTTATTTATTTTGCATATCAATATCAAGTTTTCCCAGCACTTTTTTTTTTTTTGAGGCAATCTAGCTCTGTTACCTAGACTGGAGTGCAGTGGCACAATCTCAGCTCATTGCAACCTCCCCGTCCCCAGTTCAAGCGATTCTCCTGCCTCAGCCTCCTGAGTAGCAGGGATTACAGGCACCCACCACCACGCCATGCTAATTTTTTGTATTTTTAGTAGAGATGAGGTTTCACCATGTTGAGCAGGCTGGTCTTAAACTCTTGATATCAGGTGATCCACCTGCCTTGGCCTCCCAAAGTGCTTGGATTACAGGCATGAGTCACCATGCCCGGCCCCCAGCACCATTTTTAAAAGATCATCCTTTTTCCATTGGATCATCTTTCTCTCTCTGCCAAAAAATCAGTTGAGCATATTTGGGTAAGTCTATTCCTGTGTTCTCTATTCTGTTCCATTGATTTGCGTGTCTATCTGTCCCCAAATATCATGCTGCCTTGGTTTCTGCAGCTGTATAGTATGTCTTAAATTCAGATAGTGTGCGTCCTCTGACTTTGCTCATTGTTTTCAGAATTGTTTAGGCTATTCTAGTTCCTTTGCTTTCCATATAAATTTTAGAATCAGTTTGTCAATATCTGTAAAAAAAAGCTTGTGGTATTTTGCCGGGCGCAGTAGCTCACGCCTGTAATCCCAGCACTTTGGGAGGCCAAGGCAGGCGGATCACGAGGTCAGGAGATCGAGACTATCCTGGCTAACACGGTGAAACCCCATCTCTACTAAAAATACAAAAAAAAAAAAGAGCCAGGCATGGTGGCAGACACCTGTAATCCCAGTTACTCGGGAGGCTGAGGCAGGAGAACAGCTCAAACTCGGGAGGCGGAGGTTGCAGTGAGCCGAGATCGCGCCATTGCGCTCCAGCCTGGGTGACAAAGTGAGACTCCGTCTCAAAAAAAAAAAAAAAAAAAAAAAAACAGCTGTGGTATTGCATTGAAACTACAGATCAAATTAGAAAGAATAGACTTCTGAACATTACTGAGTCCTCCAATCAATGCACACAGTCTATCTCTCCATTTATTCAGATCTTCCTGACTTCTTTCATCAGTGTTTTGTGGTTTTCAACATACAGATCCTGCACACGTTTTCTTAGACTTACATCCATGTACTTCATTTATTTGGTGCTGTTGTAAATAGTATTCCTTTTTAAATTTCAATTGTTCATTACTGGTATATAGGAATATAATTTACTTTTTTATATTGACTTGTGTCTTGCAAACTTGCTAAATTCACTTATTAGTTCCAGAACCCTTTTTTTTTTTGTAAATTATTTGGGATTTTCTGCAAAGAAAATTTATGTCATTTGCCATTAGATGGTTTTATTTCTTCCTTTCAAATCAATACGTTTTTAACTTCTTTCTCTTGCCTATTGCATTGGCTAGGACTTCCAATGTGATGTTCAATAGGTGTGATCGGAGAGGACATTTTTGCCTTGTTTGATATCTTAAAAAACATTCGATATCTCTCTATTAAGTATGATGTTAGGTGTCGAGTTTTCATAGATACCCTTTATTAGCTCAGGGAACTCTTTTCTATTCCTACTTCTAGTCCTAGTTTGCTGAGAGGTTCTTTTTTTTGGATGAATTAATGTTGAATTTTATCAAATGCTTTTTCTGCCTCTATTGAGACGAGCATGTGGTTTTTCTTATTTAGTCTATTAATATGGTGAATTACATTAATTACTTTCCTCCTCGTGTCTCTTCCAGTCCATAGGTATCATCTTTATTTATTTTTGCTTCTTTGCGATTTATTTGTTGAGCAAGTGGTTATTTGTACTATAGATTTCTGTCTTGCTTTCCAGGGTGATATCAACATACTCTTACTGTAAACTACAAGTTGGCAAAATAACTTCATCAGATTAAGATTGGACTGTTTTGGGTAGGTTGCCTCATAGATGATGGTGTTTTCCCACGAGGAAACACATAATGTCTGATGTTTCTCTCTCTCTCCTTCTCTCTTTTATATTGACCACTGTTAATGAGCAATGCCCAGATTCATTACTTCATTAAAACTGCAAAAATGGTCAGGCTCTAATTCTATTACCTGGTCCCCATTCATTAGCTGGAATTCCTCTCTAAAGAGAAATATCCCCCCTCCTGTTATGTGGTTTCCCAGGGGTATGGTCTGTATAGGAAAGGCAGGCTTTCACTGGCTTTTATAAAGTTGGTTTCTGAGTGTCCACCAACATTGATCAATTACATTGTGGGTGTTGTTACCAGCTCATGGCTTTAGATAGATTTCATGAACTTCAATTCAGTAGTTTCTAATCTTGATGTCAAATTATCCCATGTTTGACCAATGTGAGCCTCTTCAAACTGGCTTCTTGGTCCTCTGACAATGACTCTAGCAGTTATTAATTGCTCCCTTGCCTAAGAAACATTCCAGGTTCATCTTGTACATTTTCCATCACCAACTTCAAATCAGGAATCCCAGTTACTTCTAATTCTTTTTGGTGGACCAAATCTAGGTGCTAAAAGTGTGTGTTGCTTCTGGGCTGTTTCTAGGCCTTTTCTTGCTGGAAAAATCTAGGAAAATATTTTTAAAAACCCACATGATTCCATACCTATACTTTCAATTCAAATTCAGGACTGCAGAGTTTTGACTTCCTTGAACTCAAATCTGTACCTTCTTTCTCTCATATCAAGAATTCCACTTTTAAAGGATACCAGGAATGACAGAATTAGAAAATAACAGAATTCTTCATTTCCTTTACCCCACAATAAATCAACAATGAAAATAAAGATACTAACGCTCCACTAACAATATGATTGGTGAAAACAGCTTTAGAGTTTTTTCCCCTAGTTCTTTTCCGTCCTTAGAGACTAGGTTTATATGGTCAAATTTTTAACCTTAACACAGATTTAAAAAAATCTTATTCCTTCTCTCCCCATAAGTAACTATTATTATTTCCTAAAGGTGCCTGGATTGCCTTTCCCTTGTTTTATTTAGGGTGAGCGGATCTACAGGCACGCATATTCTTGTCCCCTTTCATTAAGCAGTGGGCAGAACAGCATACCCGCTTTCCTCTACCTGGCTTCCCTCCTGCAGCGAATCCTGCAGGCCTCTCCCTAGGAGCCTGGAGGGGTAGTCTTCATGCTTCTACATAGCTGGACACTACTACACTGTGTTCCTGTCCCTCCAGCAAGACGTGTGGGTTCTTTCTAGGATATTCTCATTACAAAAGGTCCCACATAAATTGGTTTGTGTGTGGGTATGTTCATGTTTTACTTACTGTGTCTGTAAGAGTGATTGTAAAAAGTGTGGATGCTGGATAAATCGTAAATGAATCTATCATTGTGTAGAGACTTCAAATTTCCCCCATAGTGGCTGTACCATTTTGCATTTACACCAGCACTGTGTGAAATGCTCTATTTGACATAGCCTCACTAACAGAGTATGTGGTCACATTTTTGGATTTTCACAGTTTAATTTGCAATTCTCTTACTGTAAGTGAAAGGGCCATTTGAACTTCTTTTATTCTGTGAACTCTCTGTTCACTTTTCCAGTCCACTTTTTTTTTGTTTTAAAGAGTTGCTGGTCCTTTAGGCCAGGTGTGGTGGCTCATGCCTATAATCCCAGCACTTTGGGAGGTTGAGGTGGGTGGATCACTTGAGGTCAGGAGTTCAAGACCAGCCTGACCTACATGGTGAAACCCTGTCTCTACTAAAAATACAAAAAATTAGCCGGGCATGGTGGCACATGCCTGCAATCTCAGCTACTTGGGAGGCTGAGGCAGGAGAATCGCTTAAACCTGAGAGGCGGGGGTTGCAGTGAGTTGAGATTGAGCCACTGCATTCCAGCCTGGGCAACAAGAGCGAAACTCTGTCTCAAAAAAAAAAAAAAAAGAATATTAAAACTTTGTTACAAGTATTTTTTCCTAGTTTGTCACTGCCATTTTATTTTACAAATAGTTTCTTTTTACGTAGGAGTTATTTCTTTCTCTTCTTCAAGTTTTATGTAATCCAATTTACTTTTATTTTCCCTTTTTGTGTCTGGATTTTAAGTCATAGGGAAGTTTTCCTCACTGAAATCTTAGAGAAACTTATACTTAAGATTATGCCTAAGTGTATTTTGTTGTATTTATTATTTGCTTTGTTGAATATGGTCTTGTATTAAATCTCTGACTTTTGCTTGTATATAAATATGATATTGGTTTTTGTCTTTTAATTTTATAACCTAATACTTTACTAGTTTTGCCTGTTTCCTAAATGCTTTCTCTGGGCCTGTTCTGCTTGGTTTGGATGCTTCCCCCAGCAGCGCCCCCAGCCACCCCACCCCAGAGGGCTACGTCCTGGCAGAGCTGGGTTTGGTTAGTTCTGAGGGCTGAGCTGGCCCAGCAGCTCCAGACCTCCAGACCTTGCACTCACCTGTGAACTTGACTCTGCAAACTCCTCCAAGATGCGCCCACCACACTCCCAGTGAACAACACCTACAGGAGCTTGGAGTTCTATTCTCAGATACATCAGGTACCCCATCCTTCCCGCCACCATGTTCCGTAGCTGCTAAGCTATAGGGTGGGTGCACTCTCTGGTTGGTCCCCACCTGAGTGCCTTTGGAGGTGTGTGTGGTGGGGGCCATCTCATTTAATTTTGTTGTGCATGTTTTCTATGGGTTTTGTTTTTGCTATCTTAATTACTCTATTTTTATGAGGAGGTTTGATAAGATTAAAAAACTTGGCCACTGCTCCATCTTCCTGGAATTCCTCTCCCACTCTCCTTTAAATGTGACATCCTAACACAACCGCAGCTCTTCTCCTTGGAAAGGGATATGAAAATATTTAAGGGGAAGCTAATGGTGTGCCACACTGTATGAAGGGATTGTTTTTTAAGGAAGATGGTTGGAAGTGCTTCTGTGACATGCTATTTTTTAAAAAACTATCAGAAATTCCCAAGTCCTTGACAAACTACATGAGAAAGATTGGTAGGAGACCGAATTCATGTTCCGAATTTGAAGAGGGATTTTAGCTAGCATTTAGAGAAGGCTCCTTGTGGTGGCTGCCATCCAGCACCACCATGATGGGAGGGGGATGGTACCACTGAGAGAAATGTGTTGGAGGTAGAAGTTGGAGAGCTTTGCCACAGCATGATAGTTCTTAAGGTTTGTGTTTTATCTAAAAGAATTCAAAATATTTTATGAGAACCATAACACAGCTGTGCATATCTGAATATTAAACTTATTTTTAAATAACCTGTCACTGGGCTAAATCCATGCCCTAAGAAGAGGTGTTGCATTTATCTTACAGCTTCCACATTCCTGTGTGTCCCAGCTGGAGAAGCAGAAGTCCCAGACCATGTGCTAAGCACACGTATGGGGTGGGATGAAATCCAATTGTGTGTGTGAATCCATGCTGGATTCATGAAGCTGAGGCCCAGAGGAGGAAGCTTTCTTAATCAACTTCTCAACATGGGCAAATTGTGGAACTGAGTTTTCTGACTTCAATTCTGTTTCCCTGAATTCCTCCCATCTGCTGGGCAGCACAGGTTGTTATATAAATAAGGATGGCTCTGGGGACAGCAAGGTGGTCCCCACCTCCACTCCCCACTCCTCCAGGAGAACAATCTCCCAGGAGGACCAGCGGCAGTGGGGTACTCCCTCCGAGAAGGGAGCTGGAGTGGAGCAAGCCCTCCCGACAGAAGCCGCCACCCACCTCAGGGCAGCCCGTGTGCGACTCTCTCTCCTCATCCTCTGTCTGGTGCCCCTCAGCTGGGCCTTGGATGGTGGATGCGCCCAGCGCAGGTGGCGAGCTTGTTGTCGGGCAGCCAAGACCTGTCAGGGACAAGAGTGCTGTGAGCTGCGGGCTGGTGGGTGGAAGGAGAGAGGCCCCTGGTGCTCCTGCCAAGCCAAGGAATGTGTCATTGCTGTGCTGTGCCTTCAGCCTGGCATTTGGGAACAAAGAGGTACTTTGTATGGATAACATAGACCAGGTTGTTGGGGAAGGGATCAGAGATGGGGGTAGACCCATTTTTAAAAATCTGCTCATGTCCCAGGCAAGTTTTTTTGGCAGGGATTGCAGTTGGGCTATTACAAAGAGCTGCTGTACACGAGGGGTATGTCTACTACTGTCAAATTACAGCAGCAATTATCTTGGGCACTGGCACAGTATTTTCTCTTAGAGACTTTCAAGGTATGAAAAAATCATTTTAAAGTATAGTCTTAGCAAGAAATGACCTTTCTTTTCTTTTTTCAAAAATCAATTTTACTTTCATACTCTGTTCGTGACAGGGCATAACAGTAGCCAGATAAGTGAACTCATTGTAGGTATTCATTCATTCAACACACATTCACTGGATCAGGCACTGGGGACATCTGAGGAACCAGAGACAGTCCTTCCTCCTAGAGACTCTGGGCTTCTAGGAACTTGACAGCAGGAATGTGAACAATATAAAGCTGCACATGCAGAGTGTTGGGGCTTAAGTTACTCCCTTCAGCTGTTGTGCTGTTCTGAGAAAGGAACACGTGTGGCGGAGAGATCCGTGGGGAGGCTTGGGTGTAGGGGGGCACCCCAACTCTAAGATGCTAATGAGCCATGCATAGGTTTGGAGATGCCAGCCTGGCCCTCAGGATCAGGCTGAATTCATCAGAAGGAGCCTCACCTCTGAGGTTGGGATGATAGAAAGAAAATGAACAAACTGGCAGCACAGCAGGGCACAGCTGTACGAGGGGAGAAGAGGAAGGAGAGCCTTCCAAGCAGAAAGGAAAGCTGAGATCCAACAGGTATGAGGGAACAAGGGCAACGTTGCTTCTCAAGAGCTAAGGTGCTGCAGGGCGGGGGGTGCAGGAGGAAAGGGCAAGGTGGGCCAGGTTTGGGCCCCAGACTCCCCTTTACTGCAGTGTAGCCTGGGTCTAATTGCTTCACCTCATCTTTAAATGGGGTGCAGGGATGCTGCCTAATTCATCAGGTGTTATAAGGAACAAATGATCCGATAAATGTAAATACAGTGTAGATGTAAAACAGCATAATGACTAGTACATAGCCTGTGTGCACCACCCATCTTCAGCAGCAGCAGCCTTGGTTTTAGGCAGGGCTGAGAGGCCTCAGACAGGTCCTCAGACATGGAGTTTATTAGGATCCTTTGCGAGGAGGAGGGTGGAGATGAGGAGAGGCCCAGACCGGGGTCTGACTCTCAATGCACTGGGATTGGGTCCTTGGTCGTAAGTGACTTGTGGTTATTACAAGAGTACAGAATTGCACATGCATTTCAGGTGCTTAGTCAATGAGCCTGTGAATGTCTTTGCGGTGGCCAGCAGACCTCTCTCTTCCTTCATATCATTCACACTGCCCAACAGAATGCTACACATACAACAGGCAAAACTGAATAAAAGAAGGAAGAAAGGGAGGGAGGAAGGGACAAAGGGATGAAGGCAGGGAGAGAGGAAGGATGGGGAGGAGTACATTTTCTGTGGGTTCACTGAAGGGCAAATGGACTAAAAGTTCTCCAAAATCATGGCCAAGAATTAGAGTTCTTACTTGCTTCAGTATTTTAAAATATGCTCATTTTCTTGATGCTCTAACTTCTTTAGGATTGGAGTTAAAAAAAAATAAGTCCTATGTGTTCATCTATCATACAGGTATGTGCAAAGAAGCATAAGAAATTAAGACATCCCATGGGTCTCCAAAGATGCAACCCAATCTGAATTCAAAGCCTACATTCAGATATGCATGATAGAATATAAAGTAGTTTTTTAAATCTCAATTTGCACTGCATAGGTAATTTTTTTTACTTTTTCAACCTCGCCTGCACAGTCAGGAATACTGCAGCTTGAAGAGAAGGGGAGGCGAGTCCAGGAACGTTCTGCCAATTCAGAGTCCAGATCCCTGGTAGCCTCACATAAAGACTCAGTAAAAAAGTGGTTGTCAGCTCTTCTTTTCCAAGCAAAACCCAAGGCCATGAGGCATACCTGGAAGGAAAAACATGACAGCGCAGAGAGCCGCCCTATGTCTGTGTTCATTCCACACAGAGCTGTCCTCCCGTCCCCTAATCATGAACAGGACTCCATCTCCCAGTTTTAAAGACACCAGTAGTCACTGCCTTGGATTCCCAGCCCAACTACTCACCAGGCATGGCCCCGCCCAAGAGACCTAAATTCTCTGAGTTCAATTTCCTCAAATAAAAAACGTGGGTTAAAGTGGTACCCTCCTCAAAGATTTTTATGAGGATTAAAGAACAGGCCCATGTGCAGCTTAGCACAGAGCCTGGCTCCTGGTTCTCTCCAACCACAGCTGAAATCAGGGTATAAAGAAAAGTCATACACAACCAAAATGAAGCCTCTATTTCCCCTTCCCATCTAGGTCCCCTGCTGATGGAAGGCACTTCTACCATGGAGGGTGTTTCTTACCATAAGTGGCTGGGTGATGAAAATACAGCAGACCACGGAGAGGGACAGCAGGTGCAGCCACTGCACACATTGCTCCTGGCCAAACCTGCCCCCAGGGAAAGTGCAGTGGTCAGCCCCCTCTAAGGGAGCAGGCCACCCAGCAGTCATTGCTGCCTAAGCACAGGGACACTGCCTGAGAGGGCCTATGGCCTCGCCGTGGCAGGAAGCCTGCTGTGGGGGTGGTGCTGGACATGGGCAGTGTCTTTCTGCTCATCGGAGGGGAACCCTTGTCTGCCAAGAGGACATCGACCTCCCTGAAGCTGCCTAGTGGGAAAGAGAAAGGAAAACCCAACAGGCAGATGAAACAGAGCACAGAGAGGGGAAGGGGGAGGAAAATGGGTTGGGGTATAATAATAATAATAGCAGCAACAACAACAAAGCTGGATGCTGGCGGGTGCTCCGCAGGGGCAGGCATGATGCTAACAGGACTGCTTTCATATTTCAGCTGCTCCTCCCCAAGCCCTAAGAATTAAGCTCTCTGATGTTCCTATTTTACAGATGAGCAAACTGAGGCACAAGAGAGGTCTAAGTACCTGCCCATCCTCACAGAGTGATTCAACATCTACAGTTGAGGAGAGGGGAGAGACGGGAAGAAAGGGCCTTGGCTTTGAGGCTACTCTTTGTGGTTTATGAACCACACTGAGTGACCCTGGGGTCTCCGATGGCGAGTCCAAGCTGTACAGGAGCCAGAGAGGTACCATGTGCCGGAGTGACAGGATCAGAATCTGTGACACATGCATCATAATCCCTGTCCCGAAGGCATACGCTTTTTCAAATGATGGGAGACCATGAACAGTATATTCTAGCCAGAGTTCCTGGCTGGGAACCTGCTCCTCTCAGGAGCTCTGCAGCTGGGTTCCTTCCTTCCTTGGGTGGGCGTCCTGCAGCTTCTTGTTTAATATCTGGACCCCATCCAGGCCTGCTGCCATGGCAGAGCTGGCCAGGCCAAGCCACCCTTTGGGATCTGCATAGGATTTTATTTACCCCAGGAGATGGGAGGGAGAAATGAGGGAGAAAATAGCAATAGTGACATCTGGAGCCTGCATCTGATGAGTTCCCAGAAATGCAGGGATTTGTTTACAAATGCGAGACTTTCCATCTGAGGACCTGAGGATGTTTGAAAAACTCTACAGCTCACCTGTAGGCTAGAAATCCTGTCCCCAAACTGCAGGCCAAAGAAGCGGTCCCACAAATGGCCCACACTGCAGAGCTCCACCAAGGCTGAAGGGCCCTTGACCACTGGGGCATTAGTCCCTCCAAACCACTGCTGGGTGCTGCGGAAGAGTAGGACAGAGACAAGGCAGCTTAAGAGACCTCGGCATCTCCATCCACGCGGAGTGTGGTGGTGAATCTTAGGTGTCAACTAGGCTGGGTCGTAGGGTGCCCAGGCATTTGGTTAAATGTGATTTTTGAGTGTGTTCGGGGTTGGGGGTGTTTCCAGGTGGCATTAAGATCTGAATCAGCAGACTGAGTGAAGCAGAGGGCCTTCCTAGCCACAGGCCTCCTCCAATCCCTTGAGGTCCTGAATAGAACGCACAGGCTGAGAACAGGGGAACTCCTGCCCGACTGCTGAGCTGGGACATTGGTGCTCACCTAAGGGTCTGGGGTCAGGATGGGGGTGGTGAGCAGCAACTCCTGCCTTGCTGTGCCCTCAGAAGGCTTTTGGGGATCTCCTCTTCTGACCTGCATAGGGACCTATGGGTCCCCAACATCAGAGGCAGAGAGGTCAGTTTCCATTTCAGACCCCAAACAACTAAGCAGGCTGACCTGGAATCTGAGGGTCTGCCCTGATTTGGATCAAGTCCCACACACCACAAGGGACAGGGCTGTGACTGGTCCCCTGCAGTTTTCAACCTTCCCTCTCTGCTGTGTGATTTCCCCAGGGCCAGATACAGGACCAGAAGGTTGCCCCATACAGCTCTTCATACCTCTGGGTGCAGCCGTCTTAGCTCGTTTTCTAGCAACTGCTCTTAGAGGCAGGATGCCATGTCAACCTAGGGCAATCGAGTACAACACCTTTCAACAACTAAGAAGCTCTTGCTGGGAAGCTGGTATTAGGCAAACCGAGGGACACTGGCTGAACATAAATCAAAGAATGTGAGCTGTGGCCGGGACAGTGGCGTTGTCCTAAGCCACACCTTCTCCACAACCTCATCGGTGGCTGGTCTGCCAGTGTCAGCCTTGCACTCCTGAGTGCTCCCTTCCAGCCCAGGCCACGTGTCCAGTTTGTCTGGGAGGGTCGTCGGTCCTTGGGATGAGTTTCCCTTCTGATCTACTGCTGATACTTGTGCCTACGCTGAAGGCTCACCTGCCTGAAGCTTGTTCACTCACAGAAAGGATCTTTTTTGTGCCCCACTGTGTGTAAGGTGCTGTGCAGCCTGGGCCCAACCAAACATAGCTGCACGCACAGGCCTTGCCAGTCACTGTGAACAAGCACCTGAATCCAGCACACAAGGACCTGGGCTGAGCTGGAGCCTCGAGAAAACCATCTGCTCATGTACCATGTGGCTCTAGGATCCCAAAGCCACACATCCCTGCCAGGCCAGGCCCACCACAGTCTCCTCTTTGCCATCATTTGGCCACCCTCCTAGGATTGCAGCAGGATTCAATCACCCTGGGCACAGCCCTGGTTGTTCTAGGGTAATCCCTGCCTCTACCAGCTCATTGCTGAGATTCCAGCATAATTGGAAGCTGGGACTATCGTTCACTGTCATTAGCATTAAAACATGCAAAGCTTCAAACTCCAGAATACTTTAAAAAGGTTATGAGTGTATTATTGGCTTTTAAAAAGATCTGACCAAACTTACGTTAAGTACCTGCCAGAAAGCACCAAGACTTTGGAGGAAAGCTGGACGCCTCAGTTTTGGGTGGGCCCATGCCTGGTTTTTAGATGAGACTAGAGTATTCAGTGACATTTGGCCCAATTGTGACTCTGCTTGCCCTGCCTCTCCCAATGGCTGCAGGTCTGCTGGACTGGCAGGAAGGGGGCTGTGGTTGCAAGCCACAGTTACCTTGAGTGTGGGGAGGGCAGCAGTGGCTTTTCCCCATCAGAGAAGTCCTGCTGTGGTCAGCCCCATGAACCTGCAGCTTAGGGGCTGGACAAGCTGTGCCATTGTCACTTGCCGCCTTCCTTTGGGCCCTGCCACTCCCAGAGAGAATGGCTGATGCAGGTTGCTAGAATGACAAGGTCATGCCAAGGTTAATATCTCCACAGACAGGGCTTCACACGTGACGCTCAACAGTGGTGTGGCTTGCCGCCTTCTCAGAGGACAGGCCTGGCATGGGCGGGGTGTGGTGCTGAGGCCTCTAAAGACTTCTGAGGGAGGAAGCACAGGCAGCCTGGGAGCCGGCTCCTTTGTACCCCTTGGGGGACGGTGGGTGCCCCTGGGGAAATGTTGGTGGCCTAACAGCAGCTCCACACAGTCAGGGTGATTGCACCTGGTTCTCTGGGAGGCATGACCCTGCCACAGAGGGGAATCCAGCCAAGAGCAACGGGTTGAACAAAGCCTCCAAGTGGGGAGGGCGCAGAGCTCCGGCATGGTGTTTGGGGTATGGGGGGCACACTGTGTTTCCAGCAGCGGATCGAGAGTACCACCCTCAGGAACAGGAGTGGTGGAGCTGCCGCCAGAGAGTTAGAGCCTGGCAAACAGGGCACCATGTGTGCCCTCACAGGTCCCACAAAGCAGAATCCCACGTAAGCAAAGGGGCAGTCACACAGATCTGAAAAGCACTATAGCAATGGGGTAACGCAGCTGTGCCATTGGAAGCTGCCCTCCAACTGCCCCGTGTCACAGGCCTCTTTGAGACCTGGAACGGAGCTCCCAGCACTGGGGCAGCTTCTCTGAGCACCCTCCTCACAAGGAGGTGGAGAAGCTCACTGAGCAATCACCCCGAGCCTTGCTGCTCCACAGTGTCTCTCCCACGGTCCTGCCGGTATTTACTGAGTAGACACACAGGGCTTTCTGAATTCTTCTGGGCTTCACTTCCTTCCTGTTTCAGGCCTCTGCTGAGACCCCTTCTTTCTGACCCACCTGGAGAGCCGGGTTGCCATGGCATGTGTCCTGGGAAACGGGACCTCCCTCTAGGGAGGACGGCCCCCAGCCAGCACAACAGGTCTTGCATTGATCTTTTCCTGTGTCCGTCTCACCTTGAGCCTGACCCATCCATGGCCAGACCATAGCCAAGGGAGGATGCCAGAGAAATCTAATTGTTTGCATTTCATGCTAGAAGATTAGCTGCTGCGCATAATGATTGATTTACCTTGCGTGGCTCCTGTGCGTCTGGTATCCTTCCCCAGGAATTAGGACCTGATTCAAAAAAATAAAAATCCAATGTACGATGCTTTGGGGTGATACATTTAAACAGGGATATGTTTAAGGATTAGCGGGGACACTACTTTCTTCAGCAAATACTCTTCCTTCCTGACTCAGCCAGAATGAGTATTTCTGAGAGGATAAGGCTAGAACGAGGACTTTTGTTGATGCTTCAGTCCTGATGTTGGCTTGGGCAACCCTCACACCCACTTGAGGCTGCCCTAAGGAAACATGGCAGCTTGAGAAAAATGTTTAATTAATAAAATAAATGGCACTAGCAACTAGAAAATGGATTCACTATCCATCTGACAAAGACCTACTTTACTTAGCTGGTGAAAAGTATTTAGATGTCCCTCAGAAAAAAAAGGATTTTATAAGGTTCATATAAATGTGGGCAAATAAAATGGACAGATGACAGAAAATAAAATGACTTTTACACACATTAAATGATGCTCAATGTTACTCATAATAAACATAATGCAAATTGAAAACAGAAGATACAATTTCTACTTAGTAGATTGGTGCAAAAGGCTCAGCCCCACGGAGAGTTTCTGAGAGTTTTAATGTACATTTACCATGGGGTGCCTCGGTCTGTGCTCCTCCTCTAAGTGGGCTGTGTGGCTCCACTCGGGCAGACCCCGGGGCTTCCTGCAGAAGGAAAGAGGTGGTTCGCCAAGCGTGTTCCCCAGCAATGAAGGGGCTGCTCAGGAGAACAGGGCCATGAGGACAAGTCGCAGGTACCTTGCTGAGCCTGAAGAGCAGGGACAAGAGCTGGGCCCCTGGAGAAGCCAGGAGGGTACACAGGAGACCCACCCTGAAGGATCCAAGGGTGGGGCTGACGTCCAAGTGGGGCTGCAACAAAGCAACAGCAGCCATTACATCAACTCAATATGAGTCCCGCTTAAAACGCAGTCATTGTGTAATTACAAATACATGTAATGTGAATACATACATTATATTTAATAAAAGTGCTCTCTTCATGAATCATGAATTTTAAGTTACAATTCAATTGATTGATTGATTGATTGAGATGGAGTCTTTCTCTGTCGCCCAGCCTGGAGTGCAGTGGCAAGATCTTGGCTCACTGCGACCTCCGCCTCCCGGGTTCAAGCGATTCTCCTGCCTCAGCCTTCCAAGTAGCTGGGATTACAGGCATGCACCACCACGCCCAGCTAATTTTTGTATTTTTAGTAGAAACATGGTTTCACCATGTTGGCCAGGCTGCTCTCAAACTCCTGACCTCAGGTGATCTGCCCACCTCAGCCCCGCAAAGTGCTGGGATTACAGGCGTGAGCTACTGCGCCTGGCCACAATTCAATTTAAATAATGCTTCATGTTCAATATTCGTTCTAAGAAAAAAATAGAACTATATATAGAACTGATATGATGGATACAAGCAGAAGGAATCCAGCAAAGGCTTCTTCTACCCCAGGAGTGAAAAAAACACAAGAAATCATTTTGTTTCTTCTTATACAAATCGTTTTGGATTGAACAAATGCTTGCCGAGCACCCACTCTCTACCAGGCATGTGCTCCATGGATGGAATCATGGCTACAATCCAGCAAGGCATCAACCCACAAGGTACCAATGAACAGAGAAAAGTGGTTAGTGGTCCAACATCAGACAACATGTCGGCTTCAAAGAAGAGGCCGACCGTAGGTTTCCTCACCACAGGCCCTGGTCTATTTCCAGGTGGACGGAGCTGTTCCCTTCCTGCTACTTGATGATATTTCTTTATCCTCTTTTTACAAATTCTGTGCGCTGTTATTTTTTTAATCCCACCAATCCATAATTGTTATTGGATCTCTCTGATACCTGGTGTCATAAAGGAGCCACTATGCCCGGCTGTCCCATGGATGGGTCGCTGACCCCCACCTCGGAAACGGACCTTGTCACCACATTCTGCAGCCACACTACGACCCAGCGGTGAACCCGGTGGGCTGGGTGCATGAATGGCCATGATGTTGTCGTAGTAAACAAGTCAGTTTTGCCTCAGTCCACGTCCTGCTGTGTTGTTTTTTCCTCAGGAAAGAGAGGGTCTCCATTTTAACTGCTGACACTGATTTGGAAGTAATTTACTACATCTCATGAGGAACAATCAGACCAGAGTTGCCAGTGCAAACTGGCATCTTGAGGGAAAATGTGGCCATCAGAATGGTTCTACGTTCTTTTGTCCAGAGGATTTATTTAAAATCTAAATGAATTGCCAACTTAAAAAAAAATTCAAGAGTGTTCTCAAAGACAACCGGCTGCCAGCCTCTCTGGAAAAGTTCTGCTGCTGGGCCTGGGCACGAGCTCCCACACAGCAGCTGTCCACCGAGCCAGCAGAGTCAGAGCTGTGCAGGGCCACCCAGTGCCACACCGGGCAGAGCCCTCCTGTTCCTTCTCTGGTCCCCAGGCAGCCAGGCTTGCTTCCCCTGGTTTAAACTTTTCTCGGAGAACTGTGAGCTTTGTTGATTTCTTAGGCAAAAAGGGGCCACAGTGTAGTCGGATCTGGAAGCTGCTATAAGGAAAAGCGATGGCTCTCACCTGCTCTTGCCCTCCAGCAGCAACCAGGGCAGTGAGACACGCGTAGACGCACAGCAGGGAGAAGGACACGGTGAGGCGCGGCGTGTGCAGGTAGCGGCTGGAGGAGGGCCTGCTGTACACCGACAGCCAGACATGGAAATCCTCCAGGTACTCTGTGAACTTGCAATAGAAAAGCTGAAACGGAAAGCAGGAGAAGTGTTCCCTGACATGGAGCATTTCTGTCAGCAAAGCAAAGTACTGTTAAGCAGTGATCTTCTGAGCAGAGACCACGAGCTTTCTGGTTCTTCCATCCTAGCTGCTTAGCTGTGTACCAGGTGGGCTGTGGTGCAGGTAGACAGCACTGCACTCCCCACACTCTCTGGCTCTGCTATCCTGGCTGGTTAGCTGGGTACTAGGTGGGCTGTGGGTGCAGGTGAACAGTACCTCATTCTAAGCCTCTTGAAGCTGCTCCTCCTTCAGCCTTCTTGGCAGCCCCCTTGCTACAGCCACACTGCTATCACGCTGGACTCTGGCTCACCTGGCCTTCCTCTGGCACCTCCTGAGCTTTGGCACATGCTTCTCCGAGCTTCACCTGCATGGGTCTCAAATGCCTTCACTCCCAGCCTCAGGAGACCTTCTCTCCAGAGCTTCTGATCAGTCTCTCCTTGGTTCTCCTTCATATTCCTAAGAGACTTTCAAAAACCCCTCCACTCTCAGAACTTTCCCTGGCAACATAGTTAATTTCAACTGGGCTTTGAGTACACTGAGAGTGGGGCTGAGTCACCTCCACCTCTGTCCTCAGTAGCCCACAGTGTCTGGCACACAGTGGGAGATACGTTGTTTAGGAATTGCACTAAATTTTAAGTTCCAATTCAATTTAAATAATGCGTGGGGCTCAATATTGTTCTAGAAAAAACAAAAGTATATACAGAACTGCTCTTATGGAATATGAGCAGAGCACAGAAGCGAATGCCAGAAAAATCGTACTAACAGAATGAGAATATATCTTCTTTATGTAAATAAACTAGCCAACAAGCAACGCTCAATTCGCAGCACACACAAGTGCTCATACGTGACTAAATTAATAAGCCTACATTTCTCACAAAAAGCTCTCAAGCACAACAGCTGGAGGATAAGCAACGTATGTCTCCCGTTGTTAACTATGGTTCCTCAGCCAAACAGTCATTCTCACATGGAAACAGTCGTCTAAGAGGAAGCCCCAGTTGAATGGACCTTCAGTTTTAGATGTTGAAGAATTTCCACATGCTGTGGCTGATTGAAAACTTGTTTCAAATCCTTTGTGATCATGTTTCTTACTAGCTTAGCAATATGTCAGGCCTGAAAATGCCAAGGCCTTGAGCCTGGGCCTCTCATCAACGCAGGTGGCAACAGGGCGGGTTGGAAAGAAAGCCCAGTGGCCTGGCAAGGTCCGGCGACACTGGGGACTGTCTGAGTTCACTGGGCTTTTACCACTGTTTGAGACCCAGCTTCAGGAAGTACTCATCAGGGACACAGAGTCACACATGAAAGTTCCCACAATGTTGTCATTACCATAATAAATGAAAGAAAGTTATAAATGCCCAACAGGTCTTCAGCAAATGGTCATGCACAGTGGGCCACTATATAGCCCTGAAATGATGTTTTAAAAATTCATGAAGAGACCTACTCTAAAATGTTGAATAAGAAAGTGCAAAATGCAGCTAGGTGTGTTGGCTCATGCCTGTAATCCCAGCACTTTGGGAGTCCGAGGCAGGAGGATCACAAGATCAAGAGATCAAGACCAATCTGGCCAACATGGTGAAACCCCATCTCTACTAAAAATACAAAAATTAGCCGGGCATGGTGGCGTGTGCCTGTAGTCCCAGCTACTCGGGAGGCTGAGGCAGGAGAATCACTTGAACCCGGGAGGCAGAGGTTGCAGTGAGTCGAGATCGTGCCACTGCACTCCAGCCTGGCAGTAGAGTGAGACTCCATCTCAAAAAAAAAAAAAAAAAAAAAGAAAGAAAGTGCAAAATGCATGACATTATCATCACAATTGTATGAAATGTGTTTGTATATAGGGAAAGACGGAAAGGACATGCAAAAATCACGACTTCCATGGTTAGTTTGTGAGGTTATCTGTTATTCTGTCACTCTGGCTATCTCCTGCCATCCTGGACCTGACCACATCTATACCACATCTGTAATTACTCTATTGATAGTTATCTAGGTTGTTTGGGACACACATAGGGCACTGAAAAGTCTTTAATTACAGGGCTCTGGACATCACAGACCACCAGCAACCATAAATTCCAGCAATGCTATTACAATTACAGAGAAGCATTACTACAATAATTAATAATTGTGAAGGGTAATTAATCCATGCTTGGATGGCCACTCAATGAATGTATCATTTAATATTTTGATATCGTGGTAATTAACTAAGAAAAGAGGAATACACTTTAGAAGAGTTCAAAGACACAACTGTGGCAAGCGAAGCAGAGACAGGTGCCATGCTCTGCCGGTCAGCCAGGTGCGCCACGAGAGGCCACCTGGAGGGAGCCTACCTTCCGGAAGCCGAGTCCCCCTTGCAGACAGGTGAGCTCCCGCTCCACGCGACCATCATGCCTGCCGGCAGACAGCCAGCACTGGGCAGGGAAGAACCAGCCCTGTCCCGTGTGCAGCTCCTTCACCATCACGTGGCTGATGAACCAGCCTGGGGAAGGCCCACGGCTGTCGTGCCAGAGGCGGATCTTCCTCAGCAGGCCCAGTTGGGCAGGAGCGCTGGAGGCACACACAGCAGCATCTCAGCCGGGTGGGTGACAGTGTGGTCCTGGCATCCCATCAGCCCCAATGCTCACCCTCAAGGCACTGATGGCCCACAGAGGGTGGATGGGACATGTCAAAGGTGACTGACATGCAGAGTGACATGTGAAGCCCCCTGGAACCCGGCCAGAGGATGGGAAATCCCACCGAGCACAGTGACCCTGCACTCAGGCCTTCAATATCCACCAGCTTTCCCAAACCAAAGTTACACAAATCTCGTTCATGTATTTGTCTCTGGTGTGGATTAGTCTAAAGTTAACCTTTTCTCTCTTAATGAAGACATAATACTCCAAACCTATAAATATCATACATGAAATTTACCAGGAGAAAAAATAATTTAGCTCAGTCCTTTCATATTTTCTAAGACGCCAGGTGCTTGCATCCTATCTTGTTAAATTCACTCTTTCTCCAACCCCACCATCTTTGTGACACCATGTGTCACAAACTGGGGACAAACCTAATTAAGGTCAGAAGGTTTAGTGTCATAGAAAACACTGATTATGAACTTTACTAGTATGTAAAATCAGTAAGTCTTCTTTCCCCACCCTCCTTCCTTCCTTGCCTCGCATAAACCTATTGTTTAATCTACTCAGAATAATAAACTAAAAATACATCATAAAATTGTTTGTATATAAATCGATGCTCACTATTAGAGACCAATGTTATGTATTCTACTGTTTTGTATTTGTGATAAGGTTACACCAATTCTGATTGGCCTCTCTTTCCCAAATCTAGCAGTGAAATATTTTGGAATACCTCAGGATAAAGGTGTGTCTGGAATTCCTTTCAAACAGGGGCTTCTCTGGACAGGAGAGCTCCTTGGTTTCTGACAGTCCATTGTCGCCACATAAAACAATGTACACCTCAAAACAAAGAACAGGGGTGGGAACTCAGGCTATTTCACAGCAGACACCATGCAATGCTGGGCAGGGCTTCCTCGCACTTTCTCCCAGCGTCCCACCCTTCCTCAAAACCATCTGCACGGTGGAGTGCCACAGCCTAGAGCCAGGGGATGAGTGGGCACGTCCAGTCCCAGGCTTCCCTGGAGAGCCAGAGGAGAGCCTCGAAGTGGAGCCTGGTAGAATTGGCCATTTCCTCACCTATTTGATCTAGAAAAGCCAGATCCCAACTAGGATTCGGGAGGGCATTTGTTTTCTCATGAGGGCGGGAGAACACCACGGTGGGCACACCATTTTCCTCCCTGTGGTTTGGCAGGGAGATGCCAGAGGAGCCTGGACGCAGAGTAGGGTACCCATGCACCTGTGGGCACACCCTGGGGAGGCACATGACAATCTGGCTGGGCTTGTCGTTCTCACTGGTATCTTCTGTCACACAGAAATGAACAATTCTGATGTAATGTCACTTATCAAATTTTCATTTAAGAAAGATATTTCTGTTTCTGAAATCCTTCCTTACTCGAAAGTGTATATTTTCTTTGACTAGTTTCTAAACTTTGTGTTTTCACCTTTCTGTCTCTAATGTTCTGGAGTTCATTTTTTGTGTGTATGATGTAAAGATTTAATAGTACCTTTTTCTACAAGGGCAGCTATTGTTCCAAAATATTTTTTGAAACAGTGCACCCTTTCCTGTGGTTTGTAAGACCTCTAGTCTTCCCTAGAAATCCCTCCTCAGTACCTCTCCCGAGGTCATGACACGATCTCAGGTGCTACAGTTTCAAAATAAGCCTGGATATCGAGTTGGGAGGCCCCTGCCTTGTTCTTCTCTTGAGAGTTGGCATGACTGGTCTTGTAATTCTCTTGTATTCTTTTCTACCTGAATTTTAGGATCAGTTTTCCAAGTTCCACAAAACACTGTCCTGGAATTATGAATAGATTTAATTGGATTTAACCTCATTATGCCTTAGGTTTTCATTTGTAAAGGGGGTATATTAATAGAATTTCATTCACACTATTATTATTAATGTTATAGATTAATTTGGGAGAAATGACAAAGGAAAATCGGCTTTCTCATCCATGAACATAGCTCTTTATTTGGATCTCTTATGCATATCAGGGATAGTTCCTTCATGATGGTCTTGTATGTGGGGTTTGATGAATTCACTTCTAGGCACCCCACCATTTTTTACTGTGACAAAGAGGTTCTTGTTTTCAACTCCATGTTATAAATAGTTATTGCTGTTTTATAGAGATTATTTTGATGATTTTTTCTTAATCACAAATTCAGCAAGTTTCTTTAATGTTATTAGTGCTAATCATTAGAGTGAAGATGCTTCTTCATTTGCTATGTAGACAACCTCATCCTGTACGAAGAACCATCTCTTTCTCCCTTTTGGAAACTTATATTCCTGTTTTATTTCTTGCTTTATTGTTTTTAACCAGGATTTCTAGTACAATGATAAATAGCAGTGCTGACAGCAGACATCCCTTAGAAATCATCTAAAGCTTCACCACTAAATCTTCCTTTGTTAGGTTAAGAACATTCCTATGTGTATGCATTGCTTGTGAATATATACATGTATGTTTATCTGAAAGACAATTTAAATATACAGTTGGTAGACGAAGGGCTTATGGTGAGTAAGGACCACATAAGCTTTAAAAATGTGTTGTGTCCCCATCTATCCTACTGCACTGTGGCACCCCATCTTATTCATCCTCCCATCTAACTCTTTCTCATCCACACCCCAATCCTATTGCTTCCATAAAGTAACCATGGTTCCCTCGGGAAATGGAAGCGTGAGTTCCAAGGGCAGAGGGAGTCTCCCTCTCTGAGGGATTTGTGTCACACGCACTTCGAATTGCACATGGCTCTGCCGGGCTCAATTTCTGCCCCTGCAGACCTCACCTCCACAGCTCACCGCGGCACCCCTGCTCCACTGGGCCCAGTGCTAGACTATTTCCTCCTCCTCCACCGCATCCTTCTTCCCACCCCATCTTCATCCTCCACCAGCTTCTCTGGGACTGTTGTCTTCAGCCCCAAGCTCAGAAGAGTACAACTCATTCTCAGAGTCTCAAAGATCCACTCAGAGACAGAACATATCTCCCCGGGCTGCTTTCCACAGTGGAGACAGAAGGAGAAGGGATTGGAGCAGCTGCAGAAGGTGAAGGGGTCTGCTCTTCACCCTGACAGATGTGCAGGCCAAGGGAGGGCAGTGGAAAGGGCGGGCAAGCTTTGCCTCAGCAATGAGATGAGGCTGCTGTGACAGGTGACAGACGGGGCAGCCAAATCACCAAATCCTCACTTCTGATGTTGACACTGCTTAGACACCATCAAAGAGTACCCCCAGATGCTCGAGCTACCTTTGAGGTCAACCTGGCCGGAGCTCGGAAGCCAGTGTCAATGACGACCGCATATAGCTGATGGCCCGGCAGGGAAGCTTCTTGCAGAAAGATGTAACCAGCTTTCTTTTTTTCATGATGATCTACTTGTCTACTTTTAGCGACCAAAAATCCATAAAGAATCACAGAACCCATAATAAAAATACTGGGAAGCAAGTTTTCTGGGTGGCTATAAACAAAAGGAGAGATATAAAGAAAATTGCTCATGAAAATAGACATATAGGAAAAGACTGATTGCCACCCCTAGCCCCTTACACACAAAAGTCCCTGCTGGGCTTCACTGATACATTTTTACACTTGCTGGAAGCTGAGTTAGAAGGGCTTTGAAGGCAGGGAGCTGGCCTGTGGTCCAGTGAGCAGCACCCCACAAGCATGGACTCCAGAACCAAAGAAACCTTGTAATGGACCAGCCTCTGTGCTAGGTGGCTGTGCCATGCTGGGTCTGAGGAACTTTCATTGTGAACTATGGCTAAGAATGCCAGTCTCGCTGCTATTGTAAAGATTAAGCAATACAAATATACAAAATTCTTGAAACATGCAGGTGCCATTATGTTCCTCCCTCTCTCCCTCTCCTGCTAGCAGAACAAGGCTAGGAGGCATTGGCAATGTTTTGGAGACCCTGCCTGTGCCTCCCACCGCCCCTGTGGATGGTGCTGCTTGTTCCCTACCTGTAGCCTCTACCTACCTGTTCCCAGGCACCAACACTGGCTGGGGTGAGATCACTGAATGCCCACAGTTCCGTAGAATGACATTCATATCAAGCTGCTGTGCAGGGACTCTAACCTAACTGGAGTCTTACAGATTTGTGATGGGATCTCAGAGGGTGGGCACCAGGGTCTATGTCACACGGGGATGTTGCCCGCCCCATCCCCTAGCATTCTGCTCTTTGATTTAATCTGAGGATTGGGCTCTGCTCTTGGTTTCTCACCTGCCCTCTTTTTTCCCACCAAGATAGAGCCTGTTCAGAGCTCTGCCCCACGAGCTCTGCAGGGTGCTCACATCCTTCCACCTGGACAATACTCTGAAACCTTTCGGATTCTGGCCAGATAGCCCCTGTAGAACTTCAGGTGTTGCCTCTCTCTGGACATCTTCCAGGGCTGCTTCCCCCATGGTTTGCCCCAGCCCCAGTGGTATCAATGCCGCAGACACCATGGTTGAGGCTGCTGTCTTCTGAGCCCTGATCACTGAATGGCCAGTGACCTGTTCTGCACCCAACATCTGTTGCATTAGCAATTCATATCTTATTTACTAATTATCTGGTCCACCAACTAGTCTATAAAGTAATACGATTGATGAAATAATAAAGTAAGGTAGAGTTTCTTACTATATGAATATAAGGAGAAAAAAATTTAACACTCAACACCCCAGAAAATGCAGACTCTGCCCTAGATATTCATTCAGCAAATATTTACTCTAAGCATTGTATTAAATGTAGGGTGACACTGATGAATAAGACAGGGAAGGTTCCTGTCCATATCAGCTTACATTCACTTTACTCATATCTCAGAGTCTAAATATAACCATTTCATATAAAAGTGGCTATAAAAATAGTGTACATTTTAAATCTATTATCTAAAATGGGATACTCCAGAGAGAGAAAGAGGGAGCTATTAATAATTAGGCTGTGACAATAAACATAAACCAGGACAGGCTCTTTAGGTATTATTGTCACTGTAGATATCAACCCTATCAATAATAATTGACCAAATTCACACTGAACTAAAACTAAACTTAAAAGTATGAAAAGTATGTTGACTTTCTTGTGTTTACAAATCTCTCATCAGTGAATTCAAGTATAGAGAGACAAGATATATAAGTATATATTCAACTATATAATATTTAAAGATAATTATCTACTAATATGCACATTTCAAAAATGCAATGATAGTAAGTAACATGGATTTCAAGCACCCCCGGAATTATATGTGGGCATCCTGAGTGAACAGTAAAACAAATAAAGTCTATGAAGTCTTTATGTAGGAAATGGAACTTACCTCTGTAGCTTGGAAATGTCACTCACTTCAAAACTGGCCTTCAGCTTTCTCCTTAGGAGAGCGAATGCCGCGAGGCGATGGTAGCTAGGAGGGAAATGCGGATGAGGATACAGAATGTGTGGAGAGAGCAGCTGTTGACAGTGTAATGGCATGTTGGTTAAAGGAATGAGAAAAGGAAGAAAGAGTGCAATAATGATAACTTTATGACTAAGACCCAGTTTAAAAGATTCACCTGACACCTAAGTTAGAAATGAGGGACACTTCTGATGTGCCAGAGTTCTTCACATCTGCGTGTTGGGGCACATGGCTCCCATGGAGGCTGTCCTGAGATGCAAGACTCCACAGCATATGGCGGTCTTCATGACAGCCCTCCACAGCATGGCTGCAGCCTGAGGCTCTCGGGTCCCAGTCACAGCCTAGCTGTGCTGCTGGTCAAGCTCTGGCCAACTCCTCTGCCTAAGCACCAGTTCCTGGCATTACAAATATCCTACCCTGACAATCACTGTAAACACTGTCTCCTTTTTTAAAAATAAAGTCTATCTCACCCTCATTATCTTGTGAGCAGGTCCTAGGTGTTATTGATTTATTTTAAATTTTTTGTTTGTTTGTTTTTGAGATGGAGTCTTGTTCTGCTGCCCAGGCTGGAATGCAGTGGCGTGATTTCAGCTCACTGCAACCTCTGCCTCCCAGGTTCAAGCGATTCTTGTGCCTCAGCCTCCCAAGTAACTGGGATTGCAGGTGTGTGCCCATCTAATTTTGTATTTTTAGTAGAGATGGGGTTTCGCTATGTTGGCCAGGCTGGTCTCAAACTCCTAACCTCAAGTGATCCACCTGTCTCAGCCTCCCAAAGAGCTGAGATTACAGGCATGAGCCACCACGCCTGGCCTGTTATTCATTTTTGTACCCTTGGCTCATAAAAAAGTGCCTAGCAGAGAGTAGTTACGTAATGGAGAATGAATGATTGCATTAATGCATTTATCAATAATTTAATATGGAAGCAAAATATTGGGCCATTACCAGTAAGTTTGGATGTGCTCCTAGCAATGGCATTAGAAAAATTTAAGAGTGTAACATAAGAAAATCAATAAATGGCTATGAATTGCACTGCTACGGTATGATCTGGATATATTTGCCTCCTAGCAGGAAATCACAAAATATAATGTCTTATGGCTTATTTGTTTTTTAAAAGGAAATGACTATTTCTGCTTCTAAATATGACTAATAATTGTTTATCCTAATGAAAAGGTAAGGGCAACAAAAAAGAATGATCTGAGCCTCTTATAGAATTGTTAGTCTGTCAGCTAGATGACAAACAATTTCTAATTTAGTGACATGACTCATATGCCCAGAAATTCCTGAGGAGGCTGTTCATGTTTGCGCAGAGACTTTTCTTGCCTCAGAAAGCACACCTTCACCACCAGGCTGTGGAGGGTCCTCTGAAGATGAGGGACTCTCAGGGCAACATGGGGGCATGGTGAGAGCTGAGGGTCCCACCTGCCTGACTACAAACTGCGTACTCAAAGGATGTCAGCACTTCTATGATAAGAAAACTGACAGGTTCATCTATCACTCATCCACCGACTCATGTCTTCAACAGACACTTACTAAACACCTCCTCCATGACAGTCGGTACGGGAAGGAGGAATACGAGGACAGTCTATAAAGCAGCCCTTGCTCCTTGGGAGCCCATAGAGTGGGAGAACCAAGGCTGACACACGAACTGGCTATGAGAGAACTGACACAGGCTGGAGAGTTGTACAAACCAAGAGAGCTCCAGCTTCTTATGGACAAGGTTCAGGAAAGGCTCTAGGGGTTGGGCCAAATGCAGAAGACAAGGCAGTCATTTACTAAAAATCTCAGATTCTTTCTCAAATGTGTCTATACCTGCAGTTCACTTTTTCAGGAGAAGTCCCTGGTTGTGGAGAGAAACGTTCAGATTTCCACTCTCTCTTGTCCCAAAACAGGCATCGGATCCACTGGAAATGTACTGTATAGTTCACTGCCTTAGCTAAATATCTGTTTGGAGGTTTTCTGTCATAGTCAGCATCCAATAAGGATAAATAGCCTACACTGGCATCTAAAAAGAGAAAACATAAATAAAAAGTACAACCTGAGGTTTGCAGAAAGGCATTCTCCATTTCAAACGCAGACAGAGTAGGCAGATAGGTGGGGACAAGGACTACAGATGAGCAAGAACTGAAAGACAGCATCAAATTCTAGCCATTTCCTGTCCCCGAAGCATTTAAATTTGGATTAAATCCACCCAGTCAAAGCTCCTGGATGCAGATACGAATTGAGGAATGGTAGAGAATTGGGAAGAAAAACAGTGTTTCTAGCATCCCGTATGTTCCAAGTGCCCCCTGACACCCTGAACAGGCCACACCCCCTGACCTTAGTGGGGATGGAAGAGGGTTGAGTCAGTTTCTTTAGCTGCCATTCAAGCCCACTTCCTGCTCCTCGCCAGTTTGTCAGCCAGCCTGCGAAATTTCAGTATACCCAGGGTCTAAACCCATTCTGGTAAGGACAGCACAATGACCCATGGAGTTTTAGCCTATCATTTTTTTTTTATGTTTAGCCTACTTTTTATATTTAGAAGCAGAAGTATTTAACATTCTACTTATTTAAAAATTGCCCAAGACTTTTTAATAAGTGGTGTTGGGACAACTAGACATTAGCCCTTTGTAAAAATATGGGCACCTCATGCTATAAAAAATAATAATAAACATTAGCAAATCAGATATCTAAATATGAAAGAAAAAACAAAAACAAACTGCACAAGTACTGAGGAACACATGAATGACTTCTTTTATAATCTGGACATAAGAAATAAATTTTGAACGATGGTTCAAAATCTAAGAGTCTTACAAGAAATGGTGGATAAATTACTATTTTAAAAATAGCCCTAACATATAAAGAGCTCTTAAACATCAAGAAAAAACAAACTCAATACAAAAGTGGGCATATATGAACAATTCACAGAAAAAAAGTGGATAATGGCTTTAAATATATGAAAAAATACCCAACTTAATTCATATAAAATGCATATTAAAATGAACATTTCTCAATTATAAGACTGGCAAAACTCAATAGCTTGAAAATACATCCTTTTGGCAAAGACGTGGGAAAACAGGCAGCTTCAGACACTGCTGGAGGTAAACGTGACAATACTTACCAAAACCACATAGGCATTTACCATCCGACCCAGGAACAGCCTATCTAGGAATTAAACTTGAAGATACACTCCTCCCCCTACATGTAATACAGTATATGCACAAGTCTTCCATGTGAATACATAGGAGACTGGCTGAATAAACTACGGTCCATCTATACAATGGAGAAGCACATAGCAGTTAAAAAAAAAAGATATCGATGAATAAATACATACGGAGTGATTTCTAAATATGTAATTTAAGTAAGAAAAGCACAATGCAAATGAGTGTAAGAAATAAGGGGAAATAATGTGGGTATGCATGGGCTTATTTTCCCAAAAAGAAACATCAGGAAAACAATTCCCATAAAATTATAATCATCGAGGCTGGGCGCAGTGGCTCACGCCTGTAATCCCAGCACTTTGGGAGGCTGAGGTGGACCACCTGAGGTCGGGAGTTCGAGACCAGCCTGACCAACATGGAGAAACTCTGTCTCTACTAAAAATACAAAATTAGCCGGGTGTGGTGGCGCATGCCTGTAATCCCAGCTACTCAGGAGGCTGAGGCAGGAGAATCACTTGAACCCAGGAGGTGAAGGTTGTGGTGAGCCAAGATCGTGCCATTGGACTCCAGCCTGGGCAACAAGAGTGAAACTCCAGTCTCAAAAGAAAAAAAAAATTATAATCATTGTTCTTCACAGAACTAGACAAAACAATCCTAAAATTCATATGGAATCACATAGCCAAAGCAATACTAAGCAAAAGGAACAAATCTGGAGGCATCACATTACCAGACTTCAAACTATACAACGAGGCTATAGTTACCAACACAGCATGCTACTGGCATAGAAATAGGCATGTAGACCAATGGAACAGAATGCAGAACCCAAAAATAAGGCCAAATACCTAAAGCCAATTGATTTTTGACAAAGCAAACAAAAACATAAAGTGAGGAAAGGACACCCTATTCAACAAATGGTGCTGGGATAATTGGCTAGCCACGTGTAGAAGAATAAAACTGGATCCTCATCTCTCATTTTATGTAAAAAATCAACTCGAGCTGGATCAAAGACTTAAATCTAAGACTTGAAGCTGTAAAAATTCTAAAAGATAACATCAGAAAAACTCTTCTAGACATTGGCTTAGGCAAATAATTCATGACCAAGACCCAAAAGCAAATGCAATGAAAACAAAAATAAATAGATAGGACCTAGTTAAACCAAAAAGCTCCTTCAAAGCAAAAGAAATAATCAGCAGAGTAAGCAGACAAGCAACAGAGTAGGAGAAAAAATTTGCAAACTATGCATCTGACAAAGGACTGGTATCCAGAATTCATAAGGAACTCAAACAAATCGCAAGAAAAAACAAATAACCCCATCAAAAAGTGGGCAAGGACCTGAACAGACAATTCTCAAAAGAAGATATGTAAATGGCTAAAAAATACTCAACACCACTAAGTAATAGGGAAATGCAAATTAAAACCACAATGAGATACCATCTTACTCCTGCAAAAATGGCCATAATTTTTAAAAGTCAAAAAATAATAGATTTTGGTTGTGTATGTGGTGAAAAGGGAATACTTTTACACTGCCTGTGGGAATGTAAACTAGTACAACAGAACCAACCTAAATGCCCATCAACCTACGAGTGGATAAAGAAAATATGGTATGTATGCACCATGGAATACTACTCAGCCATAAGAAGGAACAAAATAATGGCATTTGCAGCAACCTGGATGGAGTTGGAGACCATTATTCTAAGTGAAGTAACTCAGGAATGGAAAACCAAATATTTTATGTTCTCACTTATAAGTGGGAGATAAGCTATCAGGATGAAAAGGCATAAGAATGACATAATAGGACTTTGGGGACTTAGGGGTAAGGATGAGGGGGTGAGAGATAAAAGACTACACATAGGGTGCAGGGTATACTGCTCGGGTGATGGGTGCACCAAAATCTCACAAATCACCACTAAGGAACTTATTCATGTAACCAAAAACCACCTGTTCCCCAAAAACTACTGAAATAAAATAAAATAAAGGAAACAAATGAAAACAATTACCTATAAGGACTAGGTGATAACAAGGTATAAGAATAAGGCTGTTGAAAGATTTAGCTCTGAATACATACATCTTTAAATGTGCTTTAGACATCTGAACAATAAAAATGTCTCACAAATTCAAAACATAAATTAATGTTAAAAAATGGGGACGGGCGCCGTGGCTCACGCCTGTAATCCCAGCACTTTGGGACGCCAAGGAGGATGGATGACCCGAGGTCAGGAGTTCAAGGCCAGCCTGACCAACATGGTGAAACCCTGTCCCTACTAAAAATACAAAAATTAGCTGGGTCTGGTGGTGCATGCCTGTAATCTCAGCTACCCACAAGGCTGAGGCAGGAGAATCGCTTGAACCCAGGAGGCAGAGGTTGCAGTGAGCCGAGATCACACCATTGCACTCCAGCCTGGGCAACAAGAGCAAGACTCTGTCTCAAAAAAAAAAAAAAAAAAAAGGATAAAAGTAAGGCTTAGCATTAAGTACATGCAAAAAAGTGAACCTAGCTGTATATAAAACGTATAGCAAAAACCCACAGAGAAAATAATTAATTCAACTAACTTTTGACTATGTGCTCTTACTGTAATATATCATGTAAGAATGTAAAGTCAAAACTAAACAAAAAATCTAGAAAGAAATATTGAACTTTATCTGGTAGGTTTGTGATTGTTAGGGGTACAGGTGCTTTAATTCTAAAACGATTTGGTGTATACTGTAGGATAGAGCAAAGTGAATTTTGCTCTTTGGAAACTGGCTCTCAAGTTCTCATATTTTGGCAACTGGAATTCTCACTGTAGGAGAATGGGGATCTGAACACACAATGGGAGAAAGTAATAAGGAACCCTGGGTGTTGGATTTGAATTAAGGCATTGTGATTAACTCATTTTACACACACATACACACACACACACAGACGTTAAATCAGTGACGCCCCAATAGCAATGAGCAAATGTGATGCGCAGTTCTTGTGTTCTAATGTCATTTCCCATCAATGAGCCAAGCCTCATTGAGGACATGGCCGGTTCCAAGGAAGGGCTGGCCAAACACAGGATAAGCCAGGACACGCTGGTGTCCCAGAAAGTAAAGAAGCACTTGAGGATTGTGATGTCATGTCAAGAAAACCTCAGGAAGCATCTTGGAGGAGCTCCCACTGGAATAATTTGTGCATCAAAAAGTAAAATAATGGAGGTGAACTAAACACATTGAATTTTTTTTTTAACACATTGAATTTTTAAGAAACACCATGCACCATAGAGACAAGAGAGCAAGAGTAAGACAGAGAGAGACTGAAGCTCTTCTTTACTGAAGAATGCCAGCTAATTCATGGTGGAATTAGCAAATCACCGTTTTGTAGCCTTCTATGTACCTATATCACCCATGGATCCTTAAAATCATGGGGTGACAGTTTGTAAGGCAAGAAGATACTAAGGTGGTCTCAAAAGTATCATCTCACAAAGGGGAAAATGGAGAGATTGGAGGTTCTTTCCCCAAGCAAATTACCAAACTTAGCACCATCGCCTATGGAATATGCTGCCAATCATCTGTGAACTGAATTTAATCATGAGGAAACAGTCAGGCAATTTCCTGAATGTACAACATGCAGAAAATAACTAACCTAAGCTCATAAAAAAAAGTCTGAAAAAAAGGCAAAAATTGGGAGGGTGTTGTAGATTTTTAAAGGGACTATATAAAAACACAGCAACAAAATGCATTCATGAACTTTGACCTACTTCTGATTAAAAAATATAAAGAGCTATAGAAGGCATTTGGGGGGATTTTAAAAATTTAAATGTGGATAACAGAATAGATATTCTTGAATTAATGTTGATTTCTTTTCCTTATGATAATGTACTGAGTTTTGTAGGGAATGCCCTTGTTTTCATGAGATGTTTAAGTATTCAGGGGTGGTATGTCATGGGGCCTGCAACTTTCTCTCTAACGGCTTGTCCTCTCCCTCAAAAACATCCCCCACCCACATGTGCACACCTGTACACATGCAGATAAGGCAAATGTGGCAGAAATCAACAAATGGTGAATCTCAAGGAAAAGGATATGGGTATATGTTGTGCGTATTTTTCTAATTTTCTATCAGCTTGAAATTACAATAAAAACTGTGAAAAAGAACACATGAAATGCAACATTAAAAAATACCATTGAGAATTTGAATTTGATGAGCAATACAGTTTGATTCATTTTTAAAAGAAACAAATACTGGTTCTCAGAAGAAAATAACTATATCCCAGTAAACATGTAGAGACAATGGGTCTGGCGCACTCACTGACAGTCAGAAGCCAGCTCCTCTCCAGGGCCAGGGCCTGTGGAAGTCAGTGTAAGGCGCGTGTCTGGTGAGTTGCCTGTGGGTGCCACTTCAGCCCACTGAGCTCCAGTTTCTTGCTTTTTTGGGGAAGGGGTTACTGAGGCTCAGAATCCTAAGCCACCAGGGGCAGACCACGGAGAAGGGGTGAGCCCCAAACTTCACACTCTGCCCCCACACTGCTTCAGAGGGGGTCCTGTGCCCTATTGATACGTGAGACACAGAGACGTCTCAGAAGTCCTGGGTCAACTCTGAGGTCAGGGAAGCTCAGCAGAGGTTAGTTTGAGGGAAGCAAGGCAGGAGGGTGCTTCAGGCAAAGACTTAGCCTGAGCACAAGCAGAGCCCTAAGGATCAGGAGGAGGCGCCAGAGACCACCTGGGAAGAGATGGGTAGGGCAGTGAGCAGCACCAGCCACTGCATCACAAGGATGGCGCTCATCATGGGGCAGTTTCCATGTGTGGGATCTATAGTGGAGCAGTTTGTTTATAAGCAAGCAGAGAAAGGATTCTGATGTTTTTGTCATGAATAAAGAAAAACACCACTATACATACAAAGGTTATAGGGGATGTTTTAATCATGTAAACAGAAAGGGAAAATAAGGCGCCCTGTTCACTGACCTTTCTGAGAAGCAGCAGGTATATAAATCTGCACAATTGACTCATCCCAGAAGTAGATCTGCTTCACAAGAAAATCAGAGGGAGTAGGTTTCTCAGAGAATCTAGGAGATAAAAACAAAATAGGGATTTCTCATTTTTTTCTTCTCTCTCAAAGGTTTTAGTCAAATTTCTATCAAGAGTTTACTCAATTTGTGCAAAACATCCTTGTCACTGCAAGGAGGTAGCCTGGGACTAAAAAGGGTCAATGTGCTTAATTCCACAACACCACCTGGTCTCTTAGTAAAAACTCCTACATAACACTTTCACCCTGCATCTCATTAAAAACAAACACTTTGGCCAGGCACGGTGGCTCACACCTGTAATCCCAGCACTTTGGGAGGCCGAGATGGGCGGACCACCTGAGGTTGGGAGTTTGAGACCAGCCTGACCAACATGGTGAAACCCCATCTCTACTTAAAAATACAAAATCAGCTGGGCGTGGTGATGCGCACTTGTAATCCCAACTACTCGGGAGGCTGAGGCAGGAGAATCACTTGAACCCGGGAGGCAGAGGTTGCAGTGAGCGGAGATCACACCATTGCACTCCAACCTGGGCAACAAGAATGAAACTCTGTCTCAAAAACAAACAAACAAACAAACCAAAAAAAAAAAAAAAAAACACCAAAAACCAAACAAACACTTCAGTAGCAAACAAGTACAAGAATGGCCAGCACAGTCTGTAGGAATAAGACAAACAGCACTGGCTACACGTGGTTAGGGAGGGGCACTGCAGCACCCACACGTATGTTTGCATGTTTGTGTTAACTCTTTACCGTAACCTGTTTGCAGATAAAAGATAGCAAGCACAAAACTAGACTAAGTAGTAGTCTTAGTAGTTAGACTCAGAAATTCCTCAGAACTGATTTACCTTTTCTGCATGTGACTTAAAGAATTAAATTAAAATCCAAACTCTAAGCAGACAGCCACTTTTAGACATCGAATGCTTAGCTCATTTGGCAGAATGAGAGTCAGGCCAATAAGCAGAGATTAAACTGCGTGCTAAGGGCTGTGTGGACAGCGCCTGTGTAAGATACAGCCTTGCTCACGAGAACCCTTTAATCTAGTTGAGATGCCCACCTAACCAACCAGGAGCAGTAGAACAGTGAGCATCTTTGCCACATAGACTAAACACACGGGGACTCCGAGAAGGAAGGTGATCAAGGCCCTGCCCATCCAGACCTCCAACGAACTCTGCAGACTGGTGGTTTCCATTAGCACATTTGCTGTAGAATTTCAAAGAATCTTTTCAATAGTCACTTACCTTCCCAATAGTCAATTACCTTCCCAGGTAATTTATTTATTAACTGGGGCCTATACAAATCTCATGAACTCAACATTCCTGAGAAAAATAATTATTTTATGAAGTTTCCTTAGATATATAAATTTAAACACATTTTCTCCTTTTGGAAAAATAAAAAAAAATCTTGCTCAGACCTATACTGAAAGAATTAGATTTCTAAATGAGACTGTATGCATTATCACTAATAATTATAATGCTTCTCACTCTAATAATGTTAACAGGCAGGAATTCAAACTCAAAAACCAAAGTCAGGAAGCTTAGCATCCAAACAGCAGAATAGATAACAATTTCTTTAAACAATGAGCCTCATTATTGCTTTAAAAACACAATTTAATTCACTGATTTTTTGTCACAAAACATTCTTAAGGACAATATGTCTTACTCCAATCTCATTGTAGCTGTCACCATCAACACACCTTACTAGCAACATGACGGGAAATGCCCTTGTAACAGGTTTGGAAAATTCAATTTCTATCTGTAGAGATTCCTGGGGGTTTTCGGAAAGCTCAGTGAACTGATGGAGATTCACTTTATCCCGAAGTAATACAAATGTCGTTTTATTTCTCCTATTATCCTGTCATCACAAAGAAAACAAGTTAAGCAAAATTTGCCTTTGGTAAAATAAACACATTAAAAATCAGCCAGCACAGCCTAAATGAAGTAGAGATACTGAGAAAGGCTCTCCTTACCAGGCCATCCTCCTCCCCAAACTCGACCATCACGGGTTTCCTTAGCCATTGCCTGTTGATGGGTCTTCTGCTGGAGCAGGTATAGAGGTTGAGGCCCACAACTCCACCAATCTTGGGGAACAAAGACCATCTCAGAGCAAATGACAGCAAGCAATGGACTTAAGTGAGAAAAGCAGCAAACCAAAGTATCGTGGTGCTGCTATTACACTTACATAAAATTATATGCCTGATATTAGAAGCTAGCATACAAAAATAAACCAGTTTTACTAGTCAGGATGGCAGGATTGGAGTGAATATTATGCTTCATTTGCATCATTCTTATTAAAATTAATAATTTCTAAAGTATTTTGAAGTATTTTTTATTTTAAAAGCTAATGCAAAAGAAATATCTGCTCATTGTAGATAATCAGGAAGGTATAGAAAAGTATATGCAAGAGTGGGGCCGGGCGCGGTGGCTCACGCCTGTAATCCCAGCACTTTGGGAGGCCGAGGCGGGCGGATCACGAGGTCAGGAGATCGAGACCATCCCGGCTATAACGGTGAAACCCCGTCTCTACTAAAAATACAAAAAATTAGCCGGGCGTAGTGGCGGGCGCCTGTAGTCCCAGCTACTTGGGAGGCTGAGGCAGGAGAATGGCGTGAACCCGGGAGGCGGAGCTTGCAGTGAGCCGAGATCCCGCCACTGCACTCCAGCCTGGGCGACAGAGCGAGACTCCGTCTCAAAAAAAAAAAAAAAAAAAAAAAAAGAAAAGTATATGCAAGAGTGAAGAATAGCTATTCTATAGTCCCATTGCTCATAGAAATCATATTTCAGGATGTTGAGTATCAAATTTTGCTATGTAATAGAGTACATATTTGGCAGACAATTTAGTTGTCTATATGTATATCTATATATTTTTTTGACACAGAGTCTTGCTCTGTCGCCCAGGCTGGAGTGCAGTGGTGTGATCTCAGCTCACTGCAACCTCTGCCTCCCAGGTTCAAGCGATTCTCCTGCCTCAGCCTCCCGAGTAGCTGGGACTACAGGCACGTGCCACCACACTCGGCTAATTTTTGTATTTTTAGTAGAGACGGGTGTTTCACCATGTTGGTCAGGTTGGTCTGGAACTCCTGACCTTAGGTGATCCACTCGCCTCGGCCTCCCAAACTGCTGGGATTACAGGCGTGACCCACTGTGCCCGGCCTCAGTTGTCTATATTTTTGCAGTCTTCCCAAATTACTAAAATTCCCTGATTGACATAATAACAATTAGCTATATATGAACTCTATCCCTATGCTGAACATTTAGGTACATTTCTATTTGAGTTATAATAATATTGTTTTGAGCAAATAAATACGACAAGACATCTTGTTCTGAACAAATCTTTTCTCATTTTCCTAGTGTAGATTCTTACAAGTGTAACAGTGTAGGCCAGGTTGTTGCTGGATGCCTAGTTGACAAAGTGCTTTCCAAAATGTCACACTGCCGAGCACCCTGGTTTACTCACTGCATCTCCACAAGCAGTAAGTGTTTTTAAGTAATTGCACTTTTGTAAGGTAAAAAAATCATTTTAATTTGTGTTTTTTATTGATTGTTAGTTTGAATTATTTTCCTATGCTGATTAGCCATTTCCATTTCCATTTAAAAAAGCAAATGCTGTAAAAGATGAGCATTTTTTGACCAAAATAAGATGTACCTAATTTGTCCATACATCCATCAGACATTTGATGGGTCACCAAATGAGCCACGTACTTGAGCCAGACTGGGGTCGGGGGCTACAGAAATAGAGAATCCTTGCTCTCTGCCCTTCCAAACTCACTCATGGTGACCCTGGGGTCATTCACAAAGCTTCCGAGTGAATGTCTACAAAACTGCCAAGTGGCTGGGACAATCCTCCCTGACTTCCCCATCCTCACATCCCCCTTTCACTGTGGTCCCCTGTTCCTCCTGACCTCTCAGGGAGCCAGGGGCCACCCTGCAGGTTCAGCCCAGCAGTGCCTCTCTGGTGAGCAGGGAGGATGGGGGGTAAGCACTGCCATGTCCTCAGCAGCCCCTTCTTAAGCGTCATTCAGGTATACTCCGCATTTGATGTTAGACCCATATCTTCATCGTTCTAAAGACACGATTGGCCAGAATGCTTGCATAATCACTGCATCACATGCTGCAACCCCCTAGAGCCTTCTGTTCTCTGACAATGGATTAGAAGGCCTCAAGGAAACAGTGAATGGGCCCAGTGTCCCAGATACAAGTGACATCTAGTTTTGCCAGGAGTTTTCTGGAGAAGCTAATCTTCTAAGAGGAGTAGAGTCAGCAACGTGTTCTAAGTGATCCCTCTTGGCACTGAGAGGGTGCAAACATGCAAAAAACAGGTGCAAATATGCCAACCTAGTTTCTCTTTTTGTCATTTAAGCCCAATTACTGCAAATTTGAAATGGTCATTAGAAGTGGCAGGTCATCTGTCAGCTTGTACCTGCCCAGGAGCTTGGCTCCCTGGATATGGGTTCTTCTTGAAGAGTATGAGCTGGCTAATGTAGCATGGGCTCTGTGTCTCCGCCCCAGCAGGACTGTGCCCAGCAAGGTCACCAGGTAAATGCACCTGGACAGATCCCAGGCTCTGGACAGAGCTCTGAAGGTTGTAATGAAGAAGGGTCCGGAACTCCATCTGCCCAGTGCTAACATGGTTCAAAGAGAGACAACCCTGAAACATAGAGCATAGGGAGTGGGATGTTTATAACACAAATGCACAAACTGTCTTGAATCCAGACTAGGAGAGAGGGGAAAAGTAGTTAAAAAGCCCATCTCAAGTTAGATTGGATGGCAGGAAGCAAGAGCGCAGGTCTTAGGGCTCAGCGCTGGGTAAGTAGGCAACAAATGTTCTTAAACACTTGTGAGTAATGATGATGATTATTAGTAGGTTCAGATAGACTATTTACTTGCTAATTTCCCAAATGTTACAGTAGCCATCCGTTAAATAAGCCAGCAGGACTGGAGAGGGATGCTAAATTGGTAGAAGAGGAACGCCAGAAGCCTATTCACTTACTGCTTCTTGAAAGCACTGGCCATTTCATAAAGTAAAAATAAAAAAGTCTCGGAGACAATTTCCAAAGTTACCAGAGCAGAAATAAATGAAATAAACTTTGGCCTTTTTAAGAAGTTATGTATCAGCAGGGCTACTTTTAAAATTGCTGCATGCAATAAATCATTTGCATTACTTCACATAATTCCTCAAAAAAACAGAAGGTATCCTGAGAAATAATGTTTCTGAGTCAAACATCCCAAATATCCCAAATGAAAATCTACCAAAACAAAAAAAGGATAAAATAGAAGCAAGGTTTCACTGGAAACATTATAATATTACCATGAAATACTTAAAATTCAAAATGAAAGTCTCCAAATACCAAAATGCCACCCAGAAGAATGAACACAGTACTTCAGAAACTGATTCTGTTTTTGGTTTTGAGAAGCAATTACAAATACAGGTTAACATCCTGGGATATGGAAACAGTATTTTTATGGATGGAGAAAAAGTGTGACTTACCAACAATAAATCTGAGATGACTGTAATTCCTTCTTCATGTCGATAGACTTCCTCCTTCGAGTTTTCTTGCTCAGAGACTTCCCAGACTCTGGATATGAGACCGATGAGCTCAAGCCTCACTCCTTTGTCAATCACAAATGGCCCCGAGAACTGGCCTTGAGCAAGGAGTGCCCGGGTGTACTTGAGGATGAGAACCGCACTCATAAAGCCTAGCTGCATGAACAGAAAAGATGTAAATAAAATGCCTGGCCTTGAGCAAGGAGTGCCCGGGTGTATTTGAGGATGAGAACCGCACTCATAAAGCTTAGCTGCATGAACAGAAAAGATGTAAATAAAGTGCCTCATGGCATATGATGCATATATTCTTGCCTTTTTCATTATTATAAGGAATTAAAATGACTGAACTACGGGCTAAGAGAACTGGATTTAAGTCCAGGTTTGGTCTCTAGGTGACTATTGGCCAGCTTCCTAAGTAGCAAGCTGCTTTTTGATATTCGGCCTCTTGACCAAAGGAAAACAAATGGTCTCTATGCTTTAAGATGTTATTTGTTTTAAACCCCAACGACCACTTTGCAAATCCCTTCACAAATTGGCCCCCACCTCCTCCCACAGCCTTCTCCCTCCCCATTACCTATGTGCATTCTATTCTCAAGCCATGCTGAATCTCTTATTGTACCCAAAGAATCGAGGCTTTTTCTTGATGCCCTCCAGATTCCTCTACCTGCAGTACCTTTACCCTCATTTGGACTGGCAGAATCCAATCCTGCTTTTCTCTCTCTCTGTTTCTTTTCCTTTTTTTTTCTTTCTCTCTCTCTTTTTGTTTAGAGATGGGGTCTCACTCTGTCACCCAGGCTGGAGTGCAGTGGCACAAGCATAGCTCCCTGCAGACTTGAACTCCTGGGCTTACATGATTCTCCCACCTCAGCCTCCCAAGTGCTGGGACTAAAGACATACATTTTTTTTTTTTTTTTTGAGATGGAGTTTGACTCTATCGCCCAGGCTGGAGTGCAGTGGCACAATCTTGGCTCACTGCATCCTCCGCCTCCTGGGTTTAAGCAATTCTCTGCCTCAGCCTCCCGAGTAGCTGGGATCACAGGCACCCACCACCATGCCCAGCTAATATTTTTTTGTATTTTTAGTAGAAACGGGGTTTCACCATCTTGGCCAGGCTGATCTTGAACTCCAGACCTCATGATCCACCCGCCTCGGCTTCCCAAAGTGCTGGGAGTACAGGTGTGAGCCACCACACCCAGCCTATTTTTCTGAACTGTTAATGTAGTCCCCTTTCAAACCTACACAAAGTAGAAAGAATAGTATGGTAGTATAATACGTCTATCACCCAACTTTAACAATTATTCACTGGAATATTTTTTCTTCTATTCTCTACTTAACTTTAAAAAAATATTTAGAAGCAAAAAGCAAATCTCAGGTATTATTTTTATCCATGAACACTTTAGTGTGTAGTGCTGATAGATGAGGATTCTTTCTAAAAATATGCCCACAATGCCATGATCACATCTAACAAAACTACGAGTCTTTACTACGTATCTTTTAAAACCAACCTCAAATGTCTACGAGACAAAGTCAGCTGCATCACTGCTTGTGTTTATGCAGAATTTTGTCATTCTTCTGATCGTAGGACTAAGCATATTTATTGAAATGTATCTGTTTGCAACTTCATTCATCAATGCTTAAAAGACACAGACTAATCTTTTTCTTCTTTGTACCTTAGCAGCTCCTAGCAATTGCTAAATAAATGTGTGTCCATGAAATGAAACTGAGATTCTGTTTTCTATTGGCCAGGCTTATTTAACCACAATGATATCTAATGGCTTAGATATACCTTTTAAAATCTAGTTCTTCCACCACAATAAGATTAAACTAATTTGGAAATGCGTTTAAACTACTATTGAAGGCCCTTTACATGAGGTAGCTTACCATGGATATTAGGACTTAAATGAAAGAATAATCTTTAAAATTAAACAAGTGCTTTAAAGAATATATTATGCCCACTTTCACAATGCCCACTTTTTTGACCAAAAATATCAGAATGGTCACTTTAAGAGGACAATCATGTTCATTTTTATTTCCCACTCTGAACTAAGAACTGTGGCAGACCCTGGGGTTCAGAGATGCACAAGAGGGACAATGGCAGGAATGATTTGATCTCTACCAGATTCATGCTCTGGAGCCTCATGTAGGGTCATCGATGGGAAGTAATTCCATTTCCCAGGTCCCTCGAGTCCAGGTGAGCCCATGTGATGCTCACCAGGGGAAGGTGAGTGCAGCGAGGTGTGCACCTGCAGCGCCACATGACCGACAGGCAGCATACCTTCTCCATGTGCTATTCCCCTGACTTAGGAAGCCACAGAGTGGAGGTATTGGGGCACAAGATGGACGGGGCCAGAGTCCCTGAGTCACCACGAGGGAGACACCCACTGAACACCTGCTACGGAATGTGTGTGAATGAAGAAAAAATATCTGTTGTATTCAGCTTCTGGGATTTCAGGGTTATCTGTTACAGCAGCTAACATTATTTTAACTAATACAGTTTGTATCTTAAGAGGCTGAGTAGTCTAAAGTTGGAAGACAGATGCACAAAAAGAAATTACAAATCAAAGGTGTTGAAGTGCTAAAAACAAAGTCACGTACAAATTTGTCTCGAACAAAATGAACTCTGCCTTCAGACCTTTGTGAAGATTTCACGGAGAAGGTGGCATTTGAATCTACCCTTGAGGAGAAAGTAATATTTTTCCAGGGGAAGAAGTAACCTGCTCCAGTTATGGGAAAACATACCATTTCAAGGACATAAGGGGCATCCCGAATGCCTACACAGGGAAGATGCCTACGTTGGGTTGTGTGCACAATGAGGTGCAGAGAGTCAAGTGGAAATGGGTGAAGTCCTCGTATGATACAAAGAACAATTGGGACTGGGTACGGTGGCTCACGCCTGTAATCCCAGCACTTTGGGAGGCCAAGGCGGGCGGATCACAAGGTCAGGAGATCGAGACCATCCTGGCTAACACAGTGAAATCCCGTCTCTACTAAAAACACAAAAATTAGCCGGGCATGGTGGTGTGCGCCTGTAGTCTCAGCTGCTGGGGAGGCTGAGGCAGGAGAATGGCGTGAACCTGGGAGACAGAGCTTGCAGTGAGCCAAGCTTGCCCCACTACACTCCAGCCTGGGCGACAGAGCAAGACTCTGTCTCAAAAAAAAAAAAAAAAAAAAAAAAAACAATTGGGCCAGGCGTGGTGGCTCACATCTGTAATCCCAGCACTTTGGGAGGCTGAGGCAGGTGGATCACCTGAGGTCAGGAGTTCGAGACCAGCCTGACCAACAAGGTGAAACCCTGTCTCTATTAAAAATACAAAAATTGGCCAGGTATGGTGGCGTGCACCTGTAATCCCAGCTACTAGGGACGCTGAGACAGGAGAATCACTTGAACCCGGAAGGCAGAGGTTTCAGTGAGCCAAGATTGTGCCACTACACTCCAGCTTGGGCGACAGAGTGAGACTCTGTCTGAAAAAAAAAAGAGCAATTGGATTGTGTCCTCAAACTACTAGAAAGCCATCAAGTACTCTGAACAAACAGATGGCATGACCAGGTGTGTTGCTTATAAAGACAGATCATCAGAAGAGAGGTGAATGATGATGCCCTCCCACCTAGACTGGAGGTTGTTGGAGTGGAGCAGCCTGAGATGAGGAGGGGAGACTCAGGCAGGAGGGATGGTAGGAGGACAGGGCCATCCAGCCCCCGTTCCTGTATCCATTGCCCATCTCTCTTGAGCGCCTGCCATGCGTTACACCTATGGTATTTCTGTGGTGAAGAGGAAGATCCCTGGTATCATGGAGTCGACATTCCAGTGGGGGAAGAGCAGCATTAAAGAAATAAATGAGATAGTTGCTGTTGTGAAAATATTGAAGGGGATAGCCCATAACAGGAAGAGAGGATAATAATAATTACCTTCAGATGGTGGGTCTAGGACAATGTCTCTAAGAAAGTAAGTAGCATTTGTGCTGAGTCAATGAAGGGCCAGCTATTTGAAAAGCCAAGGGGAGGGCACAGCGGGAAAAGGATCAAGGCAGTACCCCTGGAGGATGGTTAGGAAGCGGGAGAAAAGCCAGGAAAGGAGGACAGAAGGAAAGAAGGAGCCAGACACTGCAGGTGCATAAGATGTTTAGCTTCTATTCCACACGCAAGGAGAAGCCACGGGGAGTGCTGAGCAGGAGAGTGGCACTCACTGACTCAGGCTTTTACAATGACTTGACTGCTGTGTGTAGCCTGTTTTCTAAGGTGGCCTGAGAGGAGGCAGAGAGGACAGGACAGTGAGAGAAACTGCCAACCTGGATGAGAAATGACATTTGCTTGGATTTGGGTGAAGCGCAGTAGAGGCAGGAGAGGTAGGAAGATTCTAGCTACGTGTTTGAGGAAGAACAGATGGGACTTCTTTATAAGTGAATGGATGAGGGGAAGAAAGGACTCCGGTGACACCTGGGCTTTAACATGGGATTCTGCATGGACGGTGCTGCCCTGTCCTGGGCTGAAGAAAGTAGGAGGAACACGGGGTTGGAAGGGGTTGGGGGAGGAGCCCACTCTGCCATGCTGGGTCTGTGCAGTTTCGGCCCGTGTGGAAATGAGAGCGTGTAGTTATACGTGCGTGTCTGGGGAGCTTGAGTCAGCTTTGGGTTGGAGGTGTGGGTTGCAGAGTCCCTATCAGATGGATGTAAAGTGGAAGGAGTGGATGAGATCACACAGGGAGGAGGTGTGGACAGAGAATCTAGGAGGCCCAAGACAAAGCTCTGAGATACTGACCACGTAACTGTAGATGGGAAGAGCCAACAGGGGTCAGTCAACAAGGCCAACCAAGAAATCATGTCGTGAAGCCTAGAGAAGAGCGTGTCCCCCAAAGCAGATTGAGCCCCACAGAAGGTCCCCGGCAGGGAGAGAATGGGGAGCAGAAGGTGTCCAGTGGATTTGGCCAGATAGAGATCTGCTGTGACTTTGGCAGGAGCAGCGGCAGTGTGGATGGAGATGGAAGCCAAAGTTTGATGGTCTAAAATGCACGAGAAGCCAGGTGTGGTGACGTGCATCTGTGGTCCCAGCTACTCAGAAGGCCGAGGTGGGAGGATGGCTTGAGTCCAGGAGTTTGAGGCAGGCTGAGCCACACAGTGAGACCTTGTCTCTTAAAAAAACACACACACAAACAAGAGGCAGCAAGTATAGCCCATAACAGGCTCAGAACTCACTTTTTAAATGCTCTGCTGTGAAGAGGAACATGAAAAGTTAGGTGGAAGCTGGAAGCAGGTTTGATTTCACTAGAGGGATTTTTTTTTAAAATAAGTGAGATTCTAAGCATGTGCAGGATCATTCAGAAGAAAGAAGTGGAAGCAGCAGCAAAGAGTGGAAAATGAAAAGAGAAACTCTGGAGAAGGCAAGGTGGGCAGGAGCAGGACTGTGCCGCCTGCACCCATGCAGGCTAGGCGTTGTCCAACACTGGGGCACCCGTCACTCAGATTGAGATGAGGGACAATGAGAGGAGCCTGGAGGAGAGCTCCACACAAATAAAGGGAGAAGCCTATGCAGGGGCTGGAGATTCCTTCTGTGGTGACAGAGCATGGCCATAGTTAGATTCACAGACTGGAGGTAGATGAGAGAATGATGCGTGCTCTTCTCATCTCTCAAGCAGCAATGCAGGGGGAACATCAGCTGACGGGGAGGAAAGTGTGCCAGAGACTCAAGAAGAAAAGAAGGTGTGACGAAGGAAAAACCCAATGCCATGTGTTACCAATAAAGAACAAGCCCCTTGCCAAAATTATTCATAGCATGGATAGTACGTGTTCTCATCCATTTCTACTTTGGGATTCCAAATTTCTTCCTTTCTTCCTTCTTTTTCTTTTTCTTTCTTTTCTTTCTTTCTTTCTTTCTTTCTTTCTTTCTTTCTTTCTTTCTTTCTTTCTTTCTTTCCTTCCTTCCTTCCTTCCTCCCTCTCTCCTTCCCTTCCCTTCCCCTCCCTCCCTCCCCTCCCCTCCCTTCCCTTCCCTTCCTTTCCTTTCCTTTCGTTTTTTTGATGGAGTCTCACTCTGTTGCCCAGGCTGGAGTGCAGTGGCGCGATCTCGGCTCACTGCAACCTCCGCCTCCTGGCTTCAAGCGATTCTCCTGTCTCAGTAGAGTACTCCTCCTGAGTAGCTGGGATTACAGGTGCGCGCCACCATGCCCGGCTAATTTTTATATTTTTAGTGGAGACAGGGTTTCACCATGTTGGTCAGGCTGGTCTCGAACTCCTGACTTCGGGATCCGCCCGCCTCGGCCTCCCAAAGTGCTGAGATTACAGGTGTGAGCCACTGTGCCTGGCCTAGATTCCAAATTTCTATATTCAAAATTTCTGAGATGGGCTTTGCTATTCAGATGAATTCTTAAGGGAAAATCACATTTCTAATCTAAGTGTCAAACTATGATTCTGGACAGTGTATTTTTCAAGAACTGATCATGTCCCTCAAAACTATATAAAATAGGAAAATATTTCTGGGAAAAAATTGCACTTACCTTATTAGAGAAGCTCACGAGGTCCCTCAACATAAGAACAGAACCAATCATTTCTTCCTGACCAGAAGAAACAACAATAAAACAAAAAGAAAATGCAAGGAGAGGGAAATTAGCTTGTTTGGGTTAAAGTTACAGCTTGCCTATGTAGAAATAGTACAGATTCCCTGCTTTTTGGCCAAAAGACCAATTGGAGGCCAGACCTTCTGTACAGAGACCATTACTGTTGTCTCTGGTTTTCCTTGGAATCCAGCATCTCTCCTGTGTGCCCCCTAGACATCCTCAGCACACTCCATCAGGGAACTGACACGAGGGCTGATGAAATAAGGGTGCAGAGCTAAGCAACAATTTATTTATTATTTTATTTTATTTTATTTTATTTTATTTTTTTGAGACGGAGTCTCGCTTTGTCGCCCAGGCTGGAGTGCAGTGGCGCGATCTCAGCTCACTGCAAGCTCTGCCTCCCGGGTTCATGCCATTCTACTGCCTCAGCCTCCCGAGTAGCTGGGACTACACGCGCCTGCCACCACACCTGGCTAATTTTTTTTTTTTTTTTGTATTTTTAGCAGAGACGGGGTTTCACTGTGTTAGCCAGGATGGTCACGATCTCCTGACCTCGTGATCTGCCTGCCTTGGCCTCCCAAAGTGCTGGGATTACAGGCTTGAGCCACTGCGCCCAGCCAGAGCTAAGCAACATTTTTAAAAAGAGGAAGAATGAGAAAAAAATTACATCAAGTGAAGTATCTTAAAGTTGTAATGAAATAAGATATATTCTTTGTAGATGTGAATATTCTCTATTGACAGTTATAAGATAGCAGTTGCATAAATGCTGTGAGCAAGTACAGTCACATTTGAATACATGGTAATTTCTTCAGAAGTTGCACAAAATCATGAACTTAACTCTCCAAGATAAAATCAGACTGTTTCACATAAGTTTTACTTACACAAACTTCAGCAGAATTATCTGTAACAACGATTGACTTGGTCATTCTCTCTTTTATAAACCAGCAGCATTCATTTGTGATACATATGAGCTGAATAGAGAGACCACAGCCATGTATGGGAGCTGAGCTGGCTGGCCCTCTTGGTCTCATTTCTTGCCTGTGTTTCATAAGCATGACCACTTGCTAGTGAGCCAGCCAGTCATGAGCCCTGCCACTTGATAAAGGTTTACAGACACTAAACTCACCCTCCTCTGAGCCATACCTGATCTACAAAAGCCAATCTGCATACTGAAGAAATTAATGCATCCTGTATTCGTGACCATTGGTTGCAGGAGGCAGTTTTGTCCTCCTTAGACAAACGACTCAGGATTCTGGTGATCACAGTGATGTAGTTCCTGATTTCTGTGTAACTCCCCATCAGCTGGAGGGTAGAAAGGTTTTTCAGGCTGGAATTATACCTGAAGGAAACACAAGAGTTATCATTACTGTTCCAACACACGGCAAAACTTTTCACCCTGACTACCAAGAGTGGGATGGGATTTGTTGCAAAAATACCTCTTGGACAGGGCAGGGTAGAAAGAGAATGATACAAAGGAGAATTGGTCTGTGCAACGGAAACTCTAAAAAGACACTGTAAGTCATAATATAAAATTTTACAAAAACTCCTTTTATCAGAACTAAAAAAGGCACAAGAAACCAGATACTAATATAGAAGCATCATGGCAAATGAAGGAATGTATTCCAGAGCCAGACAGAGATACCACCACGCTACAGCTGGCCGGAGTTTATGACTCCGGGTTTCAATAATTGCGCATTTATTTACTTATTTACAAACAGCATACTTACTTGCACTGGAAAAGATAACACAGTATTGTGAAAAGAGGCCTATACATGAGGTCAAAGGCCAGTTTCAGCCCTTGTTCTGCAATTTATTTGCTGTATGAGCACAAGAGTATTGTTTAAGAGAAAAATGATCCTCAGTTTCCAAATGTATAAAATAGAAATTTTCATCTGGACACACCGCAGTGGGTCATTGCAAGAAGTAAATTAATTAGAAATCATGTTCTAATTGATTAGAAAATGCATCATGGGCTCTATACACGATGCTTAAGTTCACCCTTGACCAATAAGTGATTTATGGAGACTAAGACCCTAGGAAGCCAAGTTAAAGATAAAAAGAACAAATAAATCTGAGCAGAAACATCACTGGCTGCACAACGAGGGGAAATATACTTTACAGAATTCGTCTTGCCAAACTAATAAACATATAAACCAATGACCAAACAAACAAAAACAACGACAACAAGCCAGGAAAAGGAGGTAGGCCAATACCCAGAGTGGCTGCAATATATTATCTAAAATGTCCAGTTATCAATGAAAAATTATGAGACATCCAAAGAAACATTAAGTGTGACCCAAACATGAGAAAAATAAGCAGGCAATAGAAACTGCCTATGAGGAGACTCAGATGTTGGAATTAGCAAGGACTTTGAAACAGCTATTATAAACATGATTCAAAGAATGAAAGGAAACCATATTTTTAAAAATCAAAGGAAGTTAGAACAATGTTTAGTCAAATAGAGACTATCAATAAACAGATAGAAGCTATAAATTTATAAGTTACAGAGAGAACCAAATGGAAATTATGAAGTTATATGTATAATAATTATAACAAAAGAAATGTTCAAAAGTAAATTTGAGAAAAGAAAGAATCTAGAAACTTGAAGACAGAGTAATAGAGATTATAAATAACAGGAAGAAAAAAGTAGGAAGAAAATGAATGGCAACTCAGAGAAATGTTGAACAATTAAGTTCATGAATTATCTTTTTCTCTCTTCTTATTTAAAAAGCCATTGCATAAAGACATTTCTACAGAGCTGTACTGTTGGGCCCATAACACACAGAAATATAATGTAACAAGAACACAAAGTCTAGGCGTGGTGGCTCATGCCTGTAATCCCAGCACTTTGGGAGGCTGAGGCATGTGGATCACCTGAGGTCAAGAATTCAAGACCAGCCTGGCCAACATGGTGAAACCCCATCTCTACTAAAAATACAAAAAATTAGCTGGGCGTGGCGGTGTGTGCCTGTAATCCCAGCTACTTGGGAGGCTGAGGCAGGAGAATTGCTTGGATCCAGGGGGCTGAGGTTGCAGTGAGCCAAGATTGTGCCATTGCACTGCAGCCTGGGCGACAGGGTGAGACCTTGTCTCAAGGCAAAACAAAACAAAACAAAAAACAACAACAAAAAAAACACAAATAAGGGAGGTGGAAATAAAACTATACAAGAATAAAGAAATGACACTAGATGGTAACTTAAAGCCACAGGAAGATATGAAGACAAACAAAAATACTAAATAAGATTAGCATACATTAAAAGCAATTTCTAAAAATATATTTGTGCTCTCTTCTCCAGTTTCTTTGAAAGACAGAAAACTGGCCAGGCGTGGTGGCTCATGCCTGTAATCCCAGCACTTTGGGAGGCCGAGGCAGGCGGATCACCTGAGGTCGGGAGTTCGAGACCAGCCTGACCAACATGGAGAAATCCCATCTCTACTAAAAATACAAAATTAGCCAGGCGTCGTGGCACATGCCTGTAATACCAGCTACTTCAGAGGCTGAGGCAGTAGAATCGCTTGAACCCAGGAGGCGGAGGTTGCAGTGAGCCGAGATCACGGCACTGCACTCCAGCCTGGGCAACAGAGCAAGACTCTGTCTCAAGAAAAAATAAAAAGACAGAAAATTTTATAAAACAATAATTACAACATTGGACTGTTGGGTTTGTAACACTGATAGATGTAACATACATAACAATCATAACACAAAAAGGGAAGAGGAAATGGATCTATAGAGGAGTAAATTTTCTACATCTTGCTGAAATTAATATAAATTTGAAGTAGTTTCTAGTAAGTTAAGGTGTATATTGTAAGCCTTAGTGCAACAACTAAGAAAATATCTAAAAATACATAATAATCATTAAAGGAGTGAAAATGATATACTAGAAAATACTTAACATAAAAGGAGGCAGTAAAGAAGAAATAGAGGAGCAAAGTAATAATGAGACATGCAAAAAATAAGCAAAATGGCATACATAAATCCATCCAACCACATCAATAATAATATTAAATGTGAATAGATTACATGATTCAACCAAAAGGCAGAGATTGTAAGACTATACACAAAACCAAGATTCAACTATATGCTGTCTACTGGAGACTACTTTAGGTTCAAGGATAAAATTAGGTTGTAAGTAAAAGGATGGAAAGAGACATGCAAACAGTAACAGCAAGGCATGTAGAGTGGTTATGTTTATATCAGACAAAAAAGAAATTAGACAAAAACAGATAGTTGCAATAAAGAGGGACATTTCCTAATGATAATGTAGGTAAATTCACCAGGAAGGTTAAAAAATTGTAAACATATAGGGACCTAACAACAGGTTCCATATACATGAGCAATAATGGACAGAACTGAAGGGATACAGAAAACTCAAAATAATAATACTGTCAATAATGGATAGAACCACCAGGCAGAAAATCAACAAGGATACATAAGACTCAAACAATAATATAAATCAATTAGACCTAACAGATAACCATTGAACATTTAGCCAACAAAATCAGATACATATTCTTTTCAAGTGCACATGGGACATTTTCTAGAATACACCATATAGTAGGCCACAAACAAAACTCAATAAATTTTAAACTACTGCTATTATACAGAGTATATCCTCTGACCATGATGGAATTAAATAATTAGAAATCAATGACAAAAGATATTTGGAAAATTACAAATATGTAAAAAAGTAAAAAACATACTCCTAAATATTATAATCAATGGTTCAAAGAAGAAATTGCAACAAGAATTACAAAATGCTTTGAGATTAATAAATGAAAACACCAACATTCTAAAACACATTGGATGCAGCTAAATCAGTGCTTGAAGGGAATTTAAAGCTATAAATGGCTATAAAGAAGATGACGAATCAATAATCTAATTTTTCACCTTAAGAAACAACAACAACAAAAAAAAACAAGAGCAAAGTAAACCAGAGCAAGTACAAGGCGGGGAAAAAAAGAATAAAAATTAGTGTAGAAATGAATGAAATAGAGAATAGAAAAACAACCACAACAATAAAAATCAATGAAGCCAAAAGCTGGTTTTTTGAAAACATCAACAAAATGACAAATCTTTAGCTAGACTGACAGACAAAAAATAAGAGAGGGAAAAAGAGATGACTTAAATTACTAAAATCAGGAATGAAATTGATATCTCTACTGACCATATAGAAATAAAAAGGATTATAGGAGAACACCATACAAAACTGTATGCCAAAAAAAATAGAGAATGTAGATGAAATGGAAAATTCCTAGAAAGAAACAAACTACTGAAACTGACTCAAGAAGAAACAGAAATCTGAATAGTAAAGATACTGAATCAGTCATTTCAAAATTTCCACAAAGAAAATGCCAGGTCCAAATAACTTTGCTGGTAAATGTTTATAGAAGAATCACTACCCATCCTTCACAAAATCTTCCAAATACTTGAATGCAAAGGAAGCTAGGTGTGGCGGCACACACTTGTTATCCCAGCACTTTGGGAGGCCAAGGTGGGAGGATTGCTTGAGCCCAGGAGTTCGAGACCAGCCTGGGCAACATGATGAAATTAGCCAGGCATGGTGGCATGTGCCTATAATCCCAGCTACTTGGGAGGCGGAGGTGGAAGGATGGCTTGAGCCTAGGAGGTCAAGGCTGCAGTGAGCCATGATCATGCCACTGTACTCCAACCTAGACAACAGATGGAAACCTTGTCTCAAAAAAAAAAAGAAAAAAAAAAAAAAAGGAATACTTCCAAATTGATTGGGGCCAGTATTATTCTGATACCAAAACCAGACAAAGACAACACAGGAAAAGAAAGAAAACTACAGGCCAATACCTCTTATGAACATGGACACAAAAATCCTCAGAAAAGTACTAGAAATCAAATCCAGCACACAGAAAAAGATGTATACATCATGACCAAATGGAATTTATTCCCAGACTGTAAGAGTGATTCAACATCTGAAAATCAATCAATTTTATATAACTTGTATCTTAGTTTGTGCTATTATAATAAAATACCTGAGACTGGGTAATATATAAAGAACAGAAATTTATTTTCACAGTTTTGGAGTCTGGGAAGTCTAAGATCAAGACACTAATAGGCTCAGTGTCTGGTGAGGCTGCTCTCTGCTTCCAAGGTGGCACCTGTTGCTGCCTCCTCCAGAGGGGAAGAAGGCTGTGACCTCACATGACAGAAGGGACAGAACGACCAAAGAGGGCCTATCTAGTTCCCTCCAGCCATTTTATAAGGTGACTAATTTCATTTATGAGAGCAGAACCCTTATGGCCTAATCACCTCCTACAGACACCACCTCTTAACTACTGTTGCACTGGGGATAGTTTGAACAGGAATTTTAGAGAGGACACAAACATCCAAAACGTAACAAATTAATGGACTAAGGGACAAAAAACATATAATTGTCTCCATAGACCTAGGAAAAGCATTTAACAAAATCCAATACGTTTTTATAATGAAATACACACACAACAAACTAGGAATAGAAGAGAACATCCTCAATCTGATAACGGTTGTCTGTGAACGACCTCTAGCTAATATTAATATGAAGTGGTGAAAGACTGAATGCTTCCTCCTTAAAACTGAGAAGAAGACCAGGATTTCCACGCTTGCCACTTCTGTTCAGCGTTGAATGGAGGTTCTAGTCAAGAGAATTAGGCAAGAAATAGAAATGGAAGGCATCCAGATTAGAAAGAAAGAAGCAAAGCTATCTCTAGTGACAGATGACATGATCTTATATAGAGAAAATCTCAAGGAATTCGGTAAAAAACTATTAATACTAACAAACATGTTCAGCAGGGTTATAGGATACAAGATACTCCCCAAACTGATGTACAGACTTGACAAATCCCTATGAAAATCCCAGTTAGCTTTTGTTTTGTTTTGTTTTTCTACCCCCTGCAGCAGGAGTCTGGAGCCCCAGTCTGCCCCAGCCAGAGCAAGGCTGGAGAGGCTGGCCGGCACCAAAGCCATTGTCCCATGCCTGTGCTGCTTTGTTTTTGCAGAAATCGACAGGCTGATTCTAAAACTCATATGGAAATATGAGAGACCTGAAAGACCCAACCTTCTAAAAAGAACAAAGTTAGTGGGCTCAGGTTTTTCAGTTTCAAAATTTACTACTAAACTATAATAATCAAGGCAGCATAGTACTGGTATGAGAAGAGACATTCAGACTAATGGAATAGAATTGAGAATCAAGAAACAAACGTTTTAATTAGGTTATCCATTATAAAAATACAGATAACCTACATAAAAATGGGTAAAGTACTAAGCAGACATTTCTTCAAGGAAGATATACAAAGCATATGAAAAGATGCTCAACCTCATCAATTATTAGAGAAACGCAAGTCCAAACCTTAATGGGATACCACTTCATACTAACTAGAACAGCTGTGAACAAAAAGACAATAACCAGTGTTGGTTAGGATATCAAGAAACCAGAACTCTCATACCTCGTTAGTGGGAATACAAAATGGTGCAGCCACTACGGAAAATAGTTTGGTAGTTACCATAGGACACTGTTTCCATTCCTAGTTACCTACCCAAGGAAAATGAAACCACACACTCACACAAAAACTTGCACATAAATGTTCATAGCAGTGTGATTCATTATAGCCAAAAAGTGAAAACAACCCACACATCCATCAACTAATTAATGAATAAATAAAATATGATATGTTCATACAATAAAATATTATTCAGCAACAAAAAAGAATGAAGTACTAATATATTTTGCTACATAGATGAAACTCAAAAACATTCACATGCTCAGTGAAAAGACAGTTACTTAAGATCATATGTTATATTATCTCATTTATATGAAATTTTCAGAATCAGCAAACCTGTAGATATTAAATAGATTTGTGGTTGTCCGGGGCCGGTGGGAGGAAGCTGGGTGGTGGGTAAAGGGAGTGACTGCTAATAAGTCAAGGTTTTCACGGGATGATGAAAAATTGTCTAAAACTAGCTTATGGTGAAGGCTGTATAATTCAATAAATTATTAAAACCAAGGAGTTGCATACTTTAAATGGATGAACATGTGGAATGTAAATGATATCTTTAAAAACTGTTTTTAAAAAAGAAGAAAGTGAGGCTGGGCGCGGTGGCTCACACCTGTAATCCCAGCATTTTGGGAGACCGAGGCGGGTGGATCACGAAGTCAGGAGTTCGAGACCAGCCTGACCAACATGGTGAAACCCCATCTCTACTAAAAATACAAAAATTAGTCAGGCTTGGTGGCGCACACCTGTAATCCCAGCTACTCAGGAGGCTGAGGCAGGAGAATCACTTGAACCCGGGAGGTGGAGGTTGCAAGTGAGCCGAGATTGTGCCACTGCACTCTCCAGCCTGGGTGACAGGCGGAGACTCTGTCTCAAAAAAAAAAAAAAAAAAAAAAGAAGGAGAAGAAAGTAGCTTTATAGGCTCTGAAGCACCTGCAAGAATGCCATGCAAATATGAGTTAGCAGGATTGCAGTGATAGCACCCGGACTTTTTTATTTGCTCCATCTTAAGAAGATGAGTTCCTGACATGTTTTTGACGCTTGTTAACAACTTGGGGGAGAGCCAACTCTGGAAGAAATACAAATAATGGCTAGGATGTCTGTGTGGCATTGTGTTACTCACAGGTCCTCGCCCAGACAGTCATTTCCATGGTAGCGGGGCAGCACAGTCACCACCACAGTGCACGGCTGGACCTTGGAGCCTTTGCCATCTGTGATTTCAGTGGAAACCATGACTGTGAGGGAACATGTCAGAAGAGGGTCATCTTGGACATGTGGGTTACAGAGATGCTTCTTCACACACAGACAGCATCTTCTGGATGACTAAAACTGTGACAAGTGCTGACAAAGGGGCCAGGCTCCGAGCCACAGGGAGCCCAGGGAGTGAAATACAAACTCGGCAATGGACTGTCAAGGCTTGGGGTTATAGTTTGACCAGTTCCTACATGATATATAGAAATTTAACAGGCCTAGAAAAAAGGTGAAGAATTCTGACAGAGGGGACTTTTTAAAAGACATAAGACCTATTTGGGGGACCCAGGAATTCCTTCATGTAACAGGGGTGCAGGGCTGTGGTGAGGGGACCTGCAGATCAGGCTCAGAGTGCAGGTGATGGCCAGATGCTAAGGGCCACAGGCACCGTCATAGGAACCACATAGAAAGATCGACGCCCAGGTGTGCCCTATGTATCTTTATAACAACATTTTCAACCTGAAACTCAGTGCCAAGGATTGGGGACTTAATTTTGGAGGTTGACACTTCTCAAGATGTGGTCTATGGACACTTGCAGCCCAAGCGCCAGGCATCTCGTCTACAAGCAAATTCCGTGCTCCATCTTCTCCCCACAATCCTGAGTCAGTGGATACTAGGTGGGCTCTGGAGGCAGCAATTTTAACAAATACCCTTAACAGATAAGGTTGGTCCTATGCACGGATATAGAAAATCCCAAAGGAGCAGTTTTTAGGCAAGACTCCACTTATTTTGACAAGCTGAGTCTGCGCCACACTCACTCATGCAAAAGATGGGACAAGAAAAGGTATGTATTAAGTATTTACTATATTGTATTTATTTTGCTTATGTTCGCCCCCTTACAAATCTTGAGTTCAGGTATTCATAGGAATTGGCTGTACTGATAGTGACAATTACAAACAAATTGTGGTTGTGAATGATTTGAGTAACATCACTAACCCTGACACTGCTCTGGGACTGTGACCTGAAATTTGGTCTGTAAATTTATGTTAAGAAATCTTTACTTCCAACACAGAGCTGAGGCCCTGGCCCAAGGTCCTTCTATTGGAACATTTGCCCAGCCTAAGTCTCACATAACCCCGTACGCAGCTTGACTTCAAGAAAACTCAAGATCAAACGGAGTACAAAGTCACTGTGATACAAAGCAGAGCATGATTATGAAGATCTCAAAATGCCCTGCTCAGAAGTTTTGCTCAATATAATTGATTTGTATCTAGAAGAAGGTACAAGTGTTTCTAACTGAAGGTGACAGGCAAAGTTTCATGAAGAAGAAGGAACTTCAGCTTGGCTTAAAGGAGAGGTGAAACTTAAATAAATCAAGTGAATGAACTAGTTCAGACTTCAGGCTCTAATAATCTTACCAGTCCAAATTAAAGAAACTTCTAGATCAGTGACTCTCAACCTTCCCTGCACATCAGAATCTTCCAGGCATTTAAAAAATAAAACAGAAACTTAAAAAGTCACCAACCCCCAAGATTTTTATTTAACCAGCCTGGGTTTGCACATGTCAAGATACCTTCCTAAATGGCTGCATGTCTCTTATGCTCAGTTGAAGCCAGTTCCAAGGGACTGGTTTAGAAGTAACCACAACCTCAGGAACAGGGTCAGAGCAGAAAGTTGTAAACACTGTGGGATTCATTTTGTTTTGAGGTTATGTTACTAACATGCTAACTCACATTCATTTACCCCACATTTTGTTCCTTAGGGGGATACCTTGATTTGGTTTCATCTATAATAAATGCAAGATTCACCAGATATGACATATTTCATTAGTAAGTAAGAAATGTCCTGATTTTAAATATTTAATTTATATATGAAAAAACATTCTCTGGCATTTTATCATTTACAGTGTATTTCAGTTAAAATTTAAGATATAAAAAACTGATTTAATTTATTGATATTACTAATGTTCTTTCTGCACTAAAAGGTAGATAATAAACCTAAACTGAAAAGCATTAAACTGATCAAGGTGATTTTATTTTCTAGACACAGTTTAGTTTTTGAAAACCAGGAAAAAAGGTTTAGAACTGTAGGTTGGCACAGCTAGTGACTCCAACTGGCACCATAGCTTACCTTTGTAATTGTCCAAGTGCTCACCAGCTGGCAACACAAAATAATACTGGGTGTCTCTCCCATGGTACAAAGTGTGTTTGGAGGTGTTTCCTATCTGGTAACTAAATTCATAATGGAAGTCCTATGATCCAGTCCAAGGGAGCAAAAATAGTATAAATGAACACACTGTGAATGATATCACAATACATACACACACAGCTGAGCCTTCATTGTACCAAGGACATTCTTTACAGCCAGGAAGAGGGTAAGTGACAGGTAAGCAGCACTCCCAGCTGCCCAGAGCCCTGGGCCCTGCAGGGCTCTCCATTCACCAAGCCCAAAGGGCTCCTCGAACAACACTGAGATTCCCCACCAGTGTCTGTGTCCTCTCCTTGTCCTGGAACCTCCCCACAGTCACAAATCAGACTGTCACAGCCCCCTCAGGGTGAAGGGCCCCAGCTGCCCCTCAGCTTCCACACTGCTGGGCATCACACAGCAGGAGGAGCAGGAGGGAGGGGTCGGGGTGCCTCAAGGGAAGGCCATGGTCTGGGACCTCTGGAGGACAAGGGTGGGGCTTCCTACAGAAGGGGTCAGGCAGAAGGGCAGGGAGGTCAGTGTCCTGGCTGAGAGGATGGAGAGGGCAGTGCCAGGGTCACAATATCACAGGCTCCTGTCCTGCCTGCCCATCACCTGAGGCATTCATCTTTTTTTAAATTTTTTTTTGAGATAAGTCTCACACTGTCTCCCAGGCTGCTGTGCAATGGCGCGATCTCGGCTCACTGCAACCTCCGCCTCCTGGGTTCAAGCAATTCTCCTGCCTCAGCCTCCCAAGTAGCTGGGATTACAGGCACCTACCACCACACCCAGCTAATTTTTGTATTTTTAGTAGAGATGGGGTTTCACCATGTTGGCCAGGCTGGTTTGCATTCATCTTTTTAAATCCATCCTCTCATTTCACCCTCACAAGACCCTGAGCAACAAAATCACAATGGTCTTCTCCATGGCCCAGAGAAAGGGTGAGGGTAAGTCCGTGTTAGAAATGTGCCTGGGGAGGGAAAGGGCCAGGCTCCTCTCCTCACTTTGGGTCACGTGCCTGCCTTTTTCTTGGGGGCAGCATTAACGGAGGCCCCTGTTCTAACCAGGCTGCAGGGCAGACGACTCCTGGTGAGCAGGCCCTTGTCTCTTTGTGAAATTCTGAACCTTCTCAACCAGGGGGCCACTTTGCACTCCTCTCATTAGTGTGTGGGGAAGCCCATTCATGCCTAACCAACTTTCCAACATTCAACGGCAGGCTGAAATCCTTCACAGGTGGGAAGGACATTGCTGTCCATTCCTACAGCACCCGTGACTGCTGTGACTGCCAGATGCCACTGTCGGGGGTCTCTCAGGACAGACATGGGGTTGTCCACGTACCGGTTTTCCAGACATGCAGAAGACACTGAAGACGGTGTGTGCTTCCAGACCATGGTGGGGCTGCACCTGACAGGCCATGTCCCGAGGAGCCGGGTTGACTGTCAAGTACAGCTGAGCTTTACCCAGTAAGCCATGCTTCGAAGCTAAAGAGAAAGATGAAGCAGCGGTTTCACCCATGATGGAGAATTACAGCAGCATAGGAATAAGTTTTTATAGATAAACCTTATAGCAGGGGTTCTCAAAGTAGGGTCCCCAGACCAGCAGCATCGGACTAACCTGGGAATTTGTCAGAAATGAAGATTCTGGAGCCCCACCCTAGACCTGCTGACTCAGAAACTGAGACTCAGTGATAGTTTTCACATACCCTTAGGGGATTCTGAAGTTCTGGGGTTTGAGAACCACTGCCTATATGTTCATTAATATAACAAACACTCACTGGGTGGGGCAGGTACTATCCTAGGCCCTGGGGAGACAGAAGTGTCTCCCTACCTGGGAGTCACATGGCAACCACCCAGACAGAAACCGAAGCCTGAGGGAGAGATGATGCTAACAGACCCATTACCCAGCAGAGCAAACTTTCTCCATTCTCCTGGATTCTCTCAAAACCTTAGCCACATACACACGTACGTACAGCTTCGTTGAATGTATAGCACCAATACAATTTTATATTTTGTTTTATTAACTATATTAATATCATAACTATTTTCCATGTTGACATAGAGCATCCAAAATCATTGTTGTAAATAGCAGCATAAGATTACATGGAACAGATATACCCTAATACGCACAATTATTATCCCCAATGATTAAACATTTTGCTTATTTTCCATTTTCTGTTATTATTGATCACCCCATAATGATTATTCTCATACATATAGTTTTTAAATGTTTAATGTATTTGTCTTGAGATGGATTATAGAAATGAAATTTACATGTCAAATGGTTTAAAATCTTGATGATCATCATCCTCATCGTAACAGCAGGTACCATCTATTGAGCCTCTGCTACACACCAGGTGCCCTGCTAGACACTGTTCCTGTATTATCTTATTTAACAGTCACATTAACCATGGAAGACAGATCTCATAACAAAAGTAAAACCCAGGAGAAAAGGATGATGAATCCTGCCTGGCTGACCAGGGGAATCTCCACAAAAGAAGACACATTTGAGTGAGGAGTCTTGGGGTATCAGTCTTATACTGGGCTTAGGAAGGGATGTGGGGAAAAGAATGGGCATTCCAGCCAAAATAACCACAGGGAAAGACTTAGAGTCACGAGGGGGCCTGGTGTTATCTGAAGAGCACGGGAAGGGAGGGCAGCAGTCAGCGAGGGTGTGCAAGGCTGCGGGAGAGAAGGCTGACAGGAGACCTGGAGCCTGAGTGCACCACCTGGCAGCCAGCCAAGGACACTGACCAGGCTGGTGGGCCATGGAGAGACTCTCATGTGTCTCCTGCACCATTAAGGAATATGGCCCAGCTAAGAGAACTGTCTTTAGACTTGTCACTTGGGCAAATTTCAGAGGCAAAAGAAAGAGGTACAGCCAAAGGCAAAAGGTATTTGTTGAAACAAAAGCAAACGCTGCCCGTCTTGTATCCAAAGCAGGGACCCAGGGCTAGTTGTTAAATGCTAAACGTGGAAGGGGCAGGCAGATGTTTATAGAAACTGTGAGAATCAAGATGACCCTCAGGGATCTCATTGAGCCCAGCCCAGCCAGTTCTCAGGAGAAAGTGAACCTCGGGTTTCCCACTTGTATGACAATAGAGTTCACAGAGAATGCAAGTTTGCAAATTCCTGATAGGTTTTAATTAATGCAAAACTGTGGATGTTGAACCAAACCTATCTGTAGATAAAAATTGTTGGCTGGGTGCGGTGGCTTATGACTGCAATCTCAGCACTTGTGGAGGCCAAGGCAGGTGGATCGCTCACTTGAGGTCATGAGTTCGAGACCAGCCTGGCCAACATGGTGAAACCCCCACTCTACTAAAAATACAAAAAATTAGCCGGGCGTGGTGGCAGGCAGCTGTAATCCCAGTTACTCGGGAGGCTGAGGCAGGAGAATCACTTGAACCTGGGAGGTGGAGGTTGCAGTGAGCTGAGACCGTGCCTCTGCACTCCAGCCTGGGCAACAGAGCAAGACTTTGTCTCAAAAAAAAAAAAAAAAAAAGGCCAGGCACGGTGGCTCACGCCTGTAATCCCAGCACTTTGGGAGGCTGAGACGGGCAGATCACAAGGTCAGGAGATCGAGACCATCCTGGCTAACATGGTGAAACCCCATCTCTACTAAAAATACAAAAAATTAGCTGGGCGTGGTGGCAGGCAGCTGTAGTCCCAGCTATTCGGGAGGCTGAGGCAGGAGAATGGCGTGAACCTGGGAGGCAGAGCTTGCGGTGAGCCAAGATCGGGCCACTGCACTCTAGCCTGGGCAACAGAGGGACTCCGTCTCAACAAAAAAATAAAAAATAAAAAAAAAAATTAAGCCCACTGTGCTTGTCATATGGAATGAAAACCTCTAGAAATGGGGGAAAATGTCTAGAAGTTCTGCAAAACGATGATCTCAGATTGAGATAGGCATGGAAACGCAAGAAGGAATGCAGAGCAAGGGTAAGGCGAGGCCTGTGGGTGAATTTCAATGAACATCAGTGGCACAAAACAAGCAATAACACCTTTCTAGGGTTTAAATAGAGAGAGAGAGAGAGAGAGAGATTACGGACAGATTTGCAGGAAAGGAATCAACTTGTGCAGTTGTCTAGCATAAATAAGATATATATATATATATACATATATATATATATATATATTTTTTTTTTTTTTTTTGAGACAGTCTTGCTCTGTCGCCCAGGCTGGAGTTCAGTGGCGCGATCTTGGCTCACTGCAAGCTCCACCTCCTGGGTTCACGCCATTCTCCTGCCTCGGCCTCTCGAATAGCTGGGATTACAGGCACCCGCCACCATGCCCGGCAAATTTTTTGTATTTTTTAGTAGAGATGGGGTTTCACCGTGTTAGCCAGGATGGTCTCGATCTCCTGACCTCGTGATCTGCCTGCCTCGGCCTCCCAAAGTGCTGGGATTACAAGCGTGAGCCACTGTGCCCAGCCCTATATATATGTAATTTTTTAAAAAGGCAACTGCTTAGCCTTTACGCTGATGTAGACCTGCACCCCATTCCTTAGGAAGAGTAAACTCACAGAGACGCAGCAGGACTCCTCATCCTCTGATAAATGCAACTGACAATGTAACATACCCACAGACACTTGCAGGACGTACGTCTCTCCACTGCTCAGAGAGTATGGCTTGATTGTCACTGTCTGTTCTGTAATACCTGCAGAAAAGACATGGCTGCATGGAAATGACAGTCAGTGGTCTCAAGGACAGAGGTCACACAGAGTCCTTGGAAATGAGTTCCACTCTTCCCCCAGGGGTGAAATTAACATAGATACTAGTGAAACATGCCACTCCTGCTTGGAAAGGTTGCTGGTTACTGCCTTCTATAAACAGCCTGTCCTGCCCAACAGAAGCATTACTGAGGATGGTCCATCCATCCCTGGCTCAGAAATGACACTAATGTCCCAAGCAACAAGAGAATTCTGTTAGGATCTTATTTTATATGTTTATAATTATGTTCATGTTTAATTTGGCAATTTTATAAATCATACTATAAAGTATGATTAAGGAATTTTGAAGCTATTTTTAAGTCTGCAGAATACTGGTTATGGACAATTTTTAACCTGGGTGTAACTGCTGACCGTGGTGACTGGATTACTTCCTTAGCAGAGAGAGGCTGACCTCTCACTACTTACCCTGAAAAAAGGAGAGATCGGAAATACAAGATTGATGATCTAAACATGGACAGTTTCTAAAATTACAATCTTACAATAGTACTTCTCAAAATGCTTCAAGGAAAGGGTGAAGGGAAAATTATCTAAAAATAGTGTGAAATCCAGATCCTCCCCAAGAGGTCTGTAAGGATGGCACAATCACATGTATTAACACGAAAGGGGGAAATACAACAAATTGAGCAAAAGCACCATGTCTGGGCTGGGAAATTCCATTAGAAATTCAATCGCTCTTCAGGAGCAGCTTCATTTTGACCAATTCATGTAAATCCCTGACCACCCTACAAAAGGCTGTCACAGAAAAGGTGCGCACCAAGGTGTCTGGGAGCACAGAACGTGCAGCACTTGGCAGCACCCCTCTTCCGCTTTGGTCTACACACATGGATCTCCTGGTAGCAACAGACGCTAACTTTACTTTTGTTAGAAGAGTCTCAGGCCATAGTCCATAGAAGAACAAGCACAAGTAGAAAAGGTACCACAATTCTAAATACTTATCTAGTAAAACGAAAAGTTCAGAAGAAATTGAGGGCTGATATCTAAAAGCTTCAGAAACACTGCAAATTGGAGGGTACAAAGAGGACATTCATACCTGAGGATGAATAGCCTTGGAAAACTGCTCGACCCAGCAGGGCCTTGGGCCAGTCAATCATGAGGACAGGCTCGGCTCTGCCTGCAGACAGGGAGGGGTCCACCAGGTTATCCCCATCTCCAGGGCTCTCCTCGGCACTCAAGCTAGGTCCTGATCCTGGAAAGCTGGTGTCCTTAGCTAGGAAGATAAACCAAGCCAATAGATGTTAAAGAAAAAAAGTCATGATGATCTTAAAGCATTAGTGATTCAATGCTGATATTAATAACTATTTGTACTATTGCTGGATACCGCCTATCTAATATAATGTCTTCAGCAGCCAAACATATTCAAGACATGTACTTTGTTAACATGTAATTAGCGGTCCAAAGGCATCTTCCCTCCCTCCCTCCCTCCCTCCCTTCCTATCTTCCTTCCTTCCTTCTGCAAGATTTATTAAGGTCTACTAAGTCCAGGTACTACTCTAGAAATAGGAGACACAGCGTGAACCAGATCAATGGTGTCCTTGCTATCTGGAGTTAATAGTGAGGCAGTCCAAAAAATAAATGAGAAAACACATAAATAAATAATATAAACTCAGGTAATGAAGGAAAGAAAAGCGGGGTATGCAGAGGAAGAGAGAGTGGTGTGGAAAGGAAGTCCTTCTGAGATGGAGGTCAGGGAGGTCCTCTCTGAAGACTAAGACTAGAAGGAGCCCTTCAAGCATCTGAAGGAAGGAGTTTCCAGGTTGAGTAAAACCAAAATGCTGTGGGAATGATCTGCCCTAGTGGTTGGAGGGTGGGAGGGAGGGAGGGAGGGCAGGAGGAGGAAAAATGTGGCTGGAGGCATTGCCAGGGTCACATCATGCTGGGTGCACAGCCACGGGCTTTTGTCCTGAGTGCCCTAGGAAGCCACTGGAGGGACCTGTCAGGAGAGTAACAACAGCCTGGTTTGTGGTGAAGAGTCCTCTGCCTGTCATGTGATGAGATGACTGCAGGCAGCAAGAAGAGAAGCAGCGAGGGCAAAGGAAGGGCTCCTGCATGGTCTAGGCAAGAAGGAGTCGCTGCACTTCACTTAGGCTAAGGAGGCTCCTTTAAGACTTGAAACCAAGGTCACTGAAGCAAGATATAGTAATAAAACACAAATGTTGTAAGGAGGAATAATTTTATAAATGCAATACAAAGGCAGATCTTTCTTCATTCAGTTGTATTGATTAAGCACCTACTGTGAGTACGAATGTGAGCCTCTACAACAGATCTGCGTGTGTACTGTAAAGACTTTTAAATGTTCTGTATGATGATGTTTTGATATACTGAAGAACAAAATGAAACAAAAGCGTTCTGGCTAAGGAGACAGTGCTTCTCTTGGGGCTGGGGCTAGCCAACTCTTAGAGATTACAAAAGGCCCAGCCTGCAATGTGTCTTTGATTTGCAAACTGACCAATCCAGAACCACCCCCAACAAATCATCCTGGGCAACTAGAGACCACCCTTAGGCCTAGGATCTGCTGAAATTAAACTAACTGATTCTAAACTATTCATCCAGCCCTGCCTTAGCCTTGCCTTTCTTTGCCGTGGAAAACCCAAAAAAAACCTTGGCTTAAGGGCTCCCCTTGCTCCTGTCTGCTGTCTCCTGACCTCCCTGCAGCTTCCCCATGTGGCCTTGTGTGGCCTGCCATGCCTCTTGTCTCTAGGACCTGGGAGTATTTTCTTTGTTTTTCTCTCCTCTGTGGCTGCACCTGACTGACCATCTCATCCAAGAAGAGCACGACACACAGGAAGGAACATGGGAAGGGCTGGAGAAGCCGTGCAGTTGGAAGCAGCTGAGGAGGACTGTTGAAGGAAACACTGCCTCAAATCAGAGGAATAAATCATTCATTCATCATCCATTATTCCCTCGATAGATAAATCATTCACTCATCAGCCATTTATCGATTCATTCATCAAATAAGTCATTTACCTACTCATTTGACAGATAAATCATTCACTAGACATCCATCTCTTCACTAGACAGATAAATCAGTCACTCGCTGATCAAACATCTGTTCATTCGATAGATGAATAAGTCATTCGCTGATCATCAATTCATTCTACAATGTGTTTACTGAGTGCCAATGTGCCAGGGACCGTGATCCATCTGGGAACATAGCATAAGCTGGCCATGGAAGCTTTCCTGGAAGAGCTCAGAGCAGAAGACACAGACACAGAAAGAGCCACTAAGTGCCAGGTGCCACCTGCTTCCCAGAGGAGGGAATAAATACTGAGCTGGTGTGTGTGTGTGTGTTTTGGGGGTTGGGGGGAAGGCGGGGGGAGTGGTGGTCCTTACAAGACAAGCCTGAGGAAGACTTCCCAGAGAGAAATGGAGCCAGACCTGAAGGAGGAGGCTCGCTGAGCAGATAACTTAGGAAGGACGTGGAGGAAGGCATTTTTGGCAGACGACACTCCATGACCAAGGCATGGAAGAGCTGGGATGCTCATCCTTGGGCCTGGGGCTACTGTTGGGATTTTGGAGCATAGGGTGAGAGAAGGGCAGAAAGAGGGGAGCTAGAAATAAAGGTTTGGTTCAGACCGTGCCATGTAAGAGTTCAACTTTTCCCTGTGATTCTGTGGAGCTCTCAGTGGCTGTGTAAGGGAACAGGTGGGAAATCCAGATTGCAGAAAGGCTGTGGAGGAGAGCTGAGTGGAGAGAGGCAGCAGGCATAGAAGCACAGTCACCTGGCTGTCTTCCTCCCGATGGTATTGCTTCTTGAATGTCACTGTAATAGGCTTCAAAATCTATAAGAAAGGACAAAATCATAATGTTTCCTTTAAAATCACAGAATCCCCTGAAATTAACAGCAGCTCCCCTGATGGGTCACATTGTCCTTGGTGTATTTCTAGACTCCATACATTGCTCTGTGGATTACAAAATACCCTCAGTGGTGGTGTCTTCCCTCACTCATGACAGCTGGGCAAGGCAGGTTTCATTGCCCCGGGGCCCCAGGAGGAGGAGAGGGAGCTCCAATAGGTGTGTGGTTTCTAAGAATAACCCAGCAAGTAAGTTGAGACCAAGGCTCACATATGGGTCTCTGCCACCACACCCAGCATCCTATCCTCTCTTCAAGCGAGTCTTTTACTGTTCTTTTAGAGAAAATGTCTCACTCTTTTCTTTTAGAAGGAGAGAAATGGACACAAGAATGCCCTGCTGCAAATGTCGCCTCCTGTCCCCTCAGCCCTCCTTTCCCAGAGGCAGAGGAGCTCACAGCGGTCCCTCCAGCCAGCCAGCCAAGTCTGGGAGGCCTGGAGCACAGCTGAATTGACAAGAGCATGCAGAGCATGAGACCACCATAGCCCAAGAGTAAGCAGCAAAATCAGTAAGCAGCTGAGGACAGTGACAGAGAGACAGATGCCAGGTCAGAGCTTTTCTCATTATTACCTTTTCTCTCCATTTTTTAAGTACCAGAATGGTTTCCATCCCCCTGAAACCCAATGATAAAGTGAAGCAATTGATCCCAGGGCAGGGGAGAAGGATTAGGAAGCCGGTGTGGAGTAAACAACTACTGTAGCACAGACACTGCACACACGGGACCTCACTGCAGCCTCAGAACCTGCCATGGGTTTGTCATTTTCCCAGTTCAGAGATGAGGAATCCGAAACTCGATGACTATTGCACAACCAGCAAGTGGTGGGTGTGAACCTGGCGCTTTCTGATTTAAAGGCCCATGTTGATGTGATCTCACACCTTACCCACCAGATTCACTGCTTCCAAAGGTAACTTTGGTGCCTAGACAAGAGGGATGACATGCAGGAACAGTGGCACTTACCAGAGAGGTGAGGGTCAGGGCTGTGGGTGGGCTGACTTCTCTCAGAGCGGCCAGTCATCAGGGATCCCTTGCTCTGTGGCCCTGGCTCTAGGTCTAGTGAACCTTCCTCTGGAGCCTCCCCCAGGACTGCAGAGTCCCCCGCAGGAGGAATCCAGTAGACTCCAGTCATGGGCTCTGTGGGGGTTCCCCTTGGAGCTGAAGTGGCAGGTTGGCCAAGGGTCACGGGTGAAGGTTCCCGTGAGAATGGTGTGGTCGTTGCATCAGGATCTGCAGTGCCAGGCTCAGTGGGCAGCAGGTTTAACTGTGATGACTCTGAAATGGCACCGAGTCCCAGCGAGCCAAGCAGCCCCACTACTCTGCAGAAGGGAACTTAAGCAAACGTTTGGCAGTGTTAGAATTTTGCAGCAAAAATATAAAATATTTGCTTAAAAAGTCTACAGACTATGTAAGGATGCTATATTATAAACAAATCTGTTGTGAATTTGAAAACCTACACTTAAGAGATACAGGGCAGAGAGTGTGGTGTTGGCGTGTTCTGTGTTGGCATGTTGGCCAACAGCAAGAAGCACATGTATGGAAGTAGAAGGCAGGATTCACAGCGATTGCACCTGACGTTTGCTCTTCCAAGTCGGGGGGGAGGGATCTGCTGAATCCTATGCACTCCCAGGCATGACTTATTCATGGGTATTCTAGAAAAAACTTGGGATGTATGGGGTTTCTCTTAATCCTCACTCCCCTACCCGCCAGTAAGTGATATGGTTTGGATGTTTTGCCCCTCTAAGTCTCATGTTGAAATATAATCCCCAGTGTTGGAGGGGGAGCCTGGTGGGAGGTGTTTAGATCATGGGGGTGGATCCCTCACCAATGACTTAGTGCCCTCCTCGCTGTAATGAGTGAGTTCTTGCTCTGAGTTCGTGGGAAGTCTGGTTATTTAAAGGAGCGTGGCAACTGCCCTGCCGCCTCACTCCTTCTCTCACCATGTAATATGTCAGCTCCCTTTTGCCCTCCACCATGAGTAAAAGTTTCCTGAGGCCTCATCAGAGCAGATGCTAGCACCATGCTTCCTGTACAGTCTGCAGAACCATAAGCCAAAATAAACCACTTTTCTTTATAAATTACCCAGCCTCAGGTATTCCTTTATAGCAGTGCAAGAAGGGAATAATACAGCAAGTATCTAGTATAACAGTTTTCAAAACTGCTGTTAGAATTTATGATAAAGGATGAATAGCAAAGAAAAAAATACCATGAGCATATAAATGGCCTCTCAATAAAGCAAGCTTTTACTTGCAACCATGGGAGAGCCCAATTCTTTGAGACATATCTAGGGGCCATGATTTACTTTGCTGAAAGTCTAACCACTGTATGTGTTTCCACTGCAAGTTCCTCTAATCTATTCAGCATGGGCTCTGATTCAGAAAAGTTAAATTTACCTAAAAGAATTTGGAATGCCTCTCTTGCCAAGAAGGGCACAATCACCCTCTATGTCTTCATGTATCTGTGGCCGCTGAGGCCAGCTGTACCCAAAGCTCTACTTGTGGAAGCTTTGAATGGCCTCATGGAGGGGATCTTCAAGAAATGTGAAGGTCAGCGGGGGCTTGGCACCAGCTCTGTTGTAGGAGCTGGCTCTCCAGCTCAGAAATAAAGCTCCTCTGTTTGCCATTCAGAGCCACCTCTCTGATCACAAATAGTGCCACGTGAGAAATCAGTCTCGCTCCTGGTTCAAACCTTCGTGTCCTGCAGCACCCAGTGTCCTGACACCAGTGCCCAGCACGCTGCAACACATTTTACTTAGCCCTGATACCACTCTGTGAAATAGTAGGATCCTCATCTTTCACCAAAGAAAATTAAATCTTAGAATTGCTTAAAGCCACCAGCTGGTAGTGTGGGAGCAAGGATTGGAACCTTCCGCCCTGGTTCCTCTGCTCATTCCTCACTGTGCAGCTGGCCCAAAAGACAGGCGAGGTGGTGACGGACACAGCCCTCTGGGCAGTGTGTCACATCGCAGGTCCTTCTGAACTGTGGCTTTAGCTCAATAAAACTGCCTACACAGGTGTTGGGCGCAGCCTTCCATATCACACTGAGGTCAGAAGCAGCCCTTGAGTGTGTCACCTCTTCTGCTGGTGCCTCACAAGTGTTCACACGGACTGTAGAGGCAAGAGGGGCTGGGGAAGCACGACGGACCGTTCACCAGGCAGATCAGACACACTGGGTCATACCAAATGTATTTTGCAACATTTTAGCAATCTCACAATAACCCTGAGTTTTTCCCTCAGAAAACAAAATAAAGCTATTAATCCTTTTTACCTTCTATCCTATTCTTTTCTGTTGCATTGACTAAAAAGAGATCCCAGGAATAAGACAGATTCGGTATTTCACTGCAGTCCTCACACATAGCTTGAAGAGAGAGTTCGTCATTCCAGTTGACGAAGGTGTCTTTAAAGCTGACCCAGGAGATGTGGACGAATCTGAAATATATAAATTGGCTTGAGATCTTAGGAAAATAATGTGAGGGTTCTTTGGTCACATTAATTCATGTTAGGCATGTTTAAATCACCCTACTTTGGATCTTTATTAAGGGACTTCAATAGCAATGTCACAGCACATATGATGGCACATATGGAGTGGCCAACACTGTGCCAAGCTCGACACTCACGTGATCTGCTCTAACACTGTGAGATCCAGTGAGGCAAGGACACTGCCACCCTACAGAGTTCAGAGAGGCTGTGTAGCTTTTCCGAGTCACACAGCGGTGAGGGCAGAGCTGGGCCTGGTCAAGGTCCCTCTGTTTCCAAGCCTGGGCTCTGGCCCAGCTCTCCACACTAGAGCAGTTGCCACCACGTGATCCCTCTTCGCTGCCTTGCCTCAGGGCTTGCTTCTACCAGCTGCAAACCCATCCCCTCCCAAACTTTCCCCGTGGCCGTCCACCTTTGTGATTCCCACACAGCCTCAGATGCTCACAAAGAAAGATGTCTCCACTGCCTCGGCCCCGCCTCTTCCCTGTGCAGGGTTGTGGGTCATGGGCAGTTCACACATCCCATGCCCACAGCCCGGCGCCCACCTCCCTTGGGCCTGCATTCCATGGCTGCCTTCTGTCAAGCCCTCTAGTCTCTTTGCTGACCCAGCACTTTCCAGAGTGCACTTTTATGGTTTTTCATAATATCTCGGGGGTGGTTTGGGATTTAACAGATTTATTTCCTGTGGGACTTAGGGAGGGTTTAAAAGGCCAGGTCGGTAGATACTCTGGGGTGTGTGTGGTACCTGGTGTCTCCCATGCAAACATCCTATACTCTGCACCTGACGGCCCACGTCTCAGACCAAGGCCTAAGCACTCGACTCCCAGCACAGGGCTGAGGAGCCATGGTGGGAGAGGCCACACAGCGTCCTCGCCTGGCACTGGGCCCAGGCTGTGTGTGTGTGTGAAAGGGTGCATCTGTGTGGGTGCACAGTGGGGTGATGGGGGTGCAGACGGACATGGGCAAAGAGAGGTCCCTCCAGCCCCAGACCTCCTGGGGACATCATCCACATAGGCCTGGACCTTCCTGACAGGATCAAAAGATGTTCACCTGATAGCTTTGGCACATATTGAAAGACTATTTTAAAATAAATTCTGTAATTATCTCATGAGTAGCAGAGGTATATAGTACATTATATTTTTGGAATAGAAGTATTTAGTTTGTTAAATTTAATGATTAATGATTTAAATTGTGCCCCAATTGTTGTAGCCTTGTACCTGGCATTTCTTCACTTTTAGTACATATCCAGAGCCTCAAATAACAGTCAGTAGTCGGGGCCTGTGGGGCTCCCTGGGCAGTGCTGTATGACCTTGGGGCTCACCATGGCATGGCCCACTCTTATCCACTCAGCCTTATTTTCATGGCTCTAATCTTGAAACCCTGAATTCCAGTCCAGGGAATGACCTTCAAAGCAGTCTTTCTGATCTCTGAGGACAGCAGATTTGCTTCCTCCTCCAGGAAGCCTTCCCAAACCACCCAGCCCACAAACAGGACCATAGTAACTGCCCAGCCCCCTTGCCCCTACCATCCATGATGGAAGCAGTTCGATCTGCCCAGGGCCTTCCAGGTGACATATAGGGCTATGGGCAGAGGGTCAGTCCCAGCACTGCTTCCTGGGTGGGTGCCAGCTTGCAGCCCCGATGGGAGAGTGTCCAAAGCAGGTGGGCCTGGGCTCCTGCTCCATCCCGATGCTCACTTACATAATGACCCAACCCCCTTAGAGGAGGAGGCTGGGAAACAGCTGCAACTCACACCCTTCCTGCACTTGGCTCGGTCCTGGTATCCTGTGTTTGGTGTCCGGGGGCTGCACTACACCCACTGGCGCTGTTCTGGCCTCAGCGCTACAGGGGTTCTGGGTTTGGGGCACATCACTTCTTTGCCTCTGCATCTTTCATAGTCTCAGACCTCACAACTGGGCCCACACTGCTGTCCCCTCCATCCTGTGATGCTTGGAAGGCCTGGGCAATGGCCCTGAAACCCCTGGCTGGGAACTTGATGGCTTTGCCTCCTGGCTTCAGTCCCAAGCCCCAGGAGAGTCCCCGATCTTTCAGGCAGGTGCTGTGATGGGAGGGTTCCCGATGAGGTTCCACTTGGAACCCCCGGCTGTGCCAGCTTTAGCTAGTGTGCTTGGCTGTCAGATGCTGCCCAGACATCAGCCCGAGAGCGGGGACTGCTTCCCCAGCCGCTTTCTGAACAGTCTTCTCCTCCTCCTTTGCAGTGAGAATCCTGCATGGCCAAACTCCAAACTGCTTGCTGTGCACAGCAGATTCCTTTCACGGATGCTAGCACCAGGTGGGAACAAACACCGGTGAGCTGAGCTGTGCTGAATACAGGGTCAGGTACCTGAACGCCGAGTCAGGGTAGGGGGACAGGAACACCCGGGTCTCAGAAGAGTTCCGGCCACCACTGGAGACCCTCAGCATCACAAGGAACTGATCATAGCTGTCACTGAGCCATTGTGCCTCAAAGGAAACAGTGGGAGCCGCGGCATCCAGTTGGTGTGCAGTGGAGGAGTCGAAGCAGGGATGTGCTGGGGAGCCAGCGGTGGCGCATTCCCAGTGATACCTGTTGGAGAAGTCATCGGAGTGGCTGAGGGGAGCATCAGGCAGAGTCAGGGACTACCCTGTGTCACTGCACGGGTTTTCCCCAGGTGAGGGGGACCACAGGGGACACGTGCTGGGAAGAGATATTGCTTCCCACATTTTCTCCTGTAACTGAAGTGGGAGGTTGCAAAAGTGCAGCAGCACCACCACCTGGGGTGGGCTCAGGCCACCCCTCCCGACTCACTGAGGCCTGACTCCAGACAGCCTTGTTTCCAGCCCCACCAGGCTTCCTAACCCTTCTCTGCGCACAGCGACCTCCTCTGCTCACATGACTGCCACTTCCCAAGTCACACAGCTGTGCTGCCCTCAAGTATGTCCCAAACACTGCACCCCATCATCATGACAGCTCCATGTGACAGACAAGAATGCTATGTGAGCCCAGTTTTAGGAAGAAAATGTATTTGGGAGGCCTCAGAGTGTTTCCCTGTAGCACAGCTAGTGAGGGGTCTGTGAGATGGACTTCAGGCATCTCTCCTCCCAGTCTCACAGTCTTTCTGCAATATAACAATTGCCACACCCAACAAGATAAACATGGCTGCTCCGTCCAGGTCAAGCAGGAAGATGTCTTCCCCAACCTTGAGCCAGTCTTGCTCTAGCAGGGATGCACACTCAAACATATAGTTCCAGCAGGGAGGAAATGCTGCTATGGAAATGTTTGTGGCTAGGAAGGCCTGGCCCCATCCCGCAGCCATAAGCCCTTTTCAAAGGTGTCACCTAAATGTGAACTGATATTGATCTTTTAAAGAGCATTTCTCTGTCTGGTGTGCAGGCACCTCATTCTAGACCTTTCTGTTTCCAGAGCCTGCATAAAGAGGTACTGTGATGGCTCAGGAACTACCCTGCTCAGCAGGAGCACTGCCTCCAGCTCACAGGCTGTGCAGAGCAACTGCCCCTGGGGTTTAGCTGGAATATTCTATACTCCCAGGGAACAAATTCAGCTCATTTCAGCAGCCACACATGGAGCTCTTGTTTTTGGGCACTGTGCAGGTGCTAGGGCATGCGGATGTGAAGATGAGTAAGACACAGCCTCTGTCTCCTTAGGTTGGGTGCAGGGAAGTCTGCAGATGGCTAAGGGCTTTCCCAGAGCATGTGCATGAATCAAATTGGGGAGTCCAAGCAGCCTTTTGCCTCCTCTCAACTCAAGAAACAGCAAATTCCACACCTGGAATACAGCAAATATGTGTGATCACAGGGGTTGGGAAAACAACGCAACTCATCTATTGCTTTATAAATAAATATTCCCTGACTAGCTACTACATTCCAGGCATGGGGGATATATCAAATAAGAGCCCTGCCCTCCAGAGCAGTGACCATAGTAAGTGAGCAAAGGCTCGATGTCAAGGGTGACTACTGTGAAGAAAGATGCCATCAAATCAGGGTAGGATCTGTCATTTTGGAGTCTCAGTGGGGGCCCCACTGGGAAGGTGATATTTGAGCAATGAGTGAAGGCGGTGATGGCAGATGTTTGGTGAACTGAGTGATGAGCTGCAGAAGGAACCCTTGCTGTAAAGAGCTGAGAGAGATGCAAGCTGGGTAAGTCCAAGGAGGGGCAGGAAGGCCAAACGGGCTGCACAGTGAGCTGTGGAGGCAGGAAGGGACAGCTGAAGCTGCAATGGGTTGGGAGAGGTCACATCATCCTCACTGGCACTGTGAGGACGTTGGCTTTTACTCTTGAGTAAAAAGGGGGTGCTGGAGGGTCAAACTGTGAAGTAAAGTCTTCTGACTGTTTTAAAAGAATCTGTCTCCAAAAGGAGGGAGGTTGGGAGGTGGGTGAGGGATGAGAAATTACCTAATGGGTACAATGTACAGCATTCAGGGAATGGTTACATTAACAGTCCAGACTTTAACACCACTAATATATCCATGTAACAAAACTGCACTCATATCCCCTAAATCAAAAAGAATAAAAACCAATAATACTAGTAAAAGAACCTATCCCTGCCTTGGAGACAGGGCTGCAGGGGAGGATGGAGGTGTGGAGACTGGCCAGGAGATCTTACGGAGATGAGCCCAAGACCCTGGCAGCTCAAACCACAATGTACCGGGGGTAGGGGAGGTGGTGTGGAACTGATGTTTAAGGGAGGGCCAAAAAAAAAGAAAGGAAGAAAAAGAAAAAGTAAAAGATGCTGGTAAAGATTTTGGCCTGTGGCTGGGCCTGATGGCTCACGCCTGAAATCCCAGCACTTTGGGACGCCAAGGCAGGCAGATCACTTCAGGTCAGGAGTTTAAAACTAGCCTGGCCAACATGGTGAAACCCATCTCTACTAAAAATACAAAAAATAGCCAGGCATGGTGGCGCGCATCTGTAGTCTCAGCTACTCAGGAGGCTGAGGCAGAAGAATTGCTTGAATCCGGGAGGCGGAGTTTGCAGTGAGCTGAGATCGAGCCACTGCACTCCAGTCTGGGTGACAGAGTGAGACCCTATCTCAAAAAAAAAAAAAAAAAAAAAAAAAGAGAAAGAAGATTTTGGCCTGAGCAACTGGAAAGGTCCTTCCACGGGTACAGAAGGCAGGTGTGTGGCTGAGATGTCTCGAGGGTGTCCAGAGGGGGCGCTGTAGGGACGCCGGGACTCACAGCCCAGAGTCCGGAGAATGGTCTAAACAGAGAATTCCTGTCTGAGGCTGTTGCACATGGATCATGGATGGATCCACATCAGGACCCTGGCTGAGCCCACAGGCGGGAAGCGGTGTGGATGGAGAAGAGGACCAAGGGCTGAACTGGGGGCAGCCTCCAGCAACAAGAGACCCATCTACCTGGAGATGAGCAACCCGTGGAAACCAAGCCTTCCACACACCACGGCATCTCACTAACCAAGAATTTAACAATGGTGACACTCAAGCCTCATGTTCCAAAACAGATCACTCTTTAAACACCACCTTAAAAAGCGACTCACATTTTACTTCCACTCTTTTCCTCAATTCCCTTATATTTTGTTCCTAAATAAAGCAGTTAAACTTAACGAAAGTTGATGTGCTTAAAATTTAAAACTATTAATAGCCTCCAACGTTCCAGAGCCTGCATTTGCAGAATGCGCGGTCTGAGTAGCTGCGCAGCTCTGTGTGGGGGTGGTGCTCACCTGAGAGTCGCCCCAGGGTCGTCAGGGTCGAAGGACTGGGTCCCTCTGAGGACAATGGGGGATGAGGTGGTCCTGGAGAAGAATAGGTGTGTGCCCTCGGAGATCACACTGACAGGGGCCTGGGCTCGCACCTCCAGGCCCACACAGTAGTTGCTGTACACCACACTGCCTTCAATCTGAACCTGCAGGGGCAAGGAAGGACAGGGGATGTCATGCAGGGACAAGGCAGGGACTCACTGGAGAAACACACTAGTCTGAAAATTAGAAAGGAAGCCGACGAGTCTCAACGCATCCCTGGCTCCAACTAAAACAGTCTTGGTAGTCAAAATAACCACTCTACTGTACGACATGAGAGCTGTGACTGGAGTCCACGAGACCATGGACATCTTCCTATCCAAGCTTGTGTTAATGTACAAATTTGGGCATTTCCTAGCTTGTGAACACAATAGAGACTTTCCATGTGTGCACATTTTATAGTTTTCAAACCTCCTCCCTCCACAGTGAATTGTTCAGGCTCCTGGCTTTTGTGCAACTTCCTTCACCTATCTTAGAGCTGCTTCTTTCTAACCCCCAAACATATCATGGACTTTAGGAAATGTAAATGAAATTTAAGACAAATACTTTTAAACCCAGGAATAGCAGAACATGTTATAAATAAAACATTCATATTGTTCTTTTACAAGTTTGATGCGGCCAGGCGCGGTGGTTCATGCCTGTAATCCCAGCACTTTGGGAGGCTGAGGTGGGTGGACTGCTTGCACTCAGGAGTTTGAGACCAGCCTGGGCAACACGGTGAAACCTCATCTCTACTAAAAATACAAAAATTAGCTGAGCGTGGTGGCATGTGCCTGTAATCCCAGCTACATGGGAGGCAGAGGCACAAGAATCGCTTGAACCCAGTAGCCCAGAGGGGGAGGTTGCAGTGAGCTGAGATCACACCACTACACTCCAGCCTGGGCAACAGAGTGAGACCCTGTCAAAAAAAAAAAAAAACTGACGCAATTTGAAAAAATACAGTCTAATACTTGCTATTCTTTCACTGGGTCTCAGCCTTGATCACTCTAGATTTTCTTCAGATGCACACAGTTCCCTGCTGATCAGTCTCCTGAGTAGGACCAAAGACAACGGAACAGCTGTAGGATTAGAACTCTCATTTCCACCTTCAACCTCTGTTTGCTCAGCCTCTCCAGCTCCAAGGAGCTGCTGAGAATATTCCAAGTATATACAAAGGCTGGAGGAGGCACCAAGCAGGAAGCTGCTTGGGGAAGATGCAGGGCTGTTCAGGAGCAAAGGAAACCTGAGGCTCTGACTGTGAGGTCAGAGACAGCAGAAGTTACCTTATCTGTCAGAAGGTCTCCAAGACCTAGAGAAAGACACAGACCCCCTGTGAAGACACTGAAGACTACAGAAGTGGCTCCCAGCTCATAGCCAAACCTCCTTCGGAGCTCCCATTACCTGGCCTGTCCCATAGGCTGGACACATCTTCTATGGCTTGCTGGGTTTAATTTAAAAATTACGTAGTTTATATATTTAGAAAGCAGAGTTTTATTTTTTAAGAAAGGGATTATAATCTGTAAGCAGGAAGTGTAGTCTCTGGCTAAGAAATTGAAAGTAAGTATTTGGAGGAGGGAGGGAGGGGTAAGAGGAATTTCAGTTGAATGCATTATCACATATTCACAGGATATAGGAGTTATGGATATCTATGGAAGAGGATTGTGTTTTTGTGTAATAAGTAAACATATATATGTGCTTTATGTTTACTTTTGGGTGGAGACAATATTGCAATGTATTATAATTAGGTCTTTTATGTTAAAAGGTAAAGTAGGGACATGAAGGCACTTAAATGCGTAGTCAAACTGGGCAGAATTAGTTTACGGTTGGTGTTTTTTATTAGGAAAAATTTATAGAAATTAGTTTTTTGTTTAATTAAAGTCATAGTTAAGGCTTGAGGAATGGGGGGTTAATTAGTTGATGTTTGGTGGTTGTAGAGTTGTAATTGTTTTAATACTGTTTATTTTAAGGCTAGTGTTTGTTTAGTTGATAGAGAAAAGGGGAGAAAAATCCTGTGGCAATGAGAACAGCTTATTTTTTAATTGTAGGACTGTGTGATTTCACTCTTGCCTGGCCTTAGGTCTTGTTTATAATTTGGTATCTTATTGTCATAAAGAGTATGTCCTGGCCAGGCGTGATGGCTCACGCCTATAATCCCAGCACTTTGGGAGGCTGAGGCAGGCAAATTGCTTGAGCCCAGGAGTTCGAGAGCAGCCTGTGCAACAGGGTGAAACCCTGTCTCTACAAAAAATTAGCCAGGCATGGTGGTATGCACATGTAGTCCCAGCTACTCAGGAGGCTGAGGCAGAAGGATCACTTGAGCCCAGGAGGGAGAGGTTGCAGTGAGCCGAGATTGCAGCCACTGCACTCCAGCCTGGGCAACAGAGTGAGACCCTGTCTCAAAAAAAAAAAAAAAAAAAAAAAAAGGAGTCCGTTCTGTCAGTCTTATAATCACTATTTTAACATTAATGTTGGTCAGTTGTTGTGTCTAAACTGTGAAAGGGAGGGGGCGTAATGAGGCATATCTGACCTTGAGTCCCATTATGGCCAGGAACTCCATTTTTTAAGTATTTTCTGGGTCCCCTTGGCCAAGAGGGGATTTGTTTAGTTGTTTGGGGGGGACTTAGGATTTTATTTTTAGTTTACAGGCTCTATCTACCTCCCCTACTAGGTTGTTCACACAAGTGTGCAAAGACCTTATTTATCTCCAAATCCCTCCCCCCAGCACACAGCCAGGTACAAATAGTGCTGTTTTCATTAGGAAAATGAAGAGCAGCCTCACCCTCCTCCACTCGTTCAGTATTACAGATTTTCCTTTGCATTTCCCCTTGGCTTCTTACAATTAGCCACCCATCAGGTCAGATGCTCCCCACCACCCCGAGGTCCCCTGACATTGACCCTGCTCTGCTCTCTATTCCCCAGCTGCCCCCTGCTTCAGCCTCTAATGACTTCTCACCTTCACTAACACTCTCCCAACATCCCATCCTTCAGTCTGTTTCCTACTCGTTCCCAATCAACATTTCTAAAGAAGAGTATACAGCCTGCTGGGAAAGCTCTGCTTTTTCCTACAACCTGCATCTGAAGTAATGCTATGCTAAGCCTGGTCTGCAGCCTGTTGTCACTTGGCCCATCGTTACCTGCCTATTTCGCGATGAGATAAGTACAGACACTGAGAGGAAGCTTCTGGCAACTCCAGCATTTGCCATCGCTGTGACATCCCAGCACAGATTGGGAGGATTTGCTTCCTCAGGCAAGGTCAGGGCAGTTTGGGTGCCGAGGAGCTTTGTGGCAAGCCACACAAGGCACCAGATGGAACTGTGCTCAATAGGACTGCGTGCCCCACAGCTTAAAAGAACAAAGCTCCTTCGCTGCAGATATTCTGAGGGTCCCTGATCAGGTTCCCGCAGCCTGGCCTGCCCACTGTGCAATTTGTTCCCAGAATCTCCCACCAGGTTCTGCTCATTATCCCTGGTCTTCTTCTAGCCTTTGCCAAGCTGTTGCCCCTCCCAATCCCTTTCTATGTCTGTGGACAGATTCTCTTTTCAGCACCCTGTTTCTTGAAGCCTACTCTTTTAAAAATGACCTCTCCCTCTTTTAACTCGCATATTTTCACCACTTTTTCCAGCCAAAATGCACCAAGCACATGCTGAGAATCAAAGTGCCAGGCAGTCACCGTGAGTGCCTCTTGGATGCCCTGCCCTCTGACTGTCGTCTCCTTTCCTTTCTGGGTGATTGGCCCCTAAATGGCAGGGCCACACATTCTCCTGACATCCCGGCACCAGCACAGGGCTTATTCAAATTAGGTACACAGGAAGGTTTTGTTATACACATTGGAAGGAGCTTTTCATCAATTGCTTTGACTGCATTTGAACATAATTTGTTCTCTTTGGGGGAATTAAACATTTCTCTTAAAATCCAATGCAGATTTTTTTTTTTTTAAACAACCTCCCTTTTCCTGGATCGAACAGGTGTTGAATTCCAAATGCTGAGCTCTTGCTCCAGGGCGATGAGAAGCATGGGTTTCATTGGGCCAGTAGAGCAGTAAGTCAGCCAGCTGACCTTGGCAAGGGCAGTGTAGTTCCCATACTCCAAGGTGTGGCTCGGGAGGATGAGGGTCTGTCTGTGAGTGTCCACAGCAGCAGGGAGGGAGACAGGGAGCCCTTCAGAGTCCATCAAGTTCCAGGTGTAAGAAAGACCTTGGGAAATATCACAGAAGACTGCAGCTTCAAACGTCACTCCCAGCCTCACAGGCTGAGACCTCCATATCTAAGTATCAAGAAGAGAAGATGTCTCATTAAAATGTCCATCACATCTAATGTACTGGTAAATTACTAGAAACTTAGTCTTAACTGTAGATCTCCCATTATTTGTTTGCATAGTGACAGAATGGTATTCTTAGGTCTGGGCTTTAGACAACACCAGAATAAACACTACATCTATTTTATAGACAAAAATAAAAGGTTAAAAAAAAACCAACTAAAATAATAAGTAAATATTTATATACTCATGAGAAAAAACTTCCTATGCATAAAATTAATGGAAAAATAGCAAAGATATCTGATATTTGATTACATAAAAAATTTAAGCTTCCAAACGTCAAAAATATAAATGTTATGCTTCTGGGTTTTGGCACCTATGTGTATATATAAATTTTTTAAATCAATGAATATAATAAGAAAATCATTTGCAGTATACACAACAGATGTTTGCTTTCCCTATTTTTTTCTTCACTGAAATATTCTTAAGTCATTCTCAGAAATCATGACATTTAATCCCTAAATACTAAATATACATCTCTAAAAACTAAGGGAATTTTCCTACATCAACACAACACTACTATCTCACCTTAAAAATTAACAATAAGTTCTTAGTATAATTTAAACCTAGTTTATAATAAAATTTCCCTTATTGTCTCCAAAACATACCCTTGTGCAATTGTTTGATTTGAGATGCACAAAAGTTCTTTTGCTAAAAAAAAAAAAGGAGAGAGGAGAAAAAAATTTTCTTATCAACTAGAACTATGAGGTTTCCTAAACTATAGTTTGGTCAGGAAAATAAGAATAAATGCTTAATTCTTTCCCTTAATTACCAACATTCAGAGTAAGAAGCTGGGGCACTAGTTACTTCCAAAGGTGACCAATATGTTACTTGTGTCTGCCTGCTTGGTGGGAACAGCAGAAGCTTCTCTTTCTCTTTCAGCATAATTATTTTTAAAATATTAGCATTATTCATTCAATTGTAGATGTTACTTTTTAGATGCTCCAAGTAGCCCATCAGGGGCCTGGGGCACTCTCCTTGGCCTGGCTCTGGCAACCTTCTGGTATGACCCTGGTAGTCTTTTAAAGTGATGGGTTTGTTGCACTATTCTTTCTACTGTTATTTATGCTTTAAAATTTCCATAACAAAGAATTTTAAATGTTAATAGTAGCTGATACATATACAAAAAGCATATTTGCTCACTTTAATAAGCCAATGAGGATGAGGATATGGGGGGGAATATTAGTGTCTACCCATCCACACCCCTTACTCCTCCCAGCCACTCTGTCTTTCTGAAGCCCCTCCACACCCCCTACTTTGGGCTGGAGCCAGATGCCACCTCAAGCATGGAGGAGCAAGCCAGGCTAGGGGGCCTCAGGATAGAGTCTCTGCCTGGCCAGAGCGCCTCCACCCTGCAGATGCTGGGTGCAGGGTCTCCCCCAGAGGGATTTTTTTTTTCCTGAAGGTTCCCTAAAAATTGGAAAGGGAAGGCCAGGCACGGTGACGCAAGCCTGTAATCCCAGCACTTTGGGAGGCCAAGGTGGGCGGATCACGAGGTCAGGAGATCAAGACCATCCTGGCTAACACGGTGAAACCCTGTTTTTACTAAAAATACAAAAAATTAGCCAGGTGTGGTGGCGGACGCCTGTAGTCCCAGCTACTCTGGAGGCTGAGGCAGGAGAATGGTGTGAACCCGGGAGGCGGAGCTTGCAGTGAGCCCAGATTGCACCACTGCACTCCCTCCTAGGCAACAGAGCGAGACTCCATCCCAAAAAAAAAAAAAATCGGAAAGGGAAAAACCTGGAGGCAGCTGAGAAATGGGATTTTAAGAAATCTTGGTGCTCATTATAAATGAAAGTTTACTTTTGACATTCTTTAGGTGACTTTAGTTATAATTAAAATTACTTTCCAATTACTTTTTATTGTTTCTATTCTGAATATGATATCATTCTAAGATTTGTCACAAAACTGCCCAGATTTATATGGGTTACAGCAAATTTTAATACTAGGATGCCAATTTTTAGCTCATTCATGATAATAAACATTAAAAAATATGAAATGCCTAGTGAGAGTGAGAGTTGGTCCCTCAGAGCGGACACATGTGAGCTGCTACAAAAACATCTCTAGGCTTGTCAAGATTCTGGGAAAGGCATTGTGTTCTTCAGTTCTATAACTTGTAGTAATTATTCCTGTGAAAAGGCCATACACTTGCAGAACAATGTACAGACAGTGTAATTGCCAAGTTATTTGTAGTGATAGAAAACCGGAAACTTGGCCAGGCATGGTGGCTCATCGCACATTGGGAGGCCAAGGTGGGCAGATCACCTGAGGTCAGGAGTTCAAGACCAGCCTGACCAACATGGTGAAACCCCATCTCTACTAAAAATACAAAATTAGCTGGGTGTGGTGGTGAGCGCCTGTAATCCCAGCTACTTGGGAGGCTGAGGCAGAAGAATAGCTTGAACCCAGGGGGTGGAGACTGCAGTGAGCCGAGATCATGCCATTGCACTTCAGCCTGGGCAACAAGAGTGAAACTCAGTCTCAAAAATAAATAAATAAATAAATAAAAAGAAAACTGGCAACAACAGTTGTTCAATCAGAGGACATTATATAGTGATGTATAATCTTTATGTATGATTTAACAGTAAGACATCATTAAAATTATGTAATCAAAAGGCTGCTTAATAACAAAAGAAAATGCTCACACTGCAACCCAGGTTTGTGACAAACACACATACCACATATAAAAAGCCTTAGAAAAATACTGAAAATAAATAATTAGACAAAAGTGGCTATCACCTACTGCCTGGATTTGAGATGATTTCATTTTTTTCTTTATACTTTTAGAAAACACGTAAAATAAAGAAAAAATGACCGGGCAGGGTCCTTCAGGTCCATAATCCCAGAACTCTGGGAGGCCAAGGCAGGTGGATCAATTGAGGCCAGGAGTTAAAGACCAGCTAGCCTGGCCAATATGGCAAAACCCCATTTCTACTAAAAAAATTAGCTACGCATGGTGGTGCACACCTGTAATCCCTGCTACTTGGGAGGCTGAGGCAGGAGAATCGCTTAAAGCCAGGAGGCAGAGGTTATAGTGAGCCAAGATCATGCCACTGCACTCCAGCCTGGGCAACAGAGTCTCAAAAAAAAAAAAAAAAAAAAAGAAAAGAAAAAATGAAATTATCAATCTTATTTTCTGTGTTTTACAGATAAGAAAATAAAAATAACAATGTTTTACAGATAAAAAACTCAAGAAAACCACTCTGTCCCATGTCCTAACAGCAGAGTCAGGACGGGAGCCAGAGTCCTCCTGCCTAGGGTCTGTGCTTTTTCCTGCTGTGCCTTTTGCTTTAGTCCCTTTGCTATTTGGGTCCAAATCTCACACCCAGAGAACGCGTTCCCCCAGCACGCAGACCTGCCCAACAGCGTGGGTGCTCGCTGGTCTAAAGGTGGGCAGGGGTATTGCCTGTGTGGGGGCCGGGACCCTTTCCGGATTGCCCCGGGCACTTGGTCTCTGCATGCTGATCTCCACCAGCACCCTCTGCGGGCTGACCTCTTGGGGTCAGATGCCACAGAAAGCAGTTTAGCAAATGCAGCTTAGTCACGGATTTTAATTCCCATGTGTCATTTGAGCACCTCTGCCCTGAAAAGGAAAATTTGCTCTGAATCACAGGCCTCAAAGGAATGAAAGAAATAAAAACCAACCCTATTTTTTCTAACCCAGAATAGGTGTTCAACAGATAACCGATCATGTCCTTTCATTTTGGTGTTACATATATTCAAATGTTTCATTCTCCTGAAAATGCTACAGTTCTTAGCATAATCCAAAAAAAGAAAGGAAAGGAAAGGAAAAGAAAAGAAAAGAAAAGAAAAAAAAGAAAAGAAAAGAGCTCCTTAAAGTGAGCTGTGCTGAATGCCAGAGTAATGCAGGCGAATAAAGAACTTATTCACACACCAGACCCCAGAAATGACACTGTCTCCTCCTGTCCAGGCTGGGGTAGCCCTCCCTCCCCTGAGGACCCAGGTCACCCGCTCTGAAGCCCTTATAGGCACTCCTTTGTGTAAATTGCAGTAGGATAAACTGGACAAAGCCTCGCTTCATGCCCCAAACTCTCACCACTCCAAACAGTGGTCCCAACTCAGAGGGAGGCTGAAAAGAGGCTGGTGGAGGATTTCCCAGACTCCGAGCCTACCTGGACTTTCCCAGGCCCCATGTTCTTCACCAGGGGTGGCTGGCAGGGCTCGCACACGATGAAAAGTTGCTGTCTTAGAGTGGAGGCACTGACATTATTGAAGGCAAGGACCTCCACTGTAAATTCTCCTTCCCTGGGACGGTGGAAAGCACAGAAATGAACAAATTTATGTTGATGAACGTCAGGCTTTCATTCACTCTTCATACCCACTCATATCTGCAGAATTATAGTATTTGACAGCAAGTCATCCCATGAATAAGAACAGAAGAGTCAAGGGTCACAAGACTGATTTCCACAGAGGTCTTTCATCATTTAATCAACAGACTGGCTCCCCAGCTAGCCTGGGCCAGGCCAAGTACCAAACTCCCAGACCGATGTCACATGCTATATTCAAACAATACATCTATGTGAGGGGCATGTTGCTTCCTTCTTTGGGCAACCCTCCCCACAGCCATGACCTGGCCCCCTTTTGATAACAGAACAGATCTATATATTTTCTCTGTGTGATGGGTACCCCAACCCATAACTGGGGGGTCTCCGGGGATGGTCTTCCTGTTCTATTTCCTGCTCCATGGATCAGTTTTCCTGACCAATTTCTTAGAGTCCTACAAACTCAGGAAGGACAGGATAGATCCATAGCCTGTCTCCGGGTAAGGGGAGCATGTCACAGCTGTGGAGAGATTCAGGACAGTTGGAGGTGAGAGCTGGGTAGCTCCTGACCCAGCAGGTAGTGCTTTACTAAGGAAATAAGTGGTTATTTTGCAAATGTTGCAACATGGATAACTACTTAAGACTTCTGAATTTGAAAGAGAAAAATATTCCCATCAGAAGACCACAAATTTGAGTTTGCAAGGACCAGAATATCACTTGCCATCCTGGAGCTCCAGCAAGAAAGGTAGGGCCTACTGATAAGAATGAAGACTAGATGGTTTTCTCAGGTTGTCAGAGCGCCCAGGGCACACTCTAGAGATGACAGTGGAGGCACCGAATAAACCATGTCACTTCCACAGGGCACAAAAGGGCTTCTGGAGCTACCGAGTATATCGCCAGGTACCTAGGCCACCATGTGCTCAATTGAGCATGCACCAATCTACAAGCCACTACTGCTCAATTCTTTCCTTATGTGAAAATCTATTTCTGATGAAAAAGTCCTGAATCCATAGTTAGTGATGGGGCCATTCAGTCCCCACCAAAGCGTGGAGAGGCTGCAGTGTGGGTTCTCATGGAAATCTTGCATTGGAGGAAGTTTGCAATCTTTCCCTGATGCCACTGCCTACACGAACCTCATTTTCTAGATACTTCTGCACCCTTTGACATTTCCCTACAGCAGCATAAAGTTTTGATGCCAGCCTGAGGCTCAGCCTTGACCATGTGTGTCTCCCTACTGAAAGGATTAGATCCACTTGGGTCCTAGGACTCACCCTAGAGGCTCGGCTGGGAATGAGTGATCCAGCCAGTCTGCACCTTATCATATCTCCACGATGCTTTGTCCCAGGTACACAGTGGACACTCAGTAAATGCAGAGTTAAAGGACAGAGTTCATGCTCTTCCATATGACATCAAGGCCCTTCACAATCTGCCAACCTACACTCATCTCACCCTTCTATATACGTCTTGCCAGTCACTCCAAACATCTCCTGTTGGCACCTCACTTAGCACCTTTGCCCAGGACCTTGTCACTGTTTGGGAGCCTCTCTCCCATTTCCCTTTGTCAAGCTCCTACTCAAGATATCACTTTCAGTAAGCCATCCCCACCACATCACAGGCCTCCTTTGCAGCCACAGCCCCTGTACTGAAAGCATCTCTTTCCTCTTTGTCTTTCCCCTGGACTAGGAGCTCCTTGAGAAGCATGGTCAGGTCTTATTTGTCTCTGTGTAATCATCTGTCACCTACGTTGACTGACAGGCAGGTCTCTATGTGGAACCCAAGGGCTGATGCCTTAAGACTCTGATTCCCGCGCTGTCTGTAGAGAGCACTCCGCCGCCTTGCAGTGGCTCACCTACTGTAGACATGGCTGCTGGAGCTGCTCCCCAGGCTGACGGTGCCATCCCCAAAGTCCCACAGGTAGGCAACATCTGTGCCGAAGTTGATCCAGCACTCAAAGGCCACACTGGCATTTACCAGAGCTGAGGAGGGGGACGTGAGCCGATTGGCCACAATTTTCTTCTGCACCCTGATGACATGGGGCTCAGAGACCACACTGCTCATCCTGTTGGAAGCCTTAACCATCACACGATACCTGCAGGATGGGGAAAGGAGGGCAGGGAAGGCAGATGGCAAGACAAGAACAGGGTCAGGTCTAGAGAAACCGTCTGCTATACTTTAAGAGGAAGGCGGGGGAGGGGGAGGCAGCATTTAATTTGTAAGAACTACAAAAGTATCTAGTGATTTTCATCTTATTGAGGAGAAGGGGGTTGATATTTTTGACTACCCCCCTCTTCATTATTTAATTCATTTCTCAAAGCAGTAGGGGTAAGCATCATTGCCCTTTCTTAGATGAGGAATTTCTTAGGTCACATGGGTGGCCGAGATAGAATTCGAACCTAGGACTGTCTGCTTCAAAGCCCTACACCGTTTCCCTTAGTTCAAGCTGAAGAGAAATGAACGAAATCTTCCCTTAAATCTTATGTTGAGTTTGCTTCACAGAAGGACCTAGTGGCCCATTATAATACAAATGCAACAGCCATAAAATGCCTTCGGTAGCAGCATGGTGATCTTCAGACTGAGTATAGGCTGCAGTACAAACAGCTACTCAGCAGGACTGCTACTTTTACTGACCATTGGGGGATGCTGAGTCTTTTTTTAATGCTTCTTGAAGTTGTCCTCACTGGTGGATCCTCTCCAAAATACCACTCAAATTCCAGGGGTATTGTTTCCTTGGTAACAGCTGTAAATGTAATGTCTGTGTCTGTGGCAAACACAGTTCCATTTGTGTAGACAGAGACGGCTGTGGCAAAAGAAAGGAAGGTATGTCTATGTCAACATAGGAGGGCTGGAATCTCCAGAGAAACTAGTACCTCTACTTTCCCACTTGGTCATGGGCTTGAGTGATGGTGAGGAAGCTCTGATATGCATGCAGATTGGCAGCAAGGATGCAGCTGTGGGCACGCGGTAGGCAGTGCTGGCCCTGGTTCAAAGGCCCCAAAGTGCTTGCACAGGAGGTGCTCCTAAGGCCATAGGGCCAACTCCCTTTGAGATTCTGCTAGAAAGGGTGTGGCACATGGAGCTGGCAGATAACAGTCCCGATAACCCACCTTCCCATTCCTTCAATTGGGAGCCTTAATGCCTGTGGTTTCAGAAAATTCCCAGAACAAATGGCAGATGAACAAAGAACCTGTTCAATGACAAATGGGGCTCTCCAGCAGAGCCGATAACAAAACCTGCTGCTGCCTACGGCTTTCCTAATCTCAGCTGACTGCGCGAGGGAGGTTTTTGTTAAATCTGGAATTAAAACAAAGACATACATTGCATCTTATACCAGACAGTCATGCTGTGCCAAGCCTGGCTGTCACCCACTTGAGTCTGAGAAATAAAGGACACGTTATATGAAGGAATAGATGGAAAGTGATGTATAACCACAGTGCCTAAAATGAGAAAAAAAGGAGATAAGAGAAAAAGTCTTAAAATTAATTCACTTTTATCATGCAACACACAGTCAGTATTTTTCATTTTTAACTTTCCCCCTTTGAATCTCAATAAATTTCAAAATTCTAAGCATGTGCTCTGAAATCAGACATACCTGGGAAACATAAACTTAATCACAGAATTTCTGTCATTAAATTTTTCTTTGTATATTTTCTCTAAATGAGAACTCCCTGCATGGTATTAAATATGCTAATTCCTTTGAAATATGTTAATTACTTTGATAGATGGCCTTGTTTTTAAAGTATTTCTCAATATGTACACTAAGTAGTCTTCACTTCACAGGAGTTCTTAAATAGGGGTCTAATAAGCCTTGTGCTTTTAAGTCCTATAAGATGTAATGTAAGATTGTGCATATATGTATATATACATGTACACACACCATACACATACCACACATATAGCATATACACACATACATACCATATACACACCATACACAGCATATGCACTATACACATATGCACATGTACACACATATCACACATACCCTCCTATGACATACCACACATGCATGTACATATGTATGTACATACATATGGAGGTGGATACCAAACACTGAATCAGATTCTGAAAGAGTACTGTGATGTCTAAGAAGATTTAGAGCAACTCATTTATCATAAAAGGGTATTAAGAAAGGAGGGTTATTTATTATTACTACTGTTCTTCTGCATAATTTTCTCTTTATAAAGAGAAAATACTTGTTTATAACAGAGATAAAGCAGAATGGGTATTCTGTCCTTCATCAATGCATCAGAATTTTTGAAAAATAAATATCATATGACTAAAAATAGATATATGATAAATAAATATCACATGGTCTCATTAAGCATGCCTGAAAATTAATTCTGAGCACAATCTGATAATCAAAAGTGTTAAAAAAAAAAGATATAGTTTACAGATTTGCACAAGAATACCCTATTATCAATCTGTAGGGCTGGATGCAAACTTGGACCTTCCTATTCTAAATCCTGGCATGGAACCATCGGAAATTTACAAGAATTGTGCCCTTGCACTGGCTAGACGTGCTGCTTATTTATTCAGGTTTAGATAAGACAAGTCAATATGAATGACCAACCGGCTAGTTAGGGTAGGCAAACAGGTTAAAAAAATCCTTCCATATGTATGTCATAACTTCTTGGATGGAGAGTTTCTCACTAGTCTGATTATAAACAGGTACAGCCACTGTGTGGAACAGCTGGAAAGAATTCTTACATGGATGAGTTCACTGAGACTCATCCCTTCATTGGATCCTCCTTTCTCCTGTTTCTGGGAAATGTGACCCCATCATCCCACCCATGTAGGCTGGGCACTTTGGGAGTGCCTCTGGCTGGCTCCCATTTGCTTTGTTGCAAAGTGTAGGGACTCTTTTTTCTACGGTAAGTGGCTGGAGTTCCCCATTCCCACCCCCAATGGCCTCTGAGCTTCCGGTCCCTCCCTCTACAAAACTGACATGAAGCAAATACCTCCCTTACAGGTAGCTGTGCGGATAAAGTGGGGTGACACGAGTGAGGCGTTAGCAGTGGATAAAGTGGAATGGATATTTTGTCCTTCATCAATGCATCAGTGTGCACCTGGCACACTCAGTGAGCACCGGATGCTTTCTCAATTCTGTTTTAGCTCAAGGCCATGCTGTCTGACCAAAATGTGCCTCCAGCCCGTGCTGCAAGGCTCATTATGTATGCCAGCTCCCACCTCAGATGTGCCCTGTCCCCACAGTTAGATAAAGTTCCTATCTCCTAAAATCTCCCAGCCCCTTAGCCATATCCTTCCTAAGCATTTTTAATGTCGTGTCTCATCTTGCTCCTATGCATATCTTAATATTTTCACTAAGATAATAGATTCCTTGAGATGAAGACTTTGTATGACTTTATCTTCATGTTCCCTCAGAACACAGTATTCTGCAAGACATATTTTCTGAATTAGGGAAGAATGAATGAAGGATGTTGTATCAAATTTAGAACTGCTATAACTTGAACAGTATAAGTAAAGCGGAGATACCCTGCTTCATTTATAGTTGAAGTGTGCTTGCTCAGACTCCAGACATACGTCTTACTTTTCTGATTCACTTGGGAGTCAGCAAAGACAAGCACTTCATCTTCATGGACACTGCTGGAGTTCATGAACGCAGACACGGCCTCATGGCCAATCTCCACATAATAAGGCCCAAGCTCCACTTCGGTTCCATGAAACTCGTTATAAATAACAGCCTTGAGCATATAGACTCCTTCTGGAAAAATAAGAATGAACGGACACTTGATGAATTTTTAATAACAAGCATAACAGTTAACATTTGTAGAATGGTCAAAATGGGGTGATTAATATGGGAACTGATACAGGAGAGGTGATCTTTCTTGTCTCTTGTAGCAGCAGGGCCATTTCATGGGCATGTGACCCATACAGTTGCACAGAGCCCCTCACGCAATGGAGCTATGTGAGTGATTTAATGCTCTGCTATCTTGAAATTCTTCATAATTATTTTTAGCAAGGAGTCCTGCATTTTCATTTTCCACTGGGCCTTGTGAATTACGTTGCCAATCCTCTGCAGTAGGAAATATTCATAAGGAAGAAAATAGATATTAGTTATCCCACAGCTAGACAAATAATACTTAAACAGCCAAATGGGAATATATCAAATAACTATGATGATGGATGACAAAAATGGTCCCAAACCCTTATCCGTTTTTCACACACTTACAATACAACTATAATATGACTCTGTGGCTCCTCTCATTAAGTGGAGAAGACTATTGCTTCACCCCTCGAATCAGTGCTAATCATATGGCCAGTGGATTTTCAAAGTGCTTGCACACTGGGGCTTGCCCTCTCTTTCTTGTCTTGGGACCTCTGTCATTGTCATTGGGACCATGTCATTTCCATGTGAATAGCCTGGCCTAGTCTGCTGAAGGATGAGATACACATGACTGAGTCTCCCCATGGCCCCAGCCAAGGGTCAGTCTCCTCCAGGAGACTGGCTGCAGATCTGTGAGTGAGCCCCTCTAAGACCAGCTCAGACCTGAAGAACTCCCAGCAGAACTGGGAGCTGAATAAAAGGTTATGTTTTAAGGCACTAAGTTTAGGGTGGCTTGTTAACACAGCAATAGACTGTCAATACAATTCCACTGAACTGGAAAGACATTAGCAATTCTCTAACCTCAACTCCCTACACAATATTCTTAAACTGTACATTTGATTGTGTCATTCCCCAGCTTGATAATGTTAAGTGATTCCTCATGTGTCACAGGAGCAAATCTGTACCTGAGCCCTTCCCTCTCAGCTGAGCTGGTTCCCATCACTCATCCTTGACTCCACCAGGCCCACAACTGATGCATCAGCCACACAAAACCAGGCTCCACTGCTCAGACGGCCGGTCTCCATCACAAATATGCCCCTGTGCAGGCTTATCTCAGTTTACAACATCCTTCTTTGTGCCTCCATCTGGCCAACTCGCACCTACCATGAGCCTCTTTGAATGACCCAGGCAGAATCACTGGCTTCACCTGGCATCTGACTACAGAACGTGGGCCAGGTTTCCCTCTCAGACTCACTACATTCTCTGTCTTTCTTGTCCTCAAACCTCATCACAGAACACTTAGTACATACATAATAAATGTTTATCAAAGGACCAATCAAGTTTACAGAATGGAATACTGAAGCTCAAAAGGTTAAACAATGTGCTATAGGCCTAGAGTATGCAATGCTTTCTTAGGAATTAAGATAGTCATTTCTCTCTTCACTTGCTGCATCCAAATTATATGGAATAATATGTGGATCTACTAGCAGCATAATAAGAAGAAAAAAGGGAATGATCTTAAAGAGTAAAAGTCTATCTCTGGGGAAGAATAGTGAACATGGTAGCATGCAGGAGGATTTGGGAATACTGTGATAAGCAGAGGCCAGAGAGAAGGGCATCGTACTCTAAGCACAACTCAGATTAACATGTAGAAGAAATAGGTACACTTTCCCAAATTGTATTCTCATCTTGGAAGCTATATCTCAAATGTTGAGACAACATTCATAACTCTATTGCAATTTTCTTACAATACTGCTCCTCTTAACTGTGTCCAAAATAATTTTGCACAGGAATTTTAATGACAAGTAGAAAGTGAAATAGATAGCCATGCAGGTCATCCCATGCACAGGAACCAGAACTTAACTAAGAGTGTGCTACGTGTTGTTTCATGTCAAAAGGCAGATTTCACGACCACAAGTTAGAAAAGGCAGTTTATATAATAGTTAAGAATACACTCCACGGACTCAGAGGAATTTGGCATTGGAAATCTTTGTGACCAAATCTTAGGCATATCTTACTTTCTTTTTTTTTTTTTTTTTGAGACAGAGTCTTGCTCTGTCGCCCAGGCTAAAGTGCAGTGGCATGATCTTGGCTTACTGCAAGCTCTGCCTCCCAGGTTCACGCCATTCTCCTGCCTCAGCCTCCTGAGTAGCTGGGACTACAGGTGCCCGCCACCATGCCTGGCTAATTTTGTTTTTGTATTTTTAGTAGAGACAGGGTTTCACCGTGTTAGCCAGGATGGTCTCGATCTCCCAACCTCATGATCCACTCTCCTTGGCCTCCCAAAGTGGTGGGATTACAGGCGTGAGCCAACGCGCCCGGCCAGGCATATCTTACTTTCAAGTTGACTTTTTTTTTTTTTAAGATAGAGTCTCACTCTGTCGCCCAGGCTAGAGTGCAGTGGCATGATCTCAGCTCACTGCAACCTCTCCTCCTGGATTCAAGCGATTCTCCTGCCTCACCCTCCCAAGTAGCTCGGATTACAGGTGTCCGCCACCACGCCCAGCTGATTTTGTGTGTGTGTGTGTGTGTGTGTGTGTGTGTGTGTATTTTTAGTAGAGACAGGATTTCACCATGTTGGCCAAGCTGGTCTCGAACTCCTGACCTCAGGTGATCCACCTCAGCCTCCCAAAGTGCTGGGATTACAGGCATGAACCACTGCACCTAGCCTCAAGTTGACTTTAGACTTAACCCCTGATAAAAGATGTAATACTGATATAGTTCGGATGTTTACCTCTCCCTAATCTAATGTGTCGAATTGTAATACCCAAAGTTGGAGGTAGAGCTTGGCGGGAGGTGACTGGATGATGGGAGTGGATTCCTCATGAATGGTTTAGTACCATCCTTTGGTGGTGTCCTTGCGATAGTGAGTGACTTCTCTTGAAATCTGGCTATTTAAAAGTGTGTGGCATCTCACTCTCTCTCATTTCTGCTTTTACTGTGTGCTGTGCCTGCTGCCCTGTAGCCTTCTACCATGATTGTAAACTTCCTGAAGCCTCCCCAGAAGCTAAGCAAATGTCGGCACCCGTGCTTACTGTAAAACCTGCAGAACCGTGAGCCAATTAAGCTTCTTTTCTTTATAAGTTACCTAGTTTGAAGTATTTCTTTATAGCAATTGGAGAATGGCCTAATACAAATACCAATTCCTTACTTTATTCATAAAACAACAAAAGAAACCAATGAATATGTATCAAAGTTGCAGATGCTTAAAATTATTATAATAGAGCAAGTCCTGATGTGAAATAGAGATATACTTAGCCTTCTACTTAATCTTCTAGGAGTTAATCCAAAAACAAAAAGGAAAACAGTGAATAAAAATAAAAACTTTTTCTCTCTTTGTTTAGTGAAACTAGGAGGTAGCTAGCATGTTCAGAATACAAAATAGACGCAAAAACTGCTAAAAGCGGCAAATATCAAGCATGCATGAGCAGGAACCGTATTGAAGGAAGAAAACAGAAAACGTCCTAAAGTGAGAACTCAGTTGCCAAAGGGCTCAGTGGCTGTGAATATCATCAACACGCATACATGTGTGTACGCAACACACACACACACACTCCACCAGCAGTTAGTTCAGAAAAAAATGCAACTCTTTAAATTATGAGTAATGCTGTGAAGAAAAAAAAAAAAAGAAAGGAAGGAAGAAAGGAAGGAAGGCAGGAAAGAAGAAGGGAGGGAAGGATAAAGGGAGAAAAGGAGGGAGAAAAGACCATTCAGCATGTACAAGATACTATAAGAGTCAAGAGGGAAAATTCAGGAAATACTCATAATAGATTAAGATAATTTATCAGAAAAACACTGTCCACAAGAACAGGACTGAACAACTTGAGGAATCGTTATCTTCTGAGATGGAAGACCAGAGAGCATCTGGTCTTGGAAGGAAACAAAGTCAACATTTTAGAGTATAATGGAGAATGGAAAGTGTAGAACACAAAAGAAGGGATGCAGAGGAAAATATGAGGAAAGCGGATCAGATGAAAAAGGAAAAACAAAAAAGATTTGAAAAGACAAAAGAGAACTAATAGATGTATGCCAGTCTCCCAAAAAGAAAGCTGACATATTGGAATAGAAACAATGTAAAGATCTAATTCAAGAAATCTTTCCTGAAACAAAGGACACATTGAAAAGGTACACCATGTGCTGGAGAAAGGTGACCCAGAGTGGCCAGCACTTAGACACGTGCTGGCAAAGCTGCTGGAGTTGCAAATAAAGAAATAACTACCGGCTGGGCACGGTGGCTCAGACCTGTGATCCTAGCACTTTGGGAGGCTGAGGCGGGTGGATCGCTTGAGGTCAGGAGTTTGAGCCTGGCCTGGCCTTCATGGTGAAATGCCATCTCTACTAAAAATACAAAAATCAGCCAGGCGTGGTGGTGTATGCCTGTAATCCTAGCTACCTGGGAGGCTGAGGCATGAGAATCACTTGAACCCAGGAGATGGAGGTTGCAGTGAGCCGAGATCATGCCACTGTACTCCAGCCTGGGCAACAGAGTGAGACTGTGTCTCAAAAAAAAAAAAAAAAAAAAAAAGAAAAGAAATAATTCTCATGACAATCACAGAAAAACATTAATCAATGACGGGGAAAAAAGAAGGCTGACTTTGGAATCACCACAAGGTAAGAAAGACAGAATGGAGAATTTCAGGGAGGCTTCTTCAGACAGAGTGTCAGGGCCACCAGCTGAATTTCTGATTCAGTAGGTCTGCAGTGGGCCTGAGAGTCTGTATTCTAAGCCAGTCTCAGGTGGTCATGATGCTGCTGGGCCAAACTTGGAGAACCATGGTTACAGGAGAGAACAGAATGGAAAGACAACCAGATTCCCCAGGAAAAGAACATGTGTCCAAGGAGTCCAGAGCCAGCACACTGTCGTTCCAACATAATGGCAGCAACAGTTTTGAATATGGGAACTTAGAGGAAGCTTATTGCATGAATTTTCCTAAAAAAAATCTACTAGAGGACAAACTTCAGACAACCAAACAGGAACACCATGCCAAAAAAAAGCTGAGTGAGGACCGAATATATTAGCTCTAGAACCGGAACTAAGACTAATGTGGGAAAGCAGGTTGATATGATTTGGATCTGTGCCCCCACCAAATCTCATGTCGAATTGCATTCCCCAGTATTGAAGGTTGGGCCTTCAGCACTGGCGGTGAGGAGGTGGGTGGTGATTGGATGATGGTGGCAGATTTCTCATGAATGGTTTAGTGTCACCCCCAATCCCTGCCACTTGGTACTGTCCTCATGATAGTGAGTTCTCATGAGATCTGGTCTTTTAAAAGTGTGTGGCACCTCCCCCCCTCTTGCTCCTACTCCGGCTATGTAACGTGTGTGTTCCCTGTTCGCTTTCTGCCATGATTGTAAGTTTCCTGAGGCTTCCCCGGAAGCTGAGCAGATGCCCACATCAATGTTTCCTATACAGTCTGCAGAACTGTGAGCCAATTAAATCTCTTTTCTTTATAAATTATCCAGTGTCAGGTATTTCTTTATAGCAATGCAAGAACAAACTAATACATAAGTAGCAGAAAAAAAGGTAAACATTTCATGTTCTGACAATGTAGAAATCATACAGTAAACGAAATTTGGGCTGGGGAAGAGAAGAGGTAGGAGCTGTGGAATAATGCAGATTGCCTCATTAGTAATTGCTGGAAATCAAAAGACATGAAGATTTAACAAAGCAATTAAGAAAGGTGAAAGCATATATGAGAAAAAAATGAGTAAAATTGGTGATAAAGAAGAGAGAAGGGAAGAGGAAGATGGGAAATATTCTAATTTCATCATTGCTCATAGTAGCTGATGAATGGATACGCTAAAGAAACAGAGGGATAAGGACATTTTATAAATAAAAGAGGTCAACTAAAACAAGGCACAAACCTTTCAAGTATCAGAAGGCTAACTCAGATGAACATACAAAAGAAAGAAAAGACTATTTAATGAAATGTATTTTAAAATGCACACAGAGCCCATAATGTAAAATATGACAAACATCTGTCATTTCAATAAAGACAAAAATCACTAAACTCACATATCTCAAATAAGAATGATCAGAATGATTCACACAGCAAAGCCAAGTCCATTGTAGAGAAACATCTAGGACAGTGATTCCAAAAGGTGGCAAATGAAATAATCTCCAAAATTGTGAGAGGCTGTGTGATGAGGTGGGAGTGCCCATGCTGCAGGGGTCTTCATAGGCAAGGCAGGGCAGAAGACACAAAGGAAGAGGCTTGGGCCACCTGGGTTGTTCAAGGAATTGGGATTTCCAGTGAAAAGGGTAAAACAGGGTTATGTTTTCCTACTCAGGACAGAGGGCCAACCCTGTGGGAGGATCACCCAGAATCCTGATCCTCAACCTCATCTTACCCAATGTTTGCCTCTCTCTCTCCCTCCCTCTCCATCTGTTTTCCTTTCTCTCCCCTTCCTCCCTCTCTTTCTCTCTCTCTTTTCTCCCCCCCAACATCCCCTCTCCCTCATCAGCCTTTCCCACTGGTGGGTGGGGTGTGGTTATGAGGACCACGGAAAAGGGTGAGCAAAGGGGCTCAGCAGATAGCAGATACCTGGAGCCAGCCCACACTCACCATACAGGAGGGACACAGGGCTGCAACTCCCTGTAACCTCCTGAGCAGCCATGCTGCTCCTAACACTGACCACATTTTAAGCCATAAAGACAACATCAGGACTTAAAGTTAAAACAGCAGAGAAAAGATTTGCTTATCATGCTACATTAAAACTAGAAATTAATAACGAAAGCAGTTCACAAAAGAGGCCACATGACATGTGAAAATTTTAAATGTAAATAATAACTAATTTAGCATCTGAGAAAGAAAAGGAGCTTTTATCTGAGGAATGCAAACCTCCTCTAAATGATCAGTCCCCAGAGGCGCGTGGGAATGAGACAGCAGTCACAGACCACTTCCCTCCTTGGGCTAAGGAATCCTGTCTTAAAACTGCTAGCTATCCCATGAGTGGCTATAAATTAACCTAACAATGCCACACACAGGACACCGTAGCCCATAGAGTGTATAGCCAATCACTAATCAATGTCATCTGTGTAAACCAATGAAAATTCCTGACAAACAGCTTTATATCAGCCCACTCCTTGTGGCCTCTTTTTGCTTTTAAAAACATACTGGTGACAAAGGCAGAAATAAGCTCATATCCAAGGTTACTGGGGTCTGAGTCTTCCAGGCAGCTGTTTTCACTTTGGCACAAGTAAACATTTAAAGTTGTATTTTGTGTCTCTGCTTCTTTGTAGGTGGACATATCCAACTGAAAATGTAAAAGATGAAAAAAAATACCTATAAAAGCAAAAAGAAGAAAATAAAGATAAAAGTGGAAATTAATAAACTAGGGGAAAATGTGGAATAAACAAAATCTGAAAGCTAGTTCTTTAAATAAACTAATGAAAATTTACCCAACCAATTAAGGAAGGAAAAAGAAATACAACGAAATAAAAATGATAGAAGAAAATACAGATGCCAATTAAAATAAAAGAACTATAAGAGCCTATTTTGCTCATCTCTATGCAAAAAAATGTTAAAACCTAGATTAAATAGATAATTATAAAAGAAAAAATAACTTGAAAGAACTAACTAGTGGAGAAATTAAAATTCTTAACAGATGAATTTCCATAGAAGAAATAGAAGAAGGTATCACTGAGCTACTCCAACGGCAGTAAGAAGAAAGTACCAGTCCCAGAGTGTTAAAAAGGAAATTCTCCAAAATAGAATATATATTTCCGATGCTATTCAAACTGTTTCAGGACAAATAAAAGACAAAGAAAACTTTCACACAGCACTGATATCAAAGACCAAAACTACTGCACAAAAATCAATGACTAGAAATTGTTCTGCACCAGCCATTTGAAGGTGATCCAGTACCTATCTACCTACCTGTCATCGAGGAGAAAAGCTATAATGAGGCAACTGGAAAATTGGACTATTTTTCAACTGCATTTGCAAATGCCTTTAAGGATTTTGGCATTTAGAATCATAGGTCTTGCTGTTACCTTCTGAGTTCTTTCTAGAGTTGACCTATTCATTAAGTGGAACTTGGGTTCTAAGATTTAGGTGCCTTAGTCCACTTTTTATAAATAAATAAATAAATGGGGGATCACAGTGAATGGGAGGCAGGACTAGATTGCAGCTCCAACTTGGATGGACAGAGCAGTGTGTGGAGGCTCGCATAGTCAATTTTTGCTCCAGAACAACTGCAGGAATAAATCAGGAAAGCTGAGAGGACCCACAGACTCCCTGAAGTAAGTGGATTGCTCCTGCAGGACCCAGGAGACACCCCAAATACTGTGCTGGTATACTTGGCTGAGAGACTCACAAATGGTTCACATCACAGTACTCTGTGCAGACAACCCCCAGTACCAGCCTGGAATCTGGTAGACTCGCTGGGTGGCTAGATCCAGAAGAGAGATAACAATCACTACAGCTCAGCTCTCAGGAAGCCACATCCATAGGAAAAGGGGATGAGTACTACATCAAGGGAACACCCACAGGACAAAAGAATCTGAACAACAGCCTTCAGCCCTAGACCTTCCATCTGACAGAGCCTACCCAAATGAGAAGGAACCAGAAAACCAACTCTGGTAATATGACAAAACAAGGTTCTTTAACACCTCCAAAAAAATCACACTAGCTCACCAGCAAGGAGCCCAAATCAAGAAGAAATCCCCAGTTTACCTTAAAAAGAATAGGAGGTTAGTTATTAAGCTAATTAGGGAGGCACCAGAGAAAGGCAAAGCCCAGTGTAAGGAAATCCAAAAAATGATACAAGAAGTGAAGGAGAAATACTCAAGGAAACAGATAGCATAAATAAAAAACAATCAAAACTTCAGGAAACAATGGACACACTTATAGAAATGCAAAATGCTCTGAAAAGTCTCAGCAATAGAATTGAGCAAGTAAAAGAAAGAAATTCAGAGCTCAAAGACAAGGTCTTTGAATTAACCCAATCCAACAAAGACAAAGAAAAAAGAATAAGAAAGTAAGAACAAAGCCTCCAAGAAGTCTGGGATTATGTTAAATGACCAAACCTAAGAATAATCAGTGTTCCTGAGGAAGAAGAGAAATCTAAAAGTTTGGAAAACATATGTGGGGGAATGATTGAGGGGAATAAACTTCCCCAGCCTTGCTAGAGACCCAGACATCCAAATACAAGAAGCACAAAGAATAGCTGGGAAATTCATCACAAAAAGATCATTGCCTAGGCACATTGTCATTGAGTTATCTAAAGTTAAGATGAAGGAAAGAATCTTAAGAGCTGTGAGACAAAAGCACCAGGTAACCTATAAAGGAAAACGTATCAGATTAGCAGCAGATTTCTCAGCAGAAACCCTATAAGCCGGAAGGGTTTGGTCAGTCTCTTCAAACAAAACAATTATCAGACAAGAATTTTGTATCTAGCAAAACTAAGCTTCATACATGAAGAAAAGATACAGTCTTTTTCAGACAAATGCTGACAGAATTCACCACTACCAAGCTACCACTACAAGAACTGCTAAAAGGAGCTCCAAATCTTGAAACAAATCCTGGAAACACATCAAAATAGAACCTCTTTAAAGCATAAATCTCACAGGACCTATAAAACAAAACTACAATTAAAAAAACCCAAAACCAATAACTAAAGTATACAGGCAACAAATAGCATGATGAATGGAATGGTACCTCACATCTCGATACTAACGTTGAATGTAAATGACCTAAATGCTCCACTTAAAGGATACAGAATAGCAGAATGGATAAGAATTCACCAACCAACGATCTGCTGCCTTCAGGAGACTCACCTAACACATAAGGACTCGCACAGACTTAAGGTAAAGTGGTAGAAAAAGACATTTCATGTGAACAAACACCAAAAGCAAGCAGGAGTAGCTATTCTCATATCAAACAAAACAAACTTTAAAGCAACAGCAGTTAAAAGAGACAAAGAAGAACATTATATAATGATAAAAGAAGCACATTATATAATGATAAAAGGCCTTGTCCAACAGGAAAATATCACAATCCTAAACATATATGCACCTAACACTGGAGCTCCCAAATTTGTAAAACAATTACTAACAGACCTAAGAAATGAGATAGACAGCAACACAATAATAGTGGGGGACTTCAATACTCCACTGACAGCACTAGACAGGTCATCAAGACAGAAAGTCAACAACAAAAAAAAAAACAATGGATTTAAACTATACCCTGGAACAAATGGACTTAACAGATATGTACAGAACATTCCATCCAACATACGCAGAATATACATTCTATTCAATAGTGTATAGAACTTTCTCCAAGATAGACCATATGATAGGCCACAAAACAAGCCTCAATAAATTTAAGAAAATCAAAATTGTATCAAGCACTCTCTCAGACCACAGTGGAATAAAACTGGAAATCAACTCCAAAAGGAACATTCAAAACCATGCAAATACATAGAAATTAAATAACCTGCTCCTGAGTGATCACTGGGTCAAAAATGAAATCAAGATGGAAATTTAAAAATTCTTCAAACTGAACCACAATAGTGACACAACGTATCAAAACCTCTGGGACACAGCAAAGGTGGTGCTAAGTGGAAATTTCATAGCCCTAAATGCCTACATCAAAAAGTCTGAAAGAGCACAAACAGACAATCTAAGGTCACACCTCAAGGAACTAGAGAAACAAGAACAAACCAAACACAAATGCAGCAGAAGAAAGGAAATAACCAAGATCAGAGCAGAACTAAATGAAATTGAAACAAACAAACAAAAAATACAAAAGATAAATAAAACAAAAAGCTGGTTCTTTGAAAAAATAAATAAAATTGATGGACCATTAGCAAGATTAACCAAAAAAAGAAGACAGAAAATCCAAATAAGCTCAATAAGAAACAAAACAGGGGATATTACAACTGACACTGCAGAAATACCAAAGATCATTCAAGGCTACTTAATGAACACCTTTACACACATAAACTAGAAAACCTAGAAGAGATGGATAAATTCCTGGAAAGATATAACCCTCCTAGCTTAAGTCAGGAAAGAATTAGATACCACGAACAGACCAATAATAAGCACTGAGATTGAAATGTTAATTTAAAAATTAACAACAAAAAAAGTCCAGGTCCAGACGAATTCACAGGAAAATTCCACCAGACATTTAAAGAATTGGTACCAATCCTATTGACACTATTCCACAAGACAGAGAAAGAGGAAACCCTCCCTAAATCATTTTATGAAGCCAGTATCACCTTAATACCAAAACCAGGAAAGGACATAACCAAAAAAGAAAACTACAGACCAATATCCCTAATGAACATAGATGCTGGAATCCTTAAAACACTAGCTAACCGAATCCAACATATCAAAAAGATAATCCACCATAATCAAGTGGGTTTCATACGAGGGATGCAGGTATGGTTTAACATACTCAAGTCAATAAATATGATACATCACATAAACAGAATTAAAAACAAAAATCACATGATCATCTCAATAGATGCAGAAAAAGCATTCAACAAAATCCAGCATCCCTTTATGATTAAAACTCTGAGCAAAACTGGCATACAAGGGACATACCTCAATATAATAAAAGCCAACTATGACAGACCCACAGCCAACATAATACTGAATGGGAAAAAGTTGAAAGCATTCCCTCTGAGAACTCGAACAAGACAAGGATGCCCACTGTCACCACTCCTCTTCAACATAGTACTGGAAGTCCTAGCCAGAGCAATCAAGAGAAAGGAATAAAGGGCATCCAAATCAGTAAAGAGGAATTCAAACTGTCACTGTTTTCTGATGATATGATCGTATATCTAGAAAACCCTAAAGACTCATCCAAAAAGCTCCTAGAATTGATAAAAGAATGCAGCTAAGTTTCTGGATACAAAACTAATGTACACAATCAGTAGGTCTTCTATACATCAACAGAGACCAAGCTGAGAATCAAATCAAGAACTCAACCCCTTTTAAAACAGCTGCAAAAAAAACCAAAACAAACAAACAAAAACAAAAAAAAAAAACCACTTAGGAATATACCTAACCAAGGAGGTGAAAGGCCTTTACAAGGAAAACTATAAAAGAGTGCTGAAAAAAAATCATGGATGACACAAACAAATGGAAACACATCCCATGCTCATGGATGAGTAGAATCAATATTGTGAAAATGACCATACTGCCAAAAGCAATCTACAAATTCAGTGGAATACCCATCAAAACACCACCATCATCTTCACAGAATTAGAAAAAACAATTCTAAAATTCATATGGAACCAAAAAAGAGGCTGTACATCCAAAGAAAGACTAAGCAAAAAGAACAAATCTGGAGGCATCACATTACCTGACTTCAAACTATATTATGAAGCCATAGTCACCAAAACAGCATGGGACTGGTATAAAAATAAGCACACAGACCAATGGAACAGAATAGAGATCCCAGAAATAAACCCAAACACTTAGAGCCAACTGATCTGCAACAAAGCAAACAAAAACATAAAGTGGGGAATGGACGCTCTTTTCAACAAATGGTGCTGGGATAATTGGCTAACCACATGTAGGAGACTGAAACTGGATCCTCATCTCTCACCTTATACAAAAATCAACTCAAGATGGATTAAGGACTTAAATCTAAGACCTGAAACTGTAAAAATTCTAGAAGATAACATTGGAAAAACCCTTCTAGACATTGGCTTAGGTAAGGATTTCATGACCAAGAACCCAAAAGCAAATGCAATAACAACAAAGATAAATAGTTGGGAGTTAATTAAACTAAAGAGATTTTGCATGGCAAAAGAAACATTCAGCAGACTAAACAGACAACCCACAGAGTGGGAAAAAAAATCTTCACAATCTATACATCTGACAAAGGACTAATATCCAGTATCTACAATGAATTCAAACAAATAACAATCCCATCAAAAAGTGGCCTAAGGACATGAATAGACAATTCTCAAAAAAAAAAAAAAAAAAAAGATATACAAATGGCCAGCAAACATATGAAAATGCTCAACATCACTAATGATCAGGGAAATGCAAATCAAAACTGCAATGCGATACCACTTTACTCCTGCAACAATGGCTATAATCAAAAAATAAAAAAATAGTAGATGTTGGTGTGGATGCAGTGAACAGGGAACGCTTCTATACTGCTGGTGGGAATGTAAACCACTATGGAAAACAGTATGGAGATTACTTAAATAACTAAAAGTAGAACTACCATTTGATCCAGCAATCCCACTACTGGATATCGATCCATTGGAAAATAAGTCATTATACGAAAAAGATACTTGCACATGCATATTTGTAGCAGCACAATTTGCAATTGTAAAACCATGGAACCAACCCAAACCAAATACCCATCAATCAATGAGTGGATAAAGAAACTGTGATATATATATATATATAATGAGATACTACTCAGCTATAAGAAGAGTGAATTAATGGCATTCACAGCAACCTGGATGAGATTGGAGATTATTATTCAAAGTGAAGTAACTTAGGAATGGAAAACCAAACATCGTATGTTCTCACTTATAAGTGAGAGCTAAGCTATGAGGATGCTAAGGCATAAGAATGACACTCCTCTCTCCCTCTCCCCTCTCCCCTCCCCCTCCCCTTCCCTTTCCCCCTCTCCCTCTCCCTCTCTCCCCTTTGCACAGTCTCCCTCTGATGCCAAGCCGAGGCTGGACTGTACTGCTGCCATCTCCACTCACTGCAACCTCCCTGCCTGATTCTCCTGCCTCAGCCTGCCCAGTGCCTGGGATTGCAGGCACGTGCTGCCACGCCTGACTGGTTTTCGTATTTTTTGGTGGAGACGGGGTTTTGCCGTGTTGGCCGGGCTGGTCTCCAGCTCCTGACCACGAGTGATCTACCAGCCTCGGCCTCCCGAGGTGCCGGGATTGCAGACAGAGTCTAGCTCACTCAGTGCTCAATGTTGCCCAGGCTGGAGTGCAGTGGCGTGCTCTCGGCTCGCTACAACCTCCACCTCCGAGCCGCCTGCCTTGGCCTCCCAAAGTGCCGAGATTGCAGCCTCTGCCCTGCCACTACCCCGTCTAGGAAGTGAGGAGCGTCTCTGCCTGGCCGCCCATCGTCTGGGATGTGAGGAGCCCCTCTGCCCGCCACCCAGTCTGGGAAGTGAGGAGCACCTCTTCCCGGCCGTCATCCCGTCTAGGAAGTGAGGAGCGTCTCTGCCCGGCTGCCCATCGTCTGGGATGTGGGGAGCACCTCTGCCCCGCCGCCCCGTCTGAGATGTGAAGAGCGCCTCTGCCAGGCCGCGACCCCGTCTGGGAACTGAGTAGCGTCTCTACCCCGCCGCCACCCCGTCTGGGAGGTGAGCAGCGTCTCTGACCGGCCGCCCCGTCTGAGAAGTGAGGAGCCCCTCCGCCCGGCAGCTGCCCCGTCTGGGAAGTGAGGAGCGTCTCCGCCCGGCAGCCGCCCCGTCCGGCCAGCCGCCCCGTTGGGGAGGTGGGGGGCAGCCCCCACCCCGGCCAGCCGCCCCATCTGGGAAGTGGGGAGCCCCTCTGCCCGGCCGCCACCCTGTCTGGGAGGTGTACGCAACAGCTCATTGAGAACGGGCCATGATGACGATGGCGGTTTTGTCGAATAGAAAAGGGGGAAATGTGGGGAAAAGAGAGATCAGATTGTTACTCTGTCTGTGTAGAAAGAAGTAGACATAGGAGACTCCATTTTGTTCTGTACTAAGAAAAATTCTTCTGCCTTGGGATGCTGTTAATCCATAACCTTACCCCCAACCCCATGCTCTCTGAAACATGTGCTGTGTCCACTAAGGGTTAAATGGATTAAGGGCAGTGCAAGGTGTGCTTTGTTAAACAGATGCTTGAAGGCAGCATACTCGTTAAGAGTCGTCACCACTCCCTAATCTCAAGTACCCAGGGACACAAACACTGCGGAAGGCGGTGGGGCCCTCTGCCTAGGAAAACCAGAGACCTTTGTTCACATGTTTATCTGCTGACCTTCCCTCCAGTATTGTCCTATGACCCTGCCAAATCCCCGTCTCCGAGAAACACCCAAGAATGATCAATAAATACTAAAAAAAAAAAAAAAAAGAATGACACAATGGACTTTGGGGACTCAGGGGGAAAGGGTGGGAAGTGGGTGAGAGATAAAAGACTAGTAATAGGGTGCAGTGTATATGGCTCAGGTGATGGTTGCACCAAAATCTCAGAGATCACCACTGAAGAACTTACTCATGTAACCAAACACCACCCGTTCCCCAATAACCTATGGAAATAAATTTTAAAAAAAACAAAAAACACTAATTGAGGGGGCTCTTGAGCAGCCACTTGCTCAAGCCTGCTCCCACTCTGTGAATTGTCTTCAATAAATCTGTGCCTACTCTGGCAAAAATAAATAAATAAATAAATAATAAAAATAAATAAATAAATAAAATCAATGATTAGAAGCCAACGCCATTTATGAGGAAGAACCATGAATACTATGTTAGAAAACTGAATGCAATAGCATAATCAAAAAGTAATTCACCAAAATCAAGTGTTTTTCACCCCTAGGAATTCAAGAATGAGTCAATAAGATATTGGCTAATAGAACACATGAGATTTGGAGTTCTAAAGAAGCAAAGAAAAAAGTTATAAAATCAGCTTCACAGATGCTGGAGAGAATTTAACAAAATCAACAACTCTTTTTTTTTTAAGTCTTCATTAAGAGAGGAAAAGATGAAAACTGCCTTTACATGATAAATTATATATGTCAAAAATCTAGTATCAAGTTTAATGGAACAATGTCGCAGCCTGATGGGTTCTTCTTTCCCACTGCCCTGAAAAAAGACTAATGAGACCAGCAGGAGTTGCAACAAAGAATGTAATAATCACAGGCCTGCTGAGCAAGGAGAACAGGGAGAAAGTTCTCAAACCTGTCTCCCCCAGAATTTGGAGGCTGGGGTTTTGTAAAAGTACTTTTTAAAAAGTACTTTCCCAGCAGGGTTCTGGGAAACTGGAACAGATGATTGGCTGAACAATTGGGATGAAATCACAGGAGCATCCCAAACTGTCTTTGTGCAGCTGAGTTAGTTCCTTGGCAGGGATGTGAGGGGGTAGTCTTAGAACTAGATGGTGTCTCTTGGTCTACTGAAACGTTAAATCCAAAAAATATCTCAAAATCAGATCTTTAGGTTTCACAATAGTGATGTTATTTACAGGAGTAGTTGGGAAAGTTACACATTTTGCAACCCTCAGTTACGTGACTCTGGGGCAATAGACAACCTATAGAAACACAAACTAAGCAATGGCAGGTTATGGTTTAATGCCTACTCATTAGCAAAGTCCTAACCCCTATCATAATTTTAACCTTGCCTTATGAATGTGGCTTTAATCTTCAGACATGGAGGGTGCCAGTTTCCTTTGCCTCCAAGTATAATGATAAACCTAATCCTTCTCATAGTTATCTTGGCCTCTGCATTACAGTAAGCAAGAAAAATATTTAGTCTGTGAAGTTAGAAGCAAGATGGAGTCAGTCATGCTAGATCACTCTTATTACTTATAATTCTACAAAAGCAGTTCAAAAACACTGGAAGGATCTTGAGACCGACATGCCCATCATCATCAATCTCATTTAACACTGTTCTGGCAGTATCAGCCATTGTAATTAAACAAGAGAAAGAAACTGGAGAGGTCAAATTGGAAATGAGAGGTTGATAATCACCATTCATAATTAATATGTTTACATAGCTGAAAAACACTGAAGAATACACTTCAAGATAACTATAAACAACATGAGAATTCAGTGAAAGAGAAGAGGACCTAAAATCAACAGCCAATAGCAGCAGCTTTTCTATATACCAATGACAACCAGTTTGGGGACAAAATGGAAAAAAAAAGGGAAAAAATATCCCTTTTATAATACAATAGTGCAAAAAATAAAATATCATACAAGAAACAGGTAAATTCTACATAAAGAAATGTTCAGGCCGGGTGCAGTGGTTCATGCCTATAATCCCAACACTTTGGGAGGCTGAGGCTGTAGGAACACTTGAGGCCAGGAGTTCGAGACCAGCCTGGTCAATATAGTGAGACTCCTGTCTCTATTAAAACAGAAAAGAAAAGAAAAAACAGAAATGTTTAAAATACTTTTAAAGAAAGATGCACGGAAAAAATGGACAGGAACAGGGCAGTTCATGCAGTGGGAGACTCGTAAATATAAAGACTCTACATAAATTAATTTATATATTAAACATTTGTAAATGAAAAATAAAATTCTAAGCTCTCCAACCTACTGAATGGACCCCTCCTTTTGGCCAAGGGCATTCCAAAGTTAACCTGAAAAATGAGTTCAGGCCATAATGGGAAGGGAGGGTCAGACATGCCCCACGATACCCTCCTCCCATTGGAATTGAGGCACAACTGACCAGCATTAACATTTAAACAGAGGCCTTAAGAATGACAAAACAGACTTTTTGTAGCAATAAGATACCAACATGACAGATAGCAGGCCCTGAAAGAAATCAAAGTATTTTACCCCAAAATATATTTGACACTTTGAAATTGTCCTACGAAAAGAGGAGACCCAAAATGAACAGCAAATAGCAGCAGCTTTTCTATATACCAATGACAACCAGTTTGGGGACAAAATGGGAAAAAATATCCCTTTTATAATAAATAGTGCAAAAAATAAAATATCATACAAGCAACATGTAAATTCCATATGAAGAAATGTTCAGGCTGGGCGCAGTGGTTCATGCCTGTAATCCCAACACTTTGGGAGGCTGAGGCTGTAGGATCACTTGAGGCCAGGAGTTCAGGGAAAAATTTATGTTCTGTAGAGAATTCCCTTCCCTTTCCAGATCTTTTCCTGATCCAGGACAGAATTAACTGAGTCTGGCACCTTTTAAAGGCTGATAAGAAACATTTACAATCTCTTCTCTCTGAAGGCTGCTACCTGGAGGCTTTGTCTGCATGATAAAATCTTTGGTCTTCACCACCACTTATTTTCACCCAGACACTCCCTTCTATTGATTCCAGGTCTTTAGGTAATAACTTAACTCTTTCAACCAATTGCCAATCAGAAAATCTTTGTATCTACCTATGACCTGAAAGCCTCCCTGACCCCCATCTTTGAGTTGTCCCACCTTTCTGCGCAGAACCAATGTACATTTTAGATGTATTGATTGATATCTTACGTCTCCCTAAAATGTATAAAACCAAGCTGTAGCATGACCACCTTGGGCACAAGTTCTTAGGACCTCCTGGAGCTGTGCCTCAGACCATGGTCACTCATATTTGGCTCAGAATAAATCTATTCAAAAATTTTACTTAGTTTGATTCTTTTCATCAACACATGATTTAAATAAAAATACCAATAAGATATTTTTATACTAGTCAGTGTGAGTCTAAAGTTCATGTGGAAAAAGGAACAAGCAAAAATGGCAAGAATAACACTAGAGAAGATGAGTGACAAGGGAAGCCAGCAAATCACCTGAGGGCAGAGAGGAAACCAGCATTGGTAGAGGCAGCACACCCCATCATTGTGGCAACCGAATTCCAGCATATGATGCTGAGCCAAATGGATGGCCATGCTAGAGAAGATGAGTGAACAAGGGATGCCAGCAAACGGCCTGAGGGCAGAGAGGAAGCCAGCATAGGTAGAGAGAGCACGCCCCATCAGTGTGGCAATGGAATCTTCCAGCAAATGACACTGAGCCAAATGGGTGGCCATTCAGGAAACAGTCAAATGGAATCTATAATGCAGGCTTTATGCCAGGATATATATTCAAATGCATTCAATATTTAAATGAGAAAACAGAATAACAGAAACTCTAGGAGAAACCATGAGAGAATTGTTCCATAAACTCAGAGTAAGGAAAAAATTTCTAACTATGACATAAAACTCAGAAACCATGAAAAAAAGGTTGATAAAGTATACTTAATAAAAGTTAAAAATTCCTACATGAAAAGAAAAAAAAACTATAAGTAAAACCAAAACACAAATAACAAATTGAAAAAAAAAGTACTAAAAAGACAAATTTTCTTTTTTTTTTGAGATGGAGTCTTGCCCTGTCGCCCAGGCAGGAATGCAGTGGTGCGATCTCAGCTTACTGCAACCTCCACCTCCCGGGTTCAAGCAATTCTCCTGCCCCAGCCTCCTAAGTAGGGCGCGCCACCACGCCCAGCTAATTTTTGTATTTTTAGTAGAGATGGGGTTTCACTATGTTGGTCAGGCTGGTCTCGAACTCTTGACCTCGTGATCCACCCGCCTCGGTCTCCCAAAGCACTAGTATTACAGGCGTGAGCCACCACATCCAGCCGACAAATTTTCTTAATAACAAAAGAGCTCATTGAAACCCCATATTAGATGGAACTGTGAAAGTGCTCAGCTTGGTTGAATATGGTCATACACTGGCAGTTGACAAGGATGAACCTAATAAAATGTAAATTTTAAAACTTCAGAAAGATACTGTTTTTACCTATCATATTGATCTCTACATCGTTCACAGGAATGTAAATAGGACAAGAGTCCTAATTAAAAGCAATTTAGCATTAACTATCAATTACAGATGCACATAGCATTTGAGGCAATAATCTTGGCTTTCCATTAAATGACATACACATGTAATTATTCACTGCAATGTTGTTTGCAATGCTGAAAGATCAGAAACAATTTCAATGTTCAGCAATAAAAAGAAAGAGCTGAATAGATTTGGTCCATTAAATTAATGGACTACTCAGCAACCACACCAAAAGCCAGGGAAGCTCTTTCTGTGTAGACAGGGAAGCCCGTCTAGATATGGATATGCATTTAAGTGGGCAAGGAGTGGGATACTGTGTGTGGTATACTTCCATTTGTGGAAAGGAGGGGAAACAACACTTATACTTGTTTATACACATAAAAGATATAAGAAGTAGAAGGCAGTAGTTGACTGTGGGTCAATAGAAAAGGACTTTTTACTATATAACTTTCTAGAATGTGGGAGTTTACACCATGAGAATGTATATGTTCAAAAAGTAACTTTAAAAACAAAAGGCCGGGGGGGAAGGTGCAGTGGCTCACACCTGTAATCCCAGCACTTTGGGAGGCCCAGGCAGGCAGATCACTTGAGGTCAGGAGTTTGGGACCAGCTAGGCCAACATAGTGAAACCCCATGTCTACTAAAAATACAAAAAATTAGCTGGGCATGGTGGTGCACACCTGTAATCCCAGCTACTTGGGAGGCTGAGGCGGGAGGATCCCTTGAACCTTGGAGGTGGAGGTTGCAGTGAGCCGAGATTGCGCCACTGCACTCCAGCCTGGGCAACAGAACAAGATTCTGTCTCAGAAAAAAGGAAGAAAGAACGAAAGAAAAAAAGAAAGAAAAAATTAAATCCTATCCGTAAGTGGAAAAGTATCAGAACTCTCCACTCACCCTCCACCCCCAATCATCATCTCTAGGGGTTTAGTAGTTGTCTGAGTAGAATGGGTCCAACGCTGGAATGTAAAGAATTTTTTCTTACTTTTGTTGAGACTACAAAATGTTGGAAATTTTAGTGCAAAAGAATTCATATAGAACATTGTGTGTGTGCATATGTGTGTGCATGAGCTTGAAGGACAATTTAAGTAATTTTTCAATAGTTATTATTTTTAGAATTCTGCTTCTGTGTAGGATGAAGCGCCAGTACATTACCTTTGGGACCTCAGGGCAAGTCCCCAGCCTCACCACATCTACCTCACAAGGCAAGTGGAAAGATTAAATGCAATGAAGTATGTAGAGTTGGTCACAGTGCAAAACACAGTGCACAAACCCACCTACGTCCGCAGTGTGCCACTGAGCTACTATTCTTGGAGCCAGGAAGGTTGGCTGAGTCCAGAGAAACGGAATGCAGTTTCTTTTCTTTTCCCAACACTGCCTCTTGGGTCCCCTAGCTCAGGACCTCCTTCCCAGGCTCCTGATAAGGACACCATGCACCTTACCTTTTGAGTACTGGTGGTAGGCAGTCACCGCCATTGCCTCAGACATGTTGTGTAGCCTCATTTCAACCCCAGAACTGTCCCCGAAATCCATCATCAGACAGAGAGCCTCTCCAGAAGCCATATGAACACGGAATCCCAGATTTGGAGGTGCCCGAGCTTCCACTTCCAGGGAGCAATTAAGAACAGGGTTCATGAAGTTATCAGAATTTCGAGCTAGGATGGCCACAGGAGGATGCTGAGTAGGGGGATAGAGGATCTCAGAACCAGACTGCGATGCCGTGAAGCTGGGGGTGCGAGGAATGCCAGGCGGAAGGCCGTGGGAGCTGTGGGAGAGAGGGAGAGGCTTCAGATTTCATGACAGTGGACCACTGGGGTGGGAGGGCAGAAGCCAAGCAGCCTGGCCTGGGTCCAGCCAGCTAGAAGCCAAGTCTGAGAAACCTGATGAAAGGCTTCACTTCCACTGGTTCTCAGAGTGGGGTCCCAGGGCCAGCAGCATCAGCATCACCTGGGCGCTTGTGAGACATGCAAATTCTTGACCCACCCCTGACCCACTGGGTCAGAAACTGGGGTGGGGCCAGCAAGCCCCCAGGTGAATCTGAGGTCAGCAAAAATTTGGGAGTCACTGCTCTAGCTACATTAGTAACAGTAAAAGGTAGAGTTTCTCTCATCACTGATTTAATAGACACGAAAGATGGTATCTCCCACAAGTCACTACTTCCTGTGTTTTTGCGAAAAGCTCCCCGTGAGGGTGGGTGCCACCCTTTCTACATTTCTCCCTAGCTCCTTGTGCTGCAAATTGGTTGGGGAGTTGGAAATAGTCTAGGATACTCAAGTCTCAGCTTCCAATCACACAGGACTTTCAAGATCATTTATGTGTTAAAAGCTGGTCTTGAGTAAAGCATATGGTGTTGGTACCATTACGTGGCATAAACGAAAGATTAAAGAAAGCAGGAAAAGGAAGATCATGGAGGTAGAAATGGCTTAAGTATCTTAATGGCCAATTCTCATGCTCCCATGTTTTTTTTTTTTTCCTCTTCCAGTGTGCTGTGCATGTCCCGTTAAAAAACACAGGCAGACAGATCACGGGGTCAGGAGATCGAGACCATTCTGGCTAACACGGTGAAACCCGGTCTCTACTAAAAATCCAAAAAATTAGCCGGGCATGGTGGCAGGTGACTGTAGTCCCAGCTACTTGGGAGGCTGAGGCAAGAGAATGGCATAAACTCAGGAGGCAGAGCTTGCAGTGACCCAAGATCGCGCCACTGCACTCCAGCCTGGGTGACAGAGCAAGACTCCCTCTCGAAAAAAAAATAAAATAAAATACACACAGTCGGCCGGGTGCAGTGGCTCATGCCTGAATCCCAGCACTTTGGGAGGCCGAGGCGGGTGGATCACGAGGTCAAGAGATCAAGACCAGTCTGGCCAACATGGTGAAACCCTATCTCTACTAAAAATACAAAAATTATCCCAGTGTGATGGCGCATGCCTGTAGTCCCAGCTACTCAGGAGGCTGAGGCAGAAGAATCGCTTGAACCCGGGAGGCGGAGGTTGCAGTGAGCCGAGATCACGCCACTGCACTCCAGCTTGGGTGACAGAGCGAGACTCTGTCAAAAAAACAAACAAACAAACAACAACAACAAAATATACACAGTCAGACAAAGCTTTAGTCTCAGTATGTGATTGATGGGAAACATAAAGGCAACCAAGTGGCATGGGTCCCTGATGGCAAACAGTGGCCAATTATGTCTACAGCATTGTAACTTGAAAGTCACTGGACTCAACTGCAACTATAATTAAAGCAAACAACGAAGATACTAAAATCACTAACGGATTGGGCATGGATGGTTCCAGACTGGGGATTGGAGAAGTGGTGCTGGCCTCCATACCTCCTTCACCGTACCTTCTGGGAGAAGTGGGAAAATGTGAAATCGGCCACAGGGGCACTCGCTGGGAGCTGGTCTGAGTGGGTCTGGCCACCTTGGTGGGGGTCTCCATCGTGACAGTCCCAGGAAGCAGCCCCGTGGCCACATCCTCCGCACAGCACAGCAGTCTCAGGACACAGCAGGAAGCCTCCATCTTCAGGCTGCAGGGAGCTGCTGCAGAAGTGGTGCCCTGGAGCTTAAAAGTTTAAGAACAGTTCAGGGTTTATTGAATGGCCTCGTCTGGCATCAGTAGCTGATGTCCGCCATGCTCAAAAAGCCAATTTAACAAACAGCCCCACTGCTACTGAGGTCTCTGCTATTTGGGTGGGTGACCACAAATTGGCCCCGTGCATTGGCGCTATGTTGTGAGTGGTAGGATTCACACTTTCCAGCATACTAGCCAAGACAGCGCCCAGCTGGCACCAGCTAGAACTATGAGGCATGTTTGATCAGGAATTTCAGGGTTGCTTAGTATTAGAAGTTCATGTTACCCCTTCAGCTAAGCCAATAGAAAATTAGCAATTGCATAAGGTCATCTATAACTCTATAAGGTTGTCAGCTGGGAGATGGCGCTCTTACAGACAGCAAAAATGCTCTTACAGAAAGCAAAAATATTTTCCCTTACTGTGGTGACAAATTTTAGAGATGCCTTCAAACTGCCTGAGCAGTGTCCAAATGACTTAGAAATGCAAAATATGGTTCACTGACAAACTCTGAGGCCGCCTACATACGGGTGAGTCTCCCCCATATGCATCAGATGCTCACCAGCAGCTTTCTGATGAAATTCAATTGCAGGGGTTAGATACCAACCTGGAGAAGAGCAGAGAATGTGCTGTCTGCGGTCCCAGTAGCACACAGCCGCCTGTGATGGAACCTGGGGCCACCACTGCTCCAGGCCCTTGCGATTATAATGAAAGGTTTGTGGGGAATTCTGTATGGGAAGGAAAGTGCAGAAAGAAAAGGAAACCCGGTCATGTTTCAGTCACATATCTGGCTTATTTGATTACAAATCATGCCCTTCACCAGGCTTTGCTGGAAATTCCCTTGCTGTGATTGCAGGCTCATTCCTGGGAGTCAGGCCCAGGCTGACCATGGGGATATGATGTGGTTAGAAGCCAAACCAGCGGGGCTGCTGCAGGCACTCGAGGGAGAAGTCTTAGGTAGAGTAGAGCTTATTAAACGATTGACTAAAATCCATGGCCACTGCTTCAGACAGTTCACCCAAAGGGGCGAGTCACATACAAAACATGCTCTGTCTTCCCTGTGGGGCCTGGACTTGACTGGAACATACTGTGGTGCAGTGACTGAGGGGGCACCGCGGAAGGCCTGGTGGTAACTACTTGCTTATTCCGAGTGCAGTCAAACCTGGCAGGGAGGCAGGGCTTGGGAATGGGACTCAAGGACCGTGCCTCTGGCCAGCAGGGACGAGGGTCAGTTAGCCGGTCATCTTCGTGTCCCCCATCATAGGACCCTGTTTTCAGCTGTTATCACCACCTCACCCTGCTGATGAGCCCCAGCGAGCCCTGCAGGAGTGGGTGAGGCACAGCAGGTTCCTTTCTCGGCGGCGGCTCCAGGCCCCACCTCTGGCAAGACCAGCCTTACTCTCAGCCTCCCTCCTCCCACATGGCTCCAATGAGGTGAGTGTCTCTGTCTCAGGCTGTGGCAAGGCCAGGCCAGCATTATAATCATGCATGAGAAAAATCCAAGACAAGTATTTCCAATGCCTGCAGCCAACTGGCTCTGGGCTTGCTCTGCTCTGCAGAAGAGGTGGTGGAGGCACGTTGGAGGACACAGGCCCAGGGTCAGAGGCTCTGGAGCTCAGTCCCCACCTATACAAGAGTCATCATTCTAGTGCCTCAGCTGAGGCTCACTGTCCGTGTCTGTTAGCATGGAGCTCAGAGAATAGACCTGCCCCGGTGCAGAGTAAACTATTAGATGATGAGAAAGAAAAAGAAACATTTTATCTGAGGAATGCGAGTCCCTTTAAATGATCAGGCCCAGAGATGCATTAAAATATGACAGCAGTCGTGTCTCACTCCACTTGAGCTAAACAATGACCTCTTGAAGCCACTTGCTATGTGGGTTCTAAACTGACTGACGCCAAGTAGCCAAAAAATGCCATTCACCTTATAGTTCAACAATGTATAGCCAATCACTGACCAATGTTATTTCTGTAAACCAACGAGAATTCCTGAGGAACAACTTCTGTAATTGCCCCCTTCCTGAGTCGTCATTTTTTCTTTAAAACTTGAGCCTCTCATTTGTTTTCCAAAGCACTTCCCAGTGTGCAGTGTGCACTTCCCCATTCTGCGGTGCTCAACCTTGGCCCAAATAAACTCCCTGTTTATTAACTTTGCCTCGGTTTCTTTCTTTAGGTCAACAATGTGGACTGCACTTAACCTCAAATCCAACGCAACGTCCTGGCCCTGGGATGTTCACAGTGACCACCATGCCACTGCCTGGGCCGCCCTGTTTGTCCCCAACCCTCTCTTCACCATGATCAGCCTTCGTGTATGGTGTACCCATGACATAACTAACTCCATCTTAGAAAAAGCCTCCATTTCTTTTCATAGAGCACTCTGCCAACAAGGAGAAGATATTTTGTTGAATAAATAAATAAATAAATAAAGGCTGCATCCAACCAGATAAGGACACGCGCACACTCTTCCACTATTGGTTCTCACCAGAGGGCCCTGTGACCATACAAGATTAGGCCTGAACAGCTCCAAATGGCCGTCTTAACTGCCACTTTATTGCAGTCACTCGTGATGAGAGCTTGACATCTGCCGCCAGAAGCTCTGCTACCTTCAAGATTTTCTTGTAAGACTGATGAATCCTTCGGTCCAGACTGGGACTCCTTTTGTCTTCTTGGCTTCCCCTGGACTGGTTCATTAACCCTTTCTCCTATCTCTTTTTCTTCTTGATGTTAAATGTTACTTTGTTTGCTGTGGAATGTTTACCTTACACCATTTATAGGTTAGGTATACTATTATGTATGGTTTGCAATACTGACTGACTTATGGAGTGGCATCAGCCTGTGTGCCCGCAGCTCTGGCTGCAAAGTAATGGGAAATACTACGGAAAATTGCCTCCTTAGGAGCTCCATGTAGCTCATGGCTTTTGTGATTGAATCACAATCAATAAAAGCCTGACACTGTGGAAAAACACAAACATGCGTGGACCTAGTTATCTCTAACCTTGCACTACTCATGACACTTCGGCTCTGGGGCTTGTGGTGCAGGGGTTCACATGCTGTCCACTCTGTCAGATGAAGCCCACTTCCAGGTACTTCCAACGGCATGTCAACCCGGATCTTCTGTCCTCCCAGAGGGACATCTGAAGTCACTTCAGCTGTTCCTAATGTGACATATTTTTAGTCCATTCATCATCCTAGTCACTTGCTTCCTATTTTTCCTTTTATATCCCTTTAGTTCTTAATGTAGTGATTTTCTTTAGGAAAACAACAACAACAAACCTGCATGTCTTAGCTGAGTCCTGGGGAAAAAGAAAAGGGCACCCGTGTCTGTCCAGATTAAAGTCCGTGCATGTTTGTGTCTTTCCACAATGTCAGGCTTTTATTGATTGTGATTCAATCACAAAAGTAAAGGGCCTCAGAACAGGGACTGGCTTGGGGGTGGGGGGATTGCGCTCAGGCCTCAGGAGACAGACACAAGAGTACCCCCACCAGGCTTAACTCTGCTCACAGCTAAGAAGGTCTTCTGTTGCTAGGAAGGAAGACCCTTTCCTTCTAACCAAGCACACAGGCCAGAGGTTTGCTCACCCAAGCACTTCGGATTTGTAACCAGTGAGGGCCCAAGACAGACTGTGGCAGCTAAGCAGGAGGTGGGAGGTGGAGTCAATGAGCTCCCGCAGAGGGAGACCCCACTCTGCTCTTGTTTCTCGTGTGTATTCACAGGCCCTGCCTGCATTGCCAGGCCTCAGCAGAGAGACAAGAATGACATTCCCGTGGCGGCACCCAGGGAGTGCTGATTCCACTTGAAGATTTCTTGCTAATTGAACAGTTACTTACACCTTAGCTAAGTCTTGAAATAATTTCTCAAAAATAAGCTGCGAAATTCTTCATTGGTTGACCCTAGCATTGGAGAAAATTGTTCTGCTCAAGCAGCAAAGAATGAGTTTTCTTAACTGGGGCTCCAGGGGATGTGCCAATCTACCCAGTAGAATCCAAAAGAAGTAAGAATTTCACACAGAGATGCTCTGCCCTGAAATGGATGCTACACAGGGCCTCAGCGATCAGATTTCCGGGGGACAGACAGACAAATCCGGCCATAAAAGGTAGGCATATTGTTAGCAAAATGGAGTCCGAAAAACAACAGACCTGGGCCCACGCATCCAAGTGTCTGGGTCACAAACCATCTGAAGGGTCCAATTCTCCCCAATACTGCTGTCAGCAAAGACTCGGAGACTGCAATGGGGGGGAACACAGTCAGGTGTGCAGCGTGGCCTGCCCTCACAGGTGGCTGTCACGGATTCTTCTTTTCCTAAATTTCCACCTAGGGGCTGAATCATGTGCGTCCATTGGCACAGGTTGGACTTGGCCCGTGGTCTCCCAGGGCATGGTGCCAGCCACATGCTCTGCCCTGCCCCCTGTCCTGTCAGGTTTGAGGATTTTACAAATAAATAAAAGGAGCAATATTATAGCAGCAAATCAAGAGTAAAGATCAGGTGGATTGGAGGTATATCAGAAAGAACTGTGATCAGTTTAGCTGTTCTTGGCAACATTGATGGGCCACTACCAGTCACTGCCTTTGAACAATAACATGAAAGGAAAAGTCGCATCGGTGAAAACAGTGGAACTGAATAATAACGAGGAAAACAAACATCTACATTTACCCATGTTTTTCCTTTAAGAAAGAAAAGTTACATTTGTTCTTTATATGCTTAAATGTTTAATTTCCATTAGAAGGAGTAAAACCATCAATTTCAGGTACAGGGTGACATTAGAGAAGGCCAACTATTTTTTAAAATTATGTCTACTTTAAATTTTGTATTGCCTGGTGCTATTGTGTTTTTTTAAATTGTGGTAAAACAATAACATAACATTTACCATCTGAACCATTTGAAGGCACAGTTCAGTGGTGTTAAGTGTATGCACATGTATATGGTTGTGCAGTACATTTTTAGGACTTACCCATCCTACAAAACTGAAGCTCTGTGCCCATTACACAACCCTCCGTTCCTCCTCCCCACAGCCCCTGGCAACCACCCCACTCTCCTTTCAGTGTCTATGAATGTGACTACTCTAGGGACCTCGCATAAGTAGAATTATAAAGGATGTGTCTTTTTGTGACTGGCTTATCTCACAAAGCATAATGTCTTCAAGGTTCATCGAATGCTGTTTTAAAGTCTGTATGTTATGCACCATGAAATAACCAATTACCATCATGTTGAGTGCTTGTACCCAGAAGGCTCACCATATTCCTTCCCAGATTTCAAAATAGAGATGATGATGATTCTTGTATGACATCACCTTCTACGGCTCCCAGCATTCGGGGGTTTGTCATACTACCTGTTCTACTCCTGCAAATTAACTTCAGAACACCATTCTTTTTTCCATCAATTTAAGAGCTGCATTTGCTAACCCACCCTCGGGCCATGTAGGAACAAGCATCGACTTTCACATCTGAGCAATTCTTTGTAAGTTCCATGTCATTTGCATGTTCAGAAAAGCAATATTTCGCCATGGTACATTGACATACCTATCAGCACTGTTATCACAATCCAGAGGCGCCTGTGTTTTTTCATTAACAACAGCCTGTGTTTTTTCATTAACAACACTTAACGCTGCTTCACTAGTTGTTTTCCAAATGTTCTGTAAGAAAAAATAATAAAATAATGTGAGAGAGCTGCTTATGAAAACCCAGTACATTTGGGAAAGTAATATTACTTCATTAACAAAATAGCAGTGGACCCCTGCTGTGCGCCCAGCACTGTGCTGGGCACCAGAGAAGCAACAGCGAGGAAAGCAGACAGCTTCATCCTCCCAGGGCTCCTGTTCTGCCAGAGGAAGCCAGAAAGCAAACATGTAGCCATAACAGCATCTGCTGGGGGTCGTGCTGCGGAAGAATAGAGCTGCAGGAGGGATTCGTGCGGGGTCGGGACGGGGTGGGGGTGGGGGGGGGGGGCGCGGTGCTTTTTTATACACAGGGTCAGAGAAGGCCGCTGTGTGTGACGACATCTAAGCAGAGCTGGAAGAGGAGGAATGCAGAGCTATGCCGAAGGTGGAGGCACACCTGCTTCACTGCAGGAGCAGCAGAAGTCTCGTGGGGCTGCAGCCACAAGTGGGAACCAAGAGAGCACAGGAGGTGACCTCAGAGTTACGGGAGGCCAAGTGGGGTCAGACTCAGGAAGTGGAGTTTCATTCTGAATGAGATGGAGGGTTCTGAGCACAAGAGTGGCACGCTCCAATGCACAGAAGCAACAGTGTGGTTGCGGTACTGAAGAGAGCCTGGCAGGCAGGAGTGGCAGCAGGGGATCCACTCAGAGGGCTATGAGGATGGCAGGTCTTGATTGTGGAGTGAAGGCAGAGGGTGAACACCTCTGAGGCTATGGGGTGGCCGGGCTGGCTGCTGGACTGGAAGTGAGATGGAGCCCAAGAGAGAACTCAGAGACAATGCCACTGGGCTTGCTCGGCCTGTGCACACTGAGAGCTTAGGTGGGGTGGGGGCATTGGAGGGCAGGTGAGGGGTGCTGGGAGCCCATCTTGGTCATGAGGCCTCTGTTGACCTTGCATTGACCTGTGCAGCTCTCCTTGTGACAAAATCTCAATCCTGGTGGCACCAGGAAAGCAGGGAGGTGCCCACGGCACAGGAGGAGGGGGGACACTTTTGGCCTACGGGAAGCTGGCCACCTTGTTTCCTACACAGGACGCCTGTCCAGAGACAACGCCCCACTGTGGACATGATTACAAAAAGCAGCCACCATCCCTCAGACTGAGGGCCCAGGGCCTCACTCTGGCTCTTGAGAGAGCTGTTACCAGAAGTAGTTCCAGCCAGTTAAGAAGTTAGTATAGGTTAACCAACGGCCCAGCCCCTCCCTGGGATGTGCGCTCCCTGTGCTGTGGGCCTTTTACAGATTTGTAACTACAGGACATCAGGTGCTTCATCTTTCAGGAGAACAACACAGGAAGGTGTCAAGAAGGCCAGAGTGGGAGCTGAAAGATGCCAGCTCGTGCCTGAGTGCATACGCCTGGCACCTGCCCCTCTTCTGTGACGAGAACAGGGAACCCCTCTGTGGCCTCCCAGAGCAGGACCTGGGTAGATCCTGGCAGTTTCCTGAGGATGTGAAACCCAGGGGCTGAGACAGCTGCATGTACCTACAACCCCTAAAAGGCATGGTGCTAGTGAGCAGCATGGGAGACACAGGGCTTTGCAAGACACTATCCTATAACTATGCCCAATCAGCAAACTGCCCAGCACGTCCAGGAGCTGGTGTATGGCCCTGTGTGACCTTCGCCTGAGCCCACTGGGGCTGTAGAGAGCAGAGCGGCCAGAATGCAGCTTGGAAATGGGTCTCCCAGTCAACCAAAACCAGAGAGCCCCCTGATTGCACATTTCACCAGGACCAAGCCCTTTGGGACATGATGGTCAAATCCTAAAGGCATCGATCTATGCCCAAAGCTGAGGTCCCAGGTGGCTGAACCTTGGAGTCACCTGGGTGGGGTGGGGTTGAAGCACCATCACCCTGAGCCACGCCACAGCATGTCTGTTAGAATCTTCAGAGGCAGGGCTTGTGCATGGTTTTGTTTGGTTTCTTTGACTTTTAAGCTCCCTAGGTGATTCTGCATAGCAGATCTGCACCAAGTGTTCAAGAAGCATGAGGTCTGTTTGCCCCCTTGTGTTTGGAGGTGAGGGCACTAAAAGCCTAAGGAAGTCACTGTATGTGGCTATTTACATTGTGTAATGTGAGAAACGCAGGTAATATCACCTCCCCTCTAAAACACCTCTCCCCAACCTCCTGTTCTCAGAACCATCAGACGCTCATCTTACTAAATATCCTTCCTTGGGAACCTAAAAATGCCTCCTTGAACTTTCGCTGACAAAAGTGATGGCAGAGCAGAGAAAAGCTCCCAAACACAAACACTGTGGGTTGAGATCAAATTCATTTCAATATAAACTCAGATGGATGTGCTACGGAGGGGGTGGTTTAATAACGCTGCTCTGCATGAGGAATACTGAAAAATGAACTGCAGGAGAGTCTTTGCCAAGGACAGCAGAGGTTCTGGGAGCTTCAAAGAGAACTGGCTTCTTTAAATTTGAACTAGAAACGCACAACTCTGGGCTGTCTGTGCATGTCCCTTTGGAACCAATGCTTATTCTGGGTGAAAAGCATGTCTCACTCAGAAGTTTTCACTCTTCTCTCGGACCCCACCCACAGATGTGAGAGTCACTCCTCTCACGCTTCTCCTCCATCTCCAGGGCATTGCCCAGGCCTTCAGACCCAAGCCCTGTTAGCTACTCTGATAAACAGATGCAAGGGAATTCACAAACATCCAGGTAGCCCAGTCTTAATTAATAGGGGTCTTCAACGAGCTCCCCACACTGCGCAAGTTAAGCAGGGTTTCAGTGCTTTGGCTGCTGGAAGCCTTGTCTGTGCTGGAGCCATCTCGGGGCAGCTCCCACTCCCCACCTGGGGGACAGCACCCACTCCCCACCCCGGGGATAGCCCCCACTCCCCGCTTGAGGGGCAGCCCCCACTCCCCACCTGAGGGCTACCCTCCTACTTCCCACCTGGGAGGCAGCCCCTACTCCCCACCTGCAGGGCAGCCCCCACTCCCCACCTGAGGGCTACCCCTCACTCCCCATCTGAGGGCTATCCCCTACTCCTCTGGGCTGGGCTAGCCCTGCCTGCACTTCTTATATGTGGAACTATGCTCTGGAGCTGAATTAAGGCTTTATAAGTCACACTTGCTTCATTGGCACAAACACACATGATAGGAAAACAATCCCTGATGAATTCCTGATGAAACATGGAGGTGCTTTTTAGCTGTACTGTACATGTACTGTATTCAGGAAGAAAAGCCTAATTTCCCCAGATCCAGGAATACCTTCTGCCTGGAAGCTGATGAGGATGGGCTCTGTGATTCCCGGTCTTCTGCCTTTCCATTCAGAGCACACCAAGGACAGCCACACTTCCCATCACTCATAAGAAGCACATGATTAGCATAGACCTCTAGAGAAAAAAAAAAAAGCAAACATTCTGAAGACTGCAATGTGCTGGGAAGGTGAGAACATAAAGCTGGAGAAGCCCTAAGTTATACATAAGGTCAAAGCCACCTGGGCCTAACAACGGGCTGATCATGAAGATGCGTGTCCTTGGGCTGCCGTGTCCTGCTGTGTGTGTTTTCTTTCTATTTCCTTGCTTAAACAATGTCTTAGGTGTAGCCCACACTAAGCAATATGAGGAAACGCACAACCACCAGCCACGCTGATAATGAATGCCTGTTCCAGAAACACCCAGTGGTCTGGTCATAAAATAATGAGGGTCAAAGGTCCTGCTCAGGGGTGTGTAGTAGAGGGGGCAACACCACAGTCGGAAGGAGTGGTTGGGGAGCTGTTGGACAAACAGGAAGACCATTAAAGACACTCCAAAGTTTATAAGCAGGATGTTCCCACCCAGGCAATCTGGCCCTGATGGTAGCACGGACCTGGCTGACGTTCACTCCTCCCATCTCTGAGGGCTGAAGGCCGGGCAGTGAGCGGAGCCAGTGTCCACCCGGCTGGGAGGCTGAGGGCCCTGCCACATCCCATGTCTGTGAGAGCATCTGGAATAGGATCTGCGCACAGCTGACAACTGTTGCCAGCGATGACAGGTCCTTGAGTGTTTGTGATGCCATTCTCTCTACTCATGCAGATGTTTGAAAATGTCCATAATAAAAGTTAAAAGAAAATATTTCTGCTAGACCTGGCCCTGCACAGAGCCACTCTCAGCAAGAAGCCAGGCGACTGCCTTGGGTGCAAGAGCTGCTTTCCCTGAAGCCCCCACCCCTCTCATCCCCAGGTAGGAGGGGAAGGAAGTGGGGGTGGCGGGTGAAGAGGGGACTGGAGCACCCTGCTGCTTTTCTGTCAGACCCGAGTCCCTGTAAGGAAACCTGTTTCTGCCTGGGCTCTCTTAACCCCAGTCTGTTATTCTGGCCAGCTTTGCTCAGGCTAAAAGGAACCCAAAGGCCTGCAGGCCGCCGAGAGCAGCAGGTTCTCCAGGAGCTCCAGGCCAGGGCTGGGCCATCCTCACAGGGGATGTGGCTTCCAATCCCTGCACCCCAGCAGTGGTGCTGGCAGTCAGCTTGCCCCTAGCCTCCCAGGACACTCTCAAGTTTAGCCTAGGACAATATCAAATCCAGTTTTAACATTGTGAGTCAAAGTCACTATTTACTGTCAAGAGTCCAGTGTATTAATATCTTGTGATAACAAAAGCTGAGGAAAAATCAAAGGCCGTGTTCCTGGCCTAATATGTGACGTGCTACAAATGCCATCGAGTGCCATTGAGCACCCATGCAGGCTGGATGCACCAACTGAGGTATGAAGTAATTTCCTGAACTGGACACATCCGAGAGGAAGAAATATTTAGAAAATGTTTCGGAATAAGCTAGAATAGTCAAGTGACTCATATTTCTCTGAAACCAATTAGTCATCAAAGTCACTGTGCTCAAATTATCTGGAAAAAAAAGTGGATATACCCCTGAACAGAAAGAAATAAATAAAAAATCATAAAAAGTACATAAAATTGCAAAATTGAATAAAGTATGTCACAAAAGGAGAAATAAACTAAGTGAGTGAAACTAATCCTGAAATTGGCTTAATTGTCCCACAGAAGTGATATTTATAGGTTTTTTGAATAAACATGGAAACTGACTCTCCTAGTCTTAAAACCTGAAACTTAACATCCATCTCATCTGAGTTCTTCCCTCAGGAAACCAACCCAGGAAAGGGACCCACCAGATCCCTGCATCCAGCCAGGCCCCTCATTCCTCAGATTGCTTCCTCACCCCTCTCTAATTTTGTTTTCTCGTCTTCCCTGCTATATAAACCCCCAAGTTTTAGTCAGATGGGGAGATATATTTGAGACTTTATCTCCCTTCTCCTCATCTGCAGCACCTGATAAAGCTTTCTTCCCTGGCAATCCTCGCAGTCTTCATGATGATTATGCTCTGTACGTAAGCAGCAGCAGCAGGATGTCAGGCAAACCCCTGGCATTTAGGTAACAATTCCACATGATCTTAACATAAGAATTGCAAAAGAATTGGCGTTGCATTGTTTCAACATTGATGCCAGGCACACACCCGCCTCCTGCCCCGCGCCCCCGCCCCCCCACTCCATTTAAATCCGTCTCTTTAGAAATTAAAAAAATTTTTTTAAATTTAATTTTAAAAATCCGTTTCTCAGGTCTACCAAATGTGTAGCCTAAGTTGAAAACTCAAAAATTCCTTCTACTTAAAGGAATCCTGGCAATTACGTTTCAGGCAACACTTTAGAATTTTCATTTTAAAAATTAAAAACAGAGATACTCTCTGTGTTAAGGACGAGGAGGAAAACCCCACACCTGTGGCCATGCAGACACCTCCTGTAACCTAAGTATTCCCTTCATTGGGCTCTGGGAGGCCCCACTTACAGTCTTGGTTGTTCTCGAAGTGTGGCCCCCAGATCTCAGCCTCACCCCAGACCTCCTAAAGCAGAAAGTCAGGGGTGGGGCCCAGTGAAGGAGTTAAAAATATACCATCCTGGCCAGGCGCCGTGGCTCATGCCTGTAATCCCAGCACTTTGGAAGGCCGAGGTGGGCAGATCACGAGGTCAGGAGATGGAGACCATCCTGGCTAACACGGTGAAACCCTGTCTCTACCAAAAATACAAAAAATTAGCTGGGCGTGGTGGCGGACGCCTGTAGTCCCAGCTACTCAGGAGGCTGAGGCAGGAGAATGGCGTGAACCCAGGAGGCAGAGCTTGCAGTGAGCCAAGATCATGCCACTGCACTCCAGCCTGGGTGACAGAGTGAGACTCCGTCTCAAAAAAAAAAAAAAAAAAATATATATATATATATATATATATATATATATATGTGTGTGTACCATCCTGGCATGTGGACTATTTAAGTTAGAGGCACTTGCAAAACAGCAGGTTTAAGATCACTCTGACCTTCCTTCTGTTTCTTAAAAGCAGAAAATGAAATTCCCATGTGGAAGATGTCCTGTTTATACCAGGGAAATAAAGCAACATTCTTATCATGGTGGCCATGCCTCCTTCCCCAAGGCCTTACCGACCCACAATCCACCTCCAGGAGGGCTACAGCTGCACAGATGAAGACCCCAGCTCTTGTCAGTGCTCACAGACAGCTCACCACCAAAGGAAAGGCAGCAGGCAGCCTGGAGACACCTAAGGGAAAGAAAATAACCAGAGGAAAATTAAATTAAGTACAATCGTTTAATCACAGACATCCTGTGACCACTCTTCCATCCATATCCATATTTCTGCCACAAAAGTATTAAGTACAAAATTGGCTGCCATATGAACAAAAAGACTCGCATCTATGGTTCTTTTCACTTCATATTTCCCAAACTCAGGGTCTGTTTTAGAAGATTAACTGAAATATAGTTCCCATCTGACTACTAAAACAGCCTCCGAACAGATCCATCTCTCTTCCTGCTGCCTCCAGGGCTTCCTGCCCAGATGCACAGAGCTGACCTTCCAGGGCAAGGTCTGGCAGCTTCCAGGGCTCCTCTTCCTCCTCCTCTCTTCCTGCCTCATCATCCCCATTCCTGCTGCTCACTCACAGCCCTAAGAGCACATTCTTCCAGCCCATGGGGATCTGGCATGCTGCAGAAAAGAACAGCATGGAACCCATGACCCTGGGGAGAGATGCCAGCGCAGACACAGAGTAGGCACTGCATGGCATCCTCCCTGTTTATTTCCACAACAGACTTGAGAGGTTCCGTGCAGTTACTTTTTCAGATGCTGGTATCATTTTGGTATTTGTCCCTGTGCAAATCTCATGTTGAATTGTAATCCCCAGTGCTAGAGGTGAGGCCTGGTGGGAGGTGTTTGGATCACGGGGGCAGATCTCTCATGGCTTGGTGCTGTCTTTGTGAGTTCTCCGAGATCTGGTCATTTAAAAGTGTGTGGTATCTCCTCCCCTCCTCTTGCTCCTGCTGTCGCCATGTGATGCACCTGCTCCCCCTTCACCTTCCACCATGATTGTAAGCTTCCTGAGGCCTCCCCAGTAGCAGACGCCAGCATTATGCTTCCTGTACTGGCTGCAGAACCGTGAGCCAATTAAACTTCCTTTCTCAGTCTCAGGTATTTCTTTATAGCAATGCAAGAATAGCCTAATGCAGATGGGATCATGAAGGCCCAGCAAAACAAATTAACTCAGCGAAGCTCACACCATCAGTGAGAGGCAGAGCCAACGTTTAAACCTGGTTCTCAGCACACCCAAAGCCGATGCCAATTCTATGGCACCTTCCTTCAAAGCTCTCTACAGGTGTGCCTCCAGAGCTCAAGCTGCAGCTGAAGTCAGCCCCAAAGCTCTGCCCCTTGGCACAGCTGGTGACTTTCCCTCTGGACTCCCTAGGCCTTGACAGCTGTCTGCTGCTCTCATGTTTGTCAGCAGAGATCATCGTGGGTCATCATCTGGTCCCTGGTCATTCCCTTTCAGCCTGTAGCTCCTTGGGTCCTGAGGTATCTGTGTCTGGCACCAATCGACTTGAGAAAGATCAAGTGCAGCGAGTGAAATAGTCCTGAACTAAGGTGCGGGTTTCCTGGGTTCTGGTCTTGATTCAGCCAGAAATGGATGGTGTGATTTGGGTTTCTCCTCCATGCCCATTCCCAGCGACAGGGCAATGGGAACCGTTGCCAAGTTCCCAGCTCCATATAGGCTGCTGTGCTAAGGAGAAGGGCAGGCTCTACATCCACTTCTTCTAGACACAGGCAGTCACCTTGCCTCTCTGTGTCAGTCTCCTTCTCTGTTTGAGAGGAACGACACAGACCTACTTCACGGGGCTGCTGCCAGGACTGTCATTCTAGAAAGGGCCGCCCTGTATTAGCTAAATGCTTGGTAACCAGCTGCTAAAGGTGTTCGCCTTTGTTCTTTCCCCTGAAAAATGCATTCAGCTCTTTAGAATTCTCTTTTTTACCTGTCTTGGATGTCTATAAAGTCTAGAGGATATCTACTTTATCTTAAGCAAGGTTTCTACAAAGATAAAACTGGATAGTTTCACCCAATTTTTACAAGCCTGGTTCTTGATGCCCAAGAAGCCGCCACCAGAGGGCAGACGAGGACAATATTTATAGTTGAGGAAAGTGTGCAGGGAGGTGAAAAGCTGTTATTTTGAAGATGAAGATGGTCACTAGGTCAAAGGCCTCAAACTGTTGAATAATTCCAAGGATTTCCTTGCCTACTCTCAACTATGCTTGTCTTCCAAAGGCCAGAGAAATGAAAAAATAAAAAATAACAATAATAGAAAAGGGGACAACTTTGGAATCATACAGACCAGACCAGATCAGACTTAGAGGATTTCTGCAATGATCTAGCGGGCAAATAAAATTAAGGAAAGGACGAACCTAACCTCTGTCCACCACGTGCGCCCCACAGTCCACAGCTGTGAGACTGCCCACCACTCTGGGCCCACACAAGGTTAGATAGCCCTGGCACCCACCAAGTTCCGAGACCCTCCCAGACACCCCCACAACAGGATAACTTCCAAGTGCTACACACAGAAAACACCAGCCCTGGTTCCTGGGACATAGTTGGCCCTTGAGAAGTAATTTTCTGTCTCAGAAGGTGAGAAACACATCCCCAACAGGTGTGTCCTCCACTCACAGAGGCGCCAAGGATAGTGCTGCAAAGCTAATTTTCCTTGAGATTTCAGAGGTCTTTTCAAATAAAAAAAATGGAAGGGGGAGATAATTTAAATACAAGGGAGGCTCTTTTTCCTGGTGTTGTGAGGAGGCAGGTCCCCAGGCCCTGGCACAGAATCAGCACCATTTTCACAGAGGTACCTGGCTTCCTCTTAGTTAACTGTGACTGTCGGGGAACAGGATGATACTGATGGCTCAAACACAGTCTCTGAGGCATCATGTGCCTCAAGGGAACTAGTCGAGCCATTTGTTTGAATTACATGACAGATCTCTTAGAATCCCTTAAGAGTGAGTGTTTTTCGGGGCCTGTCAGGGGCTGGGGGGCAAGGGGAGGGAGAGCATTAGGACAAATACCTACCACACAAACACACACCACACACTCACACCACACCACACTCACACCACACAAACACACCACACAGCATCACACACAATATACACACACCACACAGCACATACCCACCCACCACACACACATCGCACACACCACACACCACGCACCACACAAACACACCATACACACAAACACCACACACACACCAACACATTACACACACATCACACAGCACACACCATGTATCACACACACACCATACCCCACTCATACCATACCACACATACACCACACACTACACACAGACCACACACCACACCACCCACACACATGTCCTATACCACACACACACACACAGACACTACAGGCCTAACTCCATGAAATGAGGGCTACAGGAGAGTCAAGAAACCTCTTCTGTTTCTATGAACAAGATCAGTCACTGTCTTGCTTTAGGTGACTCAGGAAACCCCAAAAGGCTATGACTTCAGAAATGGGGCCTCGACACCAATTACAATGGCTAGTGCGTGCATGAACTAGTTGGTCTGCAAGTACAAGATGTATAAATATACAGGGGAAAAAACATCAAGTCAGCGACTTCCGCTCCTCAGCTTTTCTTTCCTTTCTAAGGGCAAAGGGGTAATTCCTTGCAATTCCCTGACTGATAAGAGTGAAGGTCAAATTGGGCCAACATCAAGGCTCTGGGAGTCTGCAGGAGCATGGGCATTTGGAATAAAAGAAACATGAGGTAACCAGAAAAAATAAGGGAAAAAATTGTAGCCAAAATCAGACAATGCTTGGCAGCAGTGAGTGACATAAGGCAAAGAAATTTCCAAGCATGAATGTGACCAACCCCGTCAACACGTGCAGCCTCATTTTCTCATCCTGGTTTGCTTTGGGTTTCTTTGATAAAATGATGGTGATGGCACAAAGACAGTAAGCTAACAAAGGCAGAAATGCTGACAGCAAGCATTCATCAAGGATACTGATTTTTATAACGACCCTCTGGAGTTTACAGATGTGACAACAGGGGTACTCAGATTTTCAGGATGAGAAATCTGGGGGTGAGGAGGTAAAGTGACCTGCAGTGGCGGGGTACCCCACTGGGCAAGATCTGCAGGCACAGGCTCCCATCATGCCAGGCCAGGGGACAGCGGTGACCCACCTGGGTCCTTACCACATCCCACAGGCAGGTCACCTTGCTGGCCTCACGCCCAGGAAAGGGGGCATGGAGGTTTGCACCATGTCACACTGCCATGAGACAGTCAACAGCAGAGCACACAGGCTGCCCAGCCTCAACAACACATGGGTGCTGGCGCGCACAGAGCATGGGGAAGAGGGTTTAGAAATAAGACCCATGGAGGCTGGGTGCGGTGGCTTATGCCTGTAATCCCAGTACTTTGGGAGGCCAAGGCGGGCAGATCACAAGGTCAGGAGATCGAGACCATCCTGGCTAACACAGTGAAACCCCGTCTCTACTAAAAATACAAAAAATTAGTCGGGCGTGGTGGTGGGCGCCTGTGGTCCCAGCTACTTGGGAGGCTGAGGCAGGATAAATGGCATGAACCCAGGAGGCAGAGCTTGCAGTGAGCCAAGATCGCACCTCTGCACTCGAGCCTGGGCAACAGAGAGAGACTCCGTCTCAAAAAAAAAGAAATAAGACCCCTGGGCCAAGACCCCATGATCTCTTCCTGTGCCAGGTTTCTCCTGGTCTCCATGCAAGGGACCTAGCAGACAAGCAGATAGCTTAACTTTGTCTACTACCAGGCAGCAGAAAGTCCTCGAACTTGGAAGGTATCCTGCATTTGCAGGAAGAGCAATCAGCACTTCTCATGGCTGAAGGCATCCGCTTGGAGGAGTCTTCTCAAAAGCCTTCAGGAAAAAACTCCATTCTCAACACCAACTCCAACCTCTGAACTGACCCCGCCGGCCAAATGCACCCTCCTGGTACAGGGCCTCCACTCGTGCCAGAGTGAGCCCACATCCTAGAGGTGATGACTTTTGAAAGAAAATTTCTGAATGCATACTTTAAAATCAAGCTTACCAAACCCTCTGAGAACAGTGATAACTCACCTTTCCTGGTCATCAGAAATGTTCTGGGCTGCCTCCTCGGCCATGTCCTGTGCAAGCTGGTCACAAGTATGACAGTCAGCAGACCAGCTTCTTCCTACATCCTCTGGAAGACAAAGAAATAGAGCTTAATGCTTCCAGCTTCTGTACTTGTGACCTCTTATCAGGACACACATCAAACACAGAGGGAAAAATCCAAACTCCAGTAACATTTTCCCAAGCAGAAACAGCTTTTGTTTTCCTAACACTGTCAGACAAATTCCTTCCTAAGAAGTGTGCTTTTGACAGACGTGGTGGCTCATGTCTGTAATCCCAGCAATTTGGGAGGCCAAGGTGGGTGGATCACTTGAGGCCAGAAGTTTGAGACCAGCCTGGCCAATATGGTGAAACCCCGTCTCTACTAAAAATACAAAAATAGCCAAGTGTGGTGGCACACATCTGTAATCCCAGTTACCCAGGAGGCTCAGGCGAGAGAATTGCTTGAACCTAGGAGGTGGAGGTTGCAGTGAGACGAGATTGCACCACTGTGCAATAGAGTGAGACTCTGCCTCAAAAACAAAATGAAACAAAACAAAACAAAACAAAAGTGTGTTTTAGGTAGGGATCTTTGTGGCTGCCTGAAACAGATCACTACTCAAGGGAGAGACTGTACATGGAAGCTGAGAGAAGTCTGAGAATAAAAAGCTGTAACTGTTGGCTGGGCGCGGTGGCTCACGCCTATAATCCCAACACTTTGGGAGGTCGAGGTGGGCGGATCACGAGGTCAGGAGCTCGAGACCAGCCTGGCCAGCATAGTGAAACCCCGTCTCTACTAAAAATACAAAAATTAGCCAGGCATGGTGGCACGCACCTGTAGTCCCAGCTACTCGGGAGGCTGAGGCAGGAGAATTGCTCGAAACCGAGAGGCGGAGGTTGCAGTGAGCCGAGATCGTGCCACCACACTCCAGCCTGGGCAACAGAGCGAGGCTCTGTCTCAAAAAAAAAAAAAAAAAAAAAAAGCTGTAACTGTCCACAACTGCACTGGGGAACAGGATACCTTCCACAAGAGCAGAAGAGCATTCCTAAGGAAGGCTGGCAAGGCACACACTAGGCGCACTCTGTCTTACGGCAGAACCTAGGAATGATCTGGTTCCGAACCTCCTGCACCTCTCCTTGTTTGCAACTGGCGGGTCAGACTGAGTTCTCTCCATTACGAAACATTTTCTCTTATATTTTTAAAGCACTTGTTAGTTGTCTTAGTTCTTTATACCAACATTTAAACCTTCAGAGATTTTAGAAAACTTAATGTTTTACTCAGAACACTAGATATTTTTTCTCTCCACTCTGAAGAGAGTGATACCAAGAAGAGTGGGAACGTTTTCAGGCACAAGCTCTTTCTCAGATGGGAACACAGACCCCTTGAACAATGATGAACCAAGCTACGGGTGTCCGGCCTTGGATCCTGTGTTTTCTGGAACTTTGCTGCCAATGAGGTGAGTAACCAGAGCCCTGTGGTGGGTTAAGGGGCCTGCTGTTGACCTAACACACCTGTCTCCTGGGGCCTGCTGCCACCTCTGCTCTTCTCACACTGCCTTGTCAGTGCCTCTGGCTTTGTCCCCACTGTGCTTGTTGTGAGTAAATCTCAGATTTGGGGGAAATGCATACTTTCCAATTTCATTAGCAATACACTTTCAAATGCGCCTGTGACCAAGAAAAGGATAAACTGCAAACTGCAGTTTGTAAACGAACAAAATCCCTTCTTTCTGAAGCCCCTGTGATTTGCTCTGACACCTTCCTGTCAAATCTAAACAGAGTCCACTGGGTAAAGACACCTGTGCAACCCTGCCTGCTGGGCTGGCATCCATACCCACACGCACACCTGGATGCTCTGACCTTGCTGCTGCCTGTTCCTTCCTTGTGGGGCTGGACATCCTGAGAACAGGGCCTACATTTAAAGTTTGTGATGTTTTTGAAGCCAGCAGTGCTAACCAAAGATGCCAGGAAATGAGGAGGAGCAAAGAAAGTGACATAATTGAGGGAAGAAATATGCCTGCACTGCCCTACGTGGGAGGCACTCTCATAGCCACTCTCATAGCCACTCTCAGCTACTGGAGCTTAAGTTACTTACAATTAAATAGAATTAAGAATTAGCTGGAGAAACCCCGTCTCTACTAAAAATACAAAAAAATTAGCCAGGTGTGGTGATGCACGCCTGTAATCCCAGCTATCCAGGAGGCTGAGGCAGGAGAATCGCTTGAACCGGGGAGGCAGAGGTTGTGGTGAGCCAACTTCGTGCCATTGCACTCCAGCCTGGGCAATGAGCGAAACTCTTGTCTCAAAAAAAAAAAAAGAATTAGCTTTAGCTTCTCCATCATTAGCCATATTTCAAGGGCTCAGTAGCCAAGATACAAACTATACAATGTTTCCATCATTGCAGAACACCCTCGGGGCCAGCGCTGGGCTGGGCAGCCTCGCCTTTTTCCGGGCAGTGCGGCCAGCATTGTTTCCTCAGAGCAGCTGCATCCAGACAAGGGAGGGGTTCCCAGTTCATCTACATTCTTGGGCCATACTCCTCCACCTGGGGTTTGCCGAGCACTGCACTGGTACAACAGGGAGCACAACACAGAACCAAACTCACTGCTTCCCTCCCGAGGACGGAGGGGTGTGCTGCTTAAGGTGAGACGTGGATGCAGCCAAGCAAACTGGAAAACGTCGAGTTTTGAAAACTGCTTTAAGTAAAAATATTCTGAATAAAATTAGGTAAATGGCTTCCAAATATGGCCCATTTTAAGAAATCACTATCTAAGCTCCTCATTTAGAAACAAAGACTCGATCAGGATTTTGACTCTCCTTATGACCTTGCTGAAAGGAGGAAAAAACACAAGAAAAATCATTTCTTTGCATGAAATCAATGTGCAAGGACGGAACCCCCTGGCTGGAAGAGATCCTGGGAGGTCTTTCCCTTTGTCTTCATTGTTTTAAACAAAAGCCACCTCCTTAGAATTTGTTTTTAAGCCACATTCTGTATTTCAGATTTAATACTTAGTTTCTAAAACTGCTTCTTAGGTAATAGTTCACTTAGTCAACCCCTGCCTTACTCCACAGACTTAAGGTGTTTAGTATGCACATAGTTCAGAATGAATACCTGAAAGTAGGTAGCACTGCCTGAAGACTTTCAGTAGTCAAAGTAGAAAAGCAAACACAGGTGTTTACACAGTTCACAGTGTAAAAAGGCACAGAGCTGCAGTTTACACAGCACAGGGTTCCTCCTCAGATGGAAACTTCAGCAATTGTTCTCACATGGGTTTTCATACTTGAAGATGTAATAGATGGCATTTAATGATACTAAGTTTCAGATTTGGGGAAATATTACATTTGCAACTCAGGCAAGTGTATACATAAAATATACAAGGAAAAATAACACTAGAATGATGGTTATCATGAGCAACCAACTTCGTTTCTCAGGTTTCAATGCAAGCCCAGGTTCTGATCATTATCATCTCATCTTCTGCCTGCTTCAGTTTCTCACCTCCAAATGGAGCTTCCCGGGAAAGCACCTGGCCCACCAGCATCACTTGACCTTCTTCTCTTTGGATGAGCAGTAGCACATGCTGACATGTCCCTTCCTAGCAAGACTGCCAGTCACTGTCATTTCCATTCTGTTCCTTGAGGCAGCTTGTGGACCTCTACTCATTTACCTTTAGATATTCTACATCTTTTTTTAATTAACACCCTATCCCCACTCCCAGCCCACGCTCTGGGTCCCATCACACTCACGGAGACAAACACAGTGCTTGGGCAAATTTTTGTAATTAGTTGTGGTGAAAAGAAAGAAAAATTGATAAGATCTTGGTAGAATGTCAAACTTACCATCCTTTGAGCTGGTTCCCAGAGCAGGCTGCACCAAGGAGAGCAGGGGCAAGGCTGCGATCAGCCCCCTCCACCCCATTTGCAAGCAGGCTGCTCCAATGGGGCTGCTGATCAGCATTCAAATCAGGGGTGGCTTTGGGGAAGTGAGCACAGGTAGAAAGCCCATAAATGGAACCCGAAGCAACAGGGACTGGCCTTGCTCCGCCCCATGGGCTGGAGCAGTGAGCCTTCCCTGCCTCCATTAGCATCTTGGGACAAGCAGCCAATCATAAGCACCCCCTGAGAAAGAAATCTCATGCCCAGAAGAGCTCTGGGGCCTTAGCCTCCCTTCACCCCAATATGCTTCTGGGCCGTTTTCTCTGAGATAAGTATGTCCTAAGTGATGTTAATTTGCAGGGAAATATGTGTCAATCATCTGTGAGGCTCAATAGTAGCTCCACTAAAGAAAAACAACATAGTTATTGAAGTATCATGATTTTGTGAAAAATAGCTGAGTGCCCTGTAATTTGCAGTGGAAGGGCATCATGGTACACTTTTAAAGCCATTGTCAAGTTAGAAAAGACAAATTTGCTATACCTGGGACTAAAAGTAGGTACTCTGTCTTATATAAAATCCTCAATAATTTGAATTATAAATGGCACCTCTCTCTTCTGTAGTTTTCCGTGCTTTCCATTGGCTTCAAAATAAAATTAAATATCATGGCTTGATATTTAAATACCTTGATAGGCTGCCCCCAAATGCCTTGGGTCCTTTGGCCACTTGGAGTGTAGGGGAACATAACCATACCCTAACTGTTCTCTCTGCAAAGTCACATGCAGCAATTCCACTGAAGGAATGCGATGATCACAGTAGGAATCATCTTTCAGCACTACAGTTTGGTGATCACTTTGATTTTTCTGTCTCAAAAGTACATTACAAATAGGGAATTGCCATAACCACCTCTGCATTTATCTTGTTCCAATGCAATTGTTAAGAAAAGCATAACACATGTATTACATGGGGTAATGTTTTAGGCCCTCAAGCACTTATTTTGAGTAGTATACAATTATCCGTATCATCTCAGCTTCCTCACCCTCACCTGCCCACCTTGTTTCCATCAAGGTGTCCTTTCGTCTGGAGTGGTTTCTCCACACTGATTATTTGATATAGACAACTGGTATTTCATGAAGTATGAATAGAATCCTCTTAGGAAAGGACTGCTACTTATGTGAGCCCAGATCGTATGATGGTACATGCCAAGGCAGACCCAGGACAAGTCCCATGGTCCCTCTCAGCTTCCCCATGGAGCTGAGTTGGAGCACCACTGTTTCTCTTGGTTATTTCAGACCTGTCCAGTGTGAAGGGAGGCCCACCTGTCATTTGGGACAGGTTAAGCCACCAAACATCTAAGAATCACACTGGGCATTTCTTTCTAGATTTAAGACTGCATGCTCCAAAAACTGGTAAAGCCCCAGGTAGGAGCTGCTGTGGGAAGGCCAAATTTGAACTAGGTGAAGTGTTAATGAGGAAGTCCAGCATCCCATCAAGCACTTCCCTCACGAGGGCCCCTTATGTGCTCTGCCTCCTTGGCAGGGTTTATTTGCAAACAGTGAAAGAAGTGAACAGAGAAAAGACAAAAACACAAGGTAGATGCCCTCCACTCTGTTCTGGTTCTCACTTCTGTCTGGTCATGTTTTTCTTCCCCTGTAAGGGGAGGATCCTCCCCCAGAAGGCTTCACTAGAATTTTCTCTCAGCAAGGAAGATAACCAAAAAGATAATTTTAAATTGAAACTAGTATGGTAAAAAGTGGTTAGTGTATATATGTAGCCTCCTTTAAATTTTTAAATAGCTTGAGGTTAGAAACACAGGGCTGTCTGGTCACAAGGTTTGAGCCCTAAGGTCACTGGATGATGTCATGGTGCGCTAAGACACGCCAACCAAACCTCTATGAGCCTCGGAAGAGCCATGGAAGTCACCCAGTCTGCACTGTGTGCTGCCGTGAACTGGCAGCCTCTGGTTAGCAGCGTATTTTCACTGAGAAAAAAGCCAATTTTTGCTTGTTTTGTTTGGTAAGGCTTATGTTATGGTTTAAGTGTGTCCCCTAAATTCATAAGTTAGAAGCTTGGTCCTCTGCAGTGGTGTTGGGAGGCAGAGCCTGATGAGAAGTGATGAAGTCACAAGGACTCTGCTCTCATGATGGCTTAATGCTGTTACCAGGAGAATGAGTTGTTATCAAAGATGGTCTGCCCCTCTTGCCTCCTTTCTGTCTCCTGCACCCACTTCTGCCTTGTGCCCTTCTGCCAGGGGACAATACAGCAAGGAGGCCTTCACCAGATGCATCCCCTTACCTTACTTTGGACACCCCAGCCCCTAAAACTGTAATTACTCTTTTCTTTATAAATGACTCAGTCTGTGGGAATCAGCTATAGCCACACAACACAGACTAAGACCGCTTATAAATGCTCACATTTTACGCTTCCCAATTTAGAAACCTGCCAATGAGTAATGCTATTTTCTCTTATTCCAACCACCACAGGTGGTCAGCATGTTTAGTCACTGTTAGAGAAACTGTCTCAAGAGGCTGAATGACTTGCCCCAGACTAGGACGCTGGAAAGAGCCAAAATCCATTCCCAGATCTTAGGGTGTGGAATTCAGCATCTTTCCAAGCTACATATGCTGGTTATGGTTGTAAGATTGGTTCATTTGGTGCTACAGGCGAATAGGAACTAGATTCCAGGAAGGCGGCTACATTTTCTCGTGCTACCCACAGGGTCATCTTCCTTACTGTCCAGTGATTTGTGAAGTCCTGTGCGTGGCTGGTCTCTCCCAGGATCTTTTAGCCTACAACTTAATAACTGGTCACTCTGCCCTCACTGCAAAGACTGTTACAGACACTGATTGATCCTCATCCATGTTGGGCCCATGGTAAAAAGAGATGATTCTGCAATGTGGTGCCACCTTATTGATCGAGACTCCAGTATTCTAAACCTGGCATAACATCAAAATGACAAATAAAAAGTTTAATTTTCTATTTATGAAAATAAGGATGTGCTGTGAAAAGAGTCTGAAGTCCAATGTTCGGGAAACTGTAATTGCCGAGTGAATGTGTAAGGCACTCAAGTAACAAATATTTATTATTTAGTCCCTTAAAAATAATTTACTTTATTACAAAGATAGTAATACAATTTCTAGAAAATACATGCATGTACAAAGATTGAAATAAAAAAAACACTCATAAATATCCAGATTTAAATGTCAGCATATACCTTCCTGATCTTTTTCTATCATACTGTATCTATCAACATCTAACCTGCTTTTTTAACTATAAGTCATACATTTTGCCATATCAGTACACTTTTTTCTGTAACATTATTTTTAGAGCATATCAAACCATAGTTTATTTAACCAATCCCCAATTAATTCATAATTAGAATATTTCGTGTTTTTCCAGTATAACAGTTCTATAATCTTTGATTATAACCTTTGTGTAAATTCCTATAAGTATTGAGTCAAAGGAGACACACATCTTTTCAGGCATTACATATAAAATAAATACTAAACTAGACTCCAGGAAAGTGGTATCAATTCACATTCCCAATAGCACTGTCCCAATGGGGCTAATTTATCTCCTTTTTAATCTCAGCGTATTTCCAGTTATAACATACCATTTTTACCTCTTGATTCAACAATTGTACTTAGAAGAAGCTCTAAAAATCCAAAACTGAAGCTTCCTTTTAGACCCTCCCTATTACAATCCGTATGAAAGTACAGAATTCGAGAGTGACATCAGCCAAACGGAGAAGTGAAGCTTACTGGCTTCTCTCCCTACCACATAATTTCAACTAGCAAATACCCAGTGGCAAGATTATTGCCCTGAATATCCCAGAAATTGGGAGTGAAGCTGTGACAACTCACTGGACCACAGAGCCAAGAAAAACCATGAACAGAGGGTAAAGAGAATGGTTCTGTTTGATCATAACACCTCTCCCGCAAGCCCACATAGCACCGCACTTGGAGAATTTCTCTGGAATCAGTTTCTACAGTGGGAAAAGAGAGCGGGAGGTGGGCATTCACCTTCCGCACCATTCTGAGACTCTTCACAGGGGCACACTATGGTCCTTTCCCCCTGGAAGCACTGCAGGTGCCAGCAGGGTTAGCCTGCTAGGTGTAAATTAGAAACAAAGAATGGGGGTGGGGCTCACAGCAGTCAACAAACAAATCACAGAGTGGACTGCAGGGAACCTGGGCTTAGGGCACCATTTGGCACTACACGGGCTGTAGCGTTCACGGGCTTAAAGACCAAAAAAGACAGTATGCTTACAATTTCTGGACAGACCTACTATACAAGGACAATCACAGACAAAGCCAGATTGCAAAGACTGTTTATAAATACCTACATATTCAATGCACAGATATCAATGTATAACTACAAAGATGAAGAACAGTCAGGGAAACATGATGTCACCAAACAGACAAAGTGCCAGTGACTGACTCTAAAGAGGCAGAGATATATGACATTCCTGAGATAATTCAAAATAGCTGTCTAAAGGTATAAAACTCCCTGGTAAAAATAACTCAGGAACTGATAACCAAATGATGATGATGATGATGATCAACCCAGAGGACTGGTTGAATTCGTTGCTCAAACCAGAGAAAAACACTGTCCTACTAAATGATACTATTTTAAATAAATTGATTGGTCATTACTGTCAAGCAATTGAAGTAATTTGTCCAGATACATATAAAGATGAAGGTTTTGCTCAAATTCAAGTGAGATTCAACAGCTGAATTAAAGCTATTCAAGAGCCAGATGATGTATAAGTGGCTATAGCAAACTGCAAGACATTTGCTTTTGTGCATATATCTTCTGCACAGTTTGAAATGTCTCAAGGTAATTTCAAAAAAAGTAAACACCTTCTTCATAAAGCTGTAAAATGTGGAGCAGTACCACTAGAAATGCTGCAAATTGCCACGCAGAATTGAAACCTCCAACAAAGTAGCTGCTTTCAGCGAAGGAAAAGAGTTCATCAACATTGACAATATTAACTACCCAAGAATCATTCTCTAGTTCATTGAACATTTACAGAATAGGAACATGCTGTAATTAGGCAATTAGGCAAGAGAAAGAAAAGGCATCTAAATCGGAAAGGAGGAAGTTAACTGTCTCTGTTTACAGATGACACGATCATAAGTAGAGAAAATCCTAAAGACTCCACCAAAAAAACTGTTCGAACTAAAAAACATTCAGTAAAGTTTCAGGATACAAAATCTACAAACAAAAACTAGTATTATTTCTTTTTTTTGAGACAAGATCTCACTCTGTTGCCCACGCTGAAGTGCAGTGTTGCAATCACAGCTCACTGCAGCCTCAACTCCCTGGGCTCAACCAATCCTCCCACCTCAGCCTCCCAAGTAGTTGGGACCACCACACCTGGCTAACTTTTGTATTTTTTGTAGAGAAAGGGTTTTGCCATGTTGCTCAGGCTGGTGGCAAACTCGCGAGCTCAAGCAACTCACCTGCCTTGGCCTCCCAAAGTGCTGGGATTACAGCCATAAACCAGTATCATTTCTATACATTAATGGTGAACTATATGAAAAAGAAATCAAGAAAATCCCATTTACAATACAATTAAAAAAAAATATATATATATATATCTAGAAATAAACTTAACCATGGTGAAAAATCTCTAGGATGAAAACTATAAAACACTGATGAAAGAAACTGAAGACACAAATAAATGGAAAGTTATCCTGTGTTCATGGATTGAAAGAATTATTTCTTAAATGTTCATACCGTCCAAAGCAATCTGCAGATTCAGTGCAATTCCTATCAAAATACCAATGACATTCTTCACAGATAGAAAAAAAAATCCTAAAATTCGTATGTAACCACAAAAGACCTTGAATAGCCAAAGCAATCTTGAGCAAAAAGAACAAAGCTGGAGGCATCATAATACCTGACTTCAAAATATGCCATAAAACTAAAGTTATAAAAACAGCATGGTACTGGTATAAAAACAGATAGATCAATGGAACAGAGAACCCAGGAATAAATCCACACATTTACAGCCAACTGATATTCAACAAAGGCACCAAGAACACACATTTATTGAAAAGAAAGTACAGTCTTTCAATAAACGATGCTGGGAAAACTGAAAATCCACATGCAGAAGAATGAATTAAACCCTTATCTCCCACCATATACACAAATCAACTCAAGATGAATTAAAGACATAGATTTAAGACCTGAAACTATGAAACTGCTAGAGGAAACACAGGAGAAATGCTTCATTACATTTATATGGGCAAGAAGTTTATGAACAAGACTTCAAAAGCACAGGCAACAAAAGCAAACAATGGGCAAATCAAACTACATCAAACTAAAAAGCTTCTGCACAGCAAAGGAAACAACCGATAGTGAAGCGACAACCTATAGAATGGGAGAAAATATTATATTTGCAAAGTATACATCCAACAAAGGTTTAATATCTAAAATATAAAAGGAACTCAACTTAATAGTAAGAAAACAAATAACCCTGTTTAAAAATGGTCAAAAGCCCTCTCCCTCTCCCTCTCCCTCTCCCCACGGTCTCCCTCTCCCCACGGTCTCCCTCTCCCTCTCTTTCCACGGTCTCCCACTGATGCCGAGCCGAAGCTGGACTGTACTGCTGCCATCTCGGCTCACTGCAGCCTCCCTGCCTGATTCTCCTGCCTCAGCCTGCCGAGTGCCTGCGATTGCAGGCGCGCGCCACCATGCCTGACTGGTTTTCGTATTTTTTTGGTGGAGACGGGGTTTCGCTGTGTTGGCCGGGCTGGTCTCCAGCTCCTAACTGCGAGTGATCCGCCAGCCTCGGCCTCCCGAGGTGCCGGGATTGCAGATGGAGTCTGGTTCACTCAGTGCTCAATGGTGCCCAGGCTGGAGTGCAGTGGCGTGATCTCGGCTCGCTACAACCTCCACCTCCCAGCCGCCTGCCTTGGCCTCCCAAAGTGCCAAGATTGCAGCCTCTGCCCGGCCGCCACCCCGTCTGGGAAGTGAGGAGCGTCTCTGCCTGGCCGCCCATCGTCTGGGATGTGAGGAGCCCCTCTGCCTGGCTACCCAGTCTGGAAAGTGAGGAGCGTCTCTGCCCGGCCGCCATCCCATCTAGGAAGTGAGGAGCGCCTCTTCCCGGCCGCCATCCCATCTAGGAAGTGAGGAGCGTCTCTGCCCGGCCGCCCATCGTCTGAGATGTGGGGAGCGCCTCTGCCCCGCCGCCCCGTCTGGGATGTGAGGAGCGCCTCTACCCGGCCGCGACCCCGTCTGGGAGGTGAGGAGCGTCTCTGCCCAGCCGCCCCGTCTGAGAAGTGAGGAGACCCTCCGCCTGGCAACTGCCCCATATGAGAAGTGAGGAGCCCCTCCGCCCGGCAGCCACCCCATCCGGGAGGGAGGTGGGGGTCAGCCCCCGCCAGGCCAGCCGCCCCGTCCGGGAGGGAGGTGGGGGGGTCAGCCCCCCGCCCAGCCAGCCGCCCCGTCCGGGAGGGAGGTGGAGGGGTCAGCCCCCCGCCCGGCCAGCCGCCCCGTCCGGGAGGTGAGGGGCGCCTCTGCCCGGCCGCCCCTACTGGGAAGTGAGGAGCCCCTCTGCCCAGCCACCACCCCGTCTGGGAGGTGTACCCAACAGCTCATTGAGAACGGGCCATGATGACAATGGCGGTTTTGTGGAATAGAAAGGGGGGAAAGGCGGGGAAAGGATTGAGAAATCGGATGGTTGCCATGTCTGTGTAGAAAGAGGTGGACACGGGAGACTTTTCATTTTGTTCTGTACTAAGAAAAATTATTCTGCCTTGTGATCCTGTTGATCAGTGACCCTATCCCCAACCCTGTGCTCTCTGAAACATGTGCTGTGTCCACTCAGGGTTAAATGGATTAAGGGTGGTGCAAGATGTGCTTTGTTAAACAGATGCTTGAAGGCAGCATGCTCGTTAAGAGTCATCACCACTCCCTAATCTCAAGTACCCAGGGACACAAACACTGCGGAAGGCCGCAGGGTCCTCTGCATAGGAAAACCAGAGACCTTTGTTCACTTGTTTATCTGCTGACCCTCCCTCCACTATTGTCCTATGACCCTGCCAAATCCCCCTCTGTGAGAAACACCCAAGAATGATCAATAAAAAAAAATTAAAAAAAAAAAAAAAAACTGTAAAAAAGAAAAAAAAAGAGCTCCATATTTACAGCTGTAATATCAAATAAAGTGATTATTTTTTACAACCCCCTTAACACCTTTTGGAGATGGCGTTTCTGTTTTCAGAAATTAACGTAAAATCAAGAAGCAAGATTCCATAAGCTCAGAACTCTGGACAGCTGATCAGGTTTACCTATGGTGCTTTGCCTTTAACTAGAGTGTGTGACGGTAGATTATTTCAGATATGTATGTAAGACTGTTTCCTGAACAATAAGATGTATGAAAGGAGCAGAAATAAATAATTTTTCTAATTAAAAAAAAAAAAAACATGGTCAAAAGACCTGAATAGACTTCTCAAAAGAAGACAAGCAAATGGCCAACAGGTATATGAAAAAATGTTCAACATCACTAATCATTAAGAAAATGAAAATCAAAATCACAATGAAATATCACCTCAGTCACCTCATACCAGTTAAAATGGCCATTACCAAAAAGACAAAAGATTAGCTTTGTTTGGGCCTTTCTTGGAAAAAAAAAAAAAAAGACAGAAGGTAAGTGTTGGCAAGGATGCGGAGAAAAAAAAAGCTTTTGTATGCTATTGGAGGAAATGTAAATTAGTATCCCCATTAAGGCAAACAGTATGGAGGTTCTTCAAAATATTAAAAATAGAACTAGCATATGATCCAGCAATCCCACTACTGGGTATTTACCCAAAGGAAATGAAATCAGTACATCAAAAAGGCATCTTGCACTCCCACGTTCACTGTAGCATTATTCATTATAGCCAAGTTATGGAAGCAACCTAAGTGACCATCAAGAGATGAATGGATAAGCAAAATGGACATATACACAATGGAGTACTATTCAGCAATAAAAAAGAACAAAATCTTGTCATTTGCAACCACATGGATGAACCCCTGGAGAATATTATGTTAAGTGAAATAAGCCGGGTACAGACAGTACACGATCTCACTTATATTTAGAATCTATAAAAGCAAATCTCATAGGAGATAGTAGAATGGTGGTTACCAGATGCTTAAGTGTTTGGGGGCAGCGGGGAAGGCAGATCCTGGTCAACGATATATAGTTACAGTTAGATAAAAAGAACTGCTGGGTGTGGTGGCTCATGCCTGTGCTCCTAGCACTTTGGGAGGCCGAGGCAGGCAGATTTCTTGAGCCCAGGAGTTTGAGACCAGCCTGGGCAATGTGGCAAAACCTCATCTCTACAAAAAATACAAAAATTAGTTGGGCGCAGTGGCACACACCTGTGGTTCCAGCTACTTGAGAGGGTGAGGCAGGAGGATTGGTTGAGCCCAGGAGTTTGAGACTGCAGTGAGCCATAATTGTACTACTACACTCCAGCCTGGGGCACAGAGCCAGACCCTGTCTCCCCCAAGAAAAAAAAAAGAGCTAAAAACCAGAATAGGCAAATATATAGAGACAGATATTAGACAAGTAATTGCCTGGGGCCAGGAGGTATATGGTGGGGGAGAGCAGAATAAGGGAGAAGAGAAAAATGAAAAATGATTACTTATGGTTAAGAAGTTTCTTTACTGGGTGATGAAAATGTTCTAAAATTGATAGTGGTGATGGTTGTACAACTCTGAGAACATACTAAAAACCACTAGACAGTCTATTTTAAATGGTTGAATTGTGTGATATGTGAATTATATCTCAATACAGCTGTTTTAAAAAGTTCTGAATTGTTATTTCTTCAAAACGATGGATGCTTTGCTAAATTGGCAACATACACTAAGAACATGAATGTCATTAAATACCTTTGCCTAGTGGCTGAACCAGAATCCCAACCCCAGGACTACTGTTGAGGCCACATTCTAGGTCCCCAAGAGTGGGCTCCTTCACACCAGGCACAGTACCTCACTATAAACTCAGCCTACAGACCTGATGGCCAAGCAGTTCCCTGCTGGGCCAAGGAAGGGCTGGAGGAGGATGGCAGGGCCACTTGGATGCTAGCCAGGAGCAACTGGAATGGGAAATTCTTAAGTGTCTCTGATATGGCACAGAATGACCTCAAAACTCAGGTGATAAAATTCTTGGATAAAAAGAATTGCTGGGTGTGGTGGCTCACAGCTGTGATCCAAGCACTTTGGGAGGCTGAGGCGGGCAGACTGCTTAAGCCCAGGAGTCCTGGGCAACGTACAAAACCTCATATCTACAAAACAATATAAAAATTAGCTGGGCGCAGTGGCACACACCTGTAGTTCCAGCTACTTGGGAGGGTGAGGCAGGAGGACTGCTTAAGCCCAGGAGTTTGAGACTGCAGTGAGCCATGACTGTACCACTGCACTCCAGCATGGGGGACAAAGCCAGACCCTGTCTCCCTCAGGAAAAAAAAAAAAAAAGCTAAAAGCCAGAATAGGCAAATATATAGAGATAGATATTAGACAAGTAATTGCCTGGGGCTAGGAGGTATATGCTGCGGGAGAGCAGAACAAGGGAGAAGAGAAAAGATGTGCGTACCAAAAGGATGTGAGGCCCTGAGCCCAGGGCAGGTAAGGCATGGGACTGCCTTATTTTACCCTGGCATTTAGGACAGTACTCCACAAACCACAAATTCTTATAAATCACAGCCAGTGAAAGTATGCTCAAAATCCAGAAAGCTCTTTTAAAAAAGGTCTCAACACTTTGAGATGTTAGTCTTGAAATAAGTTAATGTTTCAAATTATATTCATTCCTTTAAATGGATTAAATTGCTATTTCTTGACCCGGCAAAATTTTACCTTGGTAGATCATTCAATAAAGCAGCACTGTGCCCTTCTCTAAGTCTGTGGTGTTGTACCGGCTCCTGCCATCATTTTTCACAGCTCTTTGAGGAGCAAAGAGGTGGAGGACTTGGTAGACACTAAGTAGCAAGTTGTGATAAGAATCAGAAACAGACACCAACTTCTTGAATCTCAACTAAGGTTTCTTTAGCCACATTCTACACAAAGATAAAATCTTAAGCCATTCATTAAAATCTTCAAAATTATATGTATTTGATAATAAACATCACATAGAGCAAATGGTTAAGTCACTAACACATTCTCTTTAACAGCAATTTCAGTTTTATAAAACTACTTTCAGATATTGTTTCATTTTGTATCATGATTTTTAAGTTTTCTCACTGCAGCTGGAATTAATTTCGTTACAATGAGAGGAGGAAGGGTTTAAAAATTAAAACGGTGTCTTCTAATTTTAAAATGTTAATTTAACAAAATATTCCATCCTATTTCAACATTATTAAACATAGGCCAGGCGTGGTGGCTCACGCCTGTAATCCCAGCACTTTGAGAGGCCAAGGTGGGTGATCACGAGGTCGAGATCGAGACCATCCTGGCCAACACAGTGAAACTCCGTCTCTACTAAAAATACAAAAATTAGCCGGGCGTGGTGGCATGCGCCTGTAGTCCCAGCTACTCGGGAGGCTGAGGCAGGAGAATCGCTTGAACTTGGGAAGTGGAGGCTGCAGTAAGCCAAGATCGCGCCACTAGCACTCCAGACTGGCGACAGAGTGAGACTCCGTCTCAAAAAAAAAAACCAAAAAACAAACAAAAAACCATTACTAAACATCAAAAGAATCATTCAAATACACTGGTTTTATCAAAAAACATGAAAAAGCCAAAATATAAATTTTCATGTTAGCTAGTCTTCCAATTTCATTTTATCCTAAGCAACTTAGGTCTCAGTTTTGTAATGTGACATTAATATAATGTTTATGGATGGGTGTGATGGCTGATGCCTGTAATCCCAGCACTTTGGGAGGCCCAGGTGGGCGGGTGGCTTGAGCCCAGGAGTTCAAGACCAGCCTGGACAACACAGTGAGACCCTGTCTCTATGAAAAATTGAAAATTAGCTGGGTGTGGTGGTGCACACCAGTAGTCCCAGCTAGTCAGGAAGCTGAGGTGGGAGGATGCCTTGAGCCAAGGAGGTCAATGCGGTGAGCCATGATTGTGGCACTGCACTCCAGTCTGGGTGACAGAATGAGACCGTCTCAAACAAAACAAAACAAGAAAACAAAAGATAATGTTTATCATGTCCACCTCCACAGGACAATGAGATGTAATTATAATAGGAAATATGATGGGTATGTTTCAGGGAGAATGAGCACATCTACCAGTACTGAATCAGCTTTGATGTTCAGAAACATCAAAGAAATATGGTCTCATCACTTAACACAGATGATACCTTAGAAGTTTCGTTTGTTTCTACTCTAAATAGAAGGGTCTTCTTTCCAGAACGACAGATCCGATACACTGTGGAAGAAAGAAATATAAGGAATTACAACCTAAACCCAAAACTGGCCCCAGGAAGAAACTAGTTGGAATGGCAGAAGGAGCTCCCAGCTAAGAGCTGTGTTGGCTGGGCCAGCTCTCTAGGCATCAAGAGGGGAGTGGACTCAGGTGGGCTTGAGTCCTCAGCAAGAGAGAGACTCCAAATGCTGCAGCTGTGACACCCCACAGTGCTCTGAGTAACCAAGGCAGTGGCGGCGGGGTGACAGAGGCTGTTCTTTCTGTCACTGGGCTCCAAGGGGCAGGAGCAGCGGGGTGAACACACTGAAATGCAAGACTGACTGTGCGCTACAGGCCGTGCTGAGCTAGAGCCTCTGCCTGGAGGGAAAGTACCAAGCTCCCAGGCAACAGCTTTACGAATTCTGGCTACTACACCAAGTCTAAATACATGACGATTTTCACAACATCAATGAGAAATTGTTCTTTAAAGTCTGAATAAATAAATTCTAGCTTTTCTTTTCAGTGTCTTAAAAACAAAGCAAAACAGACATGAGCAACATGAAGTGATATGTTTATCCAACTGTGTGTTGTTGAATCAACTTTTAGTTAAAATGTTAGAGAGGGACAAATAAGTACAGTGTGTCGATGTGCGGTGCTGTGAGGGCACAGACCAGTGATCAGAACACAACACCTGCGGCCTCTCCCATCCTGACAAAGTCTCTGCATGCCAACTCCAGCGACAGGGTGCTAGGACAGCGCAGGGATGAAATACTGAAGGGACACGTCTTCATGAAGCAGATCAAAATGCACCATCTTGTTATTCACAATATCTGGGAAGAGAAAAGCCATGATTTTAGAGACCTAGTGCAGCACACACATTTTGATCTCTACTTTTTCAGAACAGCCTTCCCAGCCTGCACCTCCTGTTTTAGGCATCTGTCTTCCCTGAGGCAGCTGCAGAGACCACAGTCTCTCACTCTCACTGCCACAGCTGAGGCTACATCACGGCCCCAGCACTGGCGGCTCCCTGTGCGAGGAGAGGAAAAGTGAAGCGGCCCAAGCCCTTGGCAAAACACCCAGCAGGCTGGCTTCCTGGCAAACCACATTCACCCACATGAGCATCCTTCTGCAGCGAAGAGCAGCTCCTCACCAGTGAGTGGAGGAACTGTGCTGAGAAGAGCCAAGAGCCAGGATCCCCCAACACCTGGGGCAGGCTGTGTCACACACTGCTACATGGGATGGATCCCTGCATCTCAACGGTCCTGCCAATCCCGTGAGGGCCATGGGTGATGGCTAAAATCCAAGGCATCAGGCATGCAACCAAGCAGGGAAGTAAAGAGCACATGAGGGTGGGCAGGAGCACACAGTGTGACAACCACCGAGAGCTCGGGGAGCTGCAGCACAGCAGCCGAGGAAAGCTCTCCAGCAGATATGAGTGAGTGACAAGAAACCATGTGTGAGCAGGCTGCAGAGAGGCCAATCCCAGGAGATGGGAGGTTGGGGAAAGGACCAGAAAGGACAAGCAGGAGACAAACATTCTTTAGGAGAGGTGGTGCAAGGGCACAGGAGAGGCAGAGACTGAGGGTGGCAGGACCTAGCTAGAGGAGGGGACAATTGAGCCGACACCTGAAGGAGACTAACAGAGACAGAAAAGGGGCTTTGGGAAGTTAAGAAGGTATGAGAAGTTCAACCCACGGTGTTTTAAAAAAAATTTTTGCTACATCACAATTTGCTGGTCTTCCTTTCTCTGCTACACGTGGAGACACCAAAGTGAATGTTGGGAAGACACTTGGCTTAGTCAACCACCTTTGATAAGAACTCTTCCATGTTCCTCAACAGCCTTGGATTCAGAAAGTCCCCAAAATACCAAGTTCAAAGACTGATGTTGTGCAGCGCAGGGGCCCCCCACACCCTGTGTTTCCACACTCTGCAGACAGGAGGGGTATTTCACTCTCTCACCATTCACACTGTGCTTGTCAGGACCAAGGGTCTGGGCATTGTACAGGAGCTTGGGAGAAGTGCAGCCATGAGGCCCAGCCCAAACTATGAATAAGGAGTCCCTTTACATGACCTTCAGGCGATCTCCATGCACATCGAGGTTCTCAGAAGCACCTTTAAGGACCCTGCACTGCCACACAGCTCCCACTATGCTCAGCCCTAGAAATATGACATCGTCCATGTCAAAGTTCCTTAAAATGCAGCACAGGTACCTCACCCCAAAACTCCCCATGATCTGGCCTAGTCTAGCTTCTCCATCTCTACCCTCAGAGCTGCTTCTCTGGCGATATCTCCTTCTGTGCCCATCACTCCAACTGTGTGACACCTTCCCCAATTCCCAAACACCCATTGCCCCTCCCATGGTCTCTTCTGATTCTCTTCATGTCTCTCATTCAAAAGGGCTGGTCCTTGACATTGCCACCTAGAATCTTCTGTTCCTTCTCTACAGCACACTGCAGATCTGAAGGGGATGAGGTGCAGTGTTGGCTCAACCTCCCTCTCAGCTCAGCCTGGGAGCTATGCTACAAAACGTGGAACTTCAAATCCAGGATGCAGTCGCTTTTAGGTTGCTGTGATTTCAGTAGTAAGGTGACAAAAATGCCTTGAAAAGCTCTTGGCAGGTAATGCCTTTCTCATGTGTGGTCAGTAGATGAAGAGTGCTGGAGCAGGTGTGTGACCTCACAAGATGGGGCCCAGCCAGAATCAAGAGGCAACTGTTAACAACCAGCAGCCAAGGGACAGATATGGGGCAGCGAATGCAGGCCAGCATAGCCACAGAAAGGAAACAAGACATCACAAGGGAAAACTTAAATCCAAGCCAAACCGTGTCTGGCACTCTGAGCAGGTCAAATTAGATGACCATGGAGAAGGTGGGATGATCTGCACCCATTCTCCCGATGGCATCTCCAGGTGTGCTGGCCAACTGAGGCAGCACACAACCCACCTACCAACCAGTGTGGCTGCAGGTTTCAGGCCCTAACAGAGTGCCCAGGGGTTGTTTCTCTGCTGCCACCTTAGGTACTTCTGAATCTAGGAAAATTTAAAAAACCCCACTGTTCTAGGAAGTTAAAGTCCACATAATTGAGCTTTTTTTTTTTTTTTTGGATTTATGAGACTATATGCAATCTGTTAGACTAGAGTTGACTGCAGTATTTAGAATATGAAAGAATATGAAAAACAAAACAGAGAAGCACACTCACTGCATAAGGCCTTTGTGGGATTTACTTGTTGTCCAGCAAGAAACTGTAGGAGCTTCCTAATATCTATGTGCACTTCAGCCATGTGTTCCACGTTTCTGTCCTCATGGGTGCTTTCAGAGGCTAAAATGATAGGAATGCATTTAAATACAACATCTTCCCACGTAACAGGAAACCTGGAGATACTCAATGCATTTTACTTAAATAAATGATTCACTTTAGCACTGATTTTAGCATCCTGAAGAAATATTGCAACTTGTAAATGTTGTCATTCATTAAGCATTAGGTCCTAACTATTTAAAATACTATGATAATTTCCAAGGCATCTTTATTTACAGGGGACTTGAAATATAACTCAATCTCCCTCTTCAGGTCAAAGAAAATTTTATTTATTTGTACTTACTATGTATTTTAAGAGTGAAAATATATACATTAACTAATACAAGGCCTGTCATTCTGGAGTGGAATTAAAAAAAAAAAGAAAACATCCTTTCTACCTCTGAGAAAGTACCAAAGATAAGTCCCACCTTATGTTTATTAAAAGAAACAAAATGAGTGACATCAGAATGAATCGCTTTACACAATATTATCAAAGGCATAACCGTATGGATTTCACTCTGCTGGAGCAGGATGCTCTTAACTAGAAAGTAAAAATTCCTTCCAACTCTATGCTAAAATCTGTGTTTATATTCAAGCAGACTCGTAGTAACTTAAATGTGACTAGGGCCGATTTTATTGGTTCTGGCACACTTATGTATCATAAAATGATTTTCTCATCATCCCCAGGTGTTTCTCCCCTGGTCCTTTACCTGCTTTCCTGCTCAGGCAGCCCCTGCTACTGTGCAGCTGCCACTTTCCAGCCATGATTCTAACCCCCTCTTGGCTTATAACTCACCAAACTGTCCAACCGTCCCCTCTCTCCCCACTTGCTGAACTGACTCTATCGTCCCTTATTACCTTGTATGAGATAAGAAATGTGATCAAGTGAAACAGTTTTGCATCTGCTACACTAATTTCATACATATGGAAGTAACTGAAGGAGGAGAATATAAGAACAAATGTATCTACCTTTCTGAATCCATGCCAGGTGAGAAATAGAAATCTTTAGGAGTAGGACAGGAATTGAATAGCTGGAAGGGATCTTGGAGGTTATGTAACTTGATCCGAATTCTACAGAGGATGGAGACCCTGCACAGATCTGTCAGCTACTTGGTGGCACAGCTTCTCCCCCTGGTGGCTAACTGCCCCACTACACCACAGGGATACATAGTCCAGTCTCAATTCCTTTGTTCTTCACCCAAGCATGAAACAAAGTCAACTGAATTTCAACCTTTTTACATGAAGAGACCTCAACAGGTAGGTTATCTGAAACAATTAACTTATCCAAAGCAAAATATAACCCACTAGAAAACTTACCTAATGGAGGATTTCCAAGATCTTTAAAATGAGTTGTAACACATACTAATTCAGTTTCTATTTTCAAATTCAATTCTCCATCTAGGTTTGCTTCAATAACCTGCAAATTGAGTATTTTACATAGTCTTAGAAAAGGAAGCCAAAAGGAAAAAAACTCCATGGGCAACAGCTTTCACACAACCAGATGACAAAGTACCCTACAAAACCTCAAAACACCTCAGAGCACACTGAGACCCCCGTGCTATCAGGGAAAGTGAGAAGATAAGGCCCAAGAGCCAAGAACTCAGAAATCTCCCAAAAATCTCAAAGGGGAAGTCCCCCTGCCTGCCTCCCGGAATGAAGAACTCAGTGAAGATGTGAAAACAGGTGGAACTCCGAGAGGACTTGCCAGGAGACTACAGCAGCACAAGGGCAGGGCTCTAGGGAGGGCTGGGTGGAGCTGATGAGAACTCCCTCACAGCAGGAGAGAGTCCTGCACTGAGAAGGAACCACGGGAAGTAAGAGCCTCAACTAAGCAGAATGGGCACCTTGGGCAAAAAAAAGGGAATGAAACTTTAAATGAAGGAAAAAGAGGGACAGATCTCAGAAAGTCCTGGGGATGTGGTGAGGATGCATGTTTTAATATTTTGTGGTTACAAAGAATAGAGAATTCTAGAGTCATTAAATTAGAAAACTATTTTGGTCCACTTTCACTCCTACAATGAAACTTCCTCCTAAAAGAACCAGAAAAACCAGCCGGGCGCGGTGGCTCTCGCTTGTAATCCCAGCACTTTGGGAGGCCGAGGCGGGCGGATCACGAGGTCAGGAGATCAAGACCATCCTGGCTAACACGGTGAAACCCCGTCTCTACTAAAAATACAAAAAATTAGCCGGGCGTGGTGGCGGGCGCCTGTAGTCCCAGCTACTCGGGAGGCTGAGGCAGGAGAATGGCATGAACCCGGGAGGCGGAACTTGCAGTGAGCCGAGATTGCGCCACTGCACTCCAGCCTGGGTGAAAGAGCGAGACTCTGTCTCAAAAAAAAAAAAAAAAAAAAAAGAGAAATGAACAATAATAGACGCTATGACACAACAACATAAATCAGAATTAGGGAAGCTCAGACATGAGATGACCAGAGAGCACGCACATAAAACACAGCTGACAGCACAGGAAGTAATTAGAAACATAAGGAAAAATTTCAGAAACAGAAACTAGTTTAGAAGGAAGACTAGAGCAAATAGGCACCACAGAGAGAATAGTAAGAGAAACTGGGATGGAAAGGAGAAAGATAAAATTTACCAAACAGAAACAAAGAGTTAAAAGGATCTGACAGAAAATAATAAAGACAGTGGAGAAGATCCAAGCCCTCTGAGTCCCAGAAGAAAAACAAAGCACTGGAAAAGAAATGCTATCAACTACAGCTCAAAACTTTCCTGAAGTGAATGAAGAGTTCGGCCCACATATTGAAAGGACACACCACACACCTGGGAAAACTGACCCCGGATGGTCAAGACAATTGGATTGAAAGAAAAATGGGAAAAATCCCCAGGGTATTTAGTCCCCACTTTCAAATGAATAAATCCAAGCTGTGAAACAAAATCAGAATGGAGTCATTCTTTTTGATAGCAATAATATACACCAGCAGACAATGCAGTGCAGTGAGCCAAACTGACATTATAAACACATGATAACCAATGAAATCCTATTCCTGTGAGTCCTTCTTGAGTGATATGCTAGAGAATAGGCTTTTAATAACCAAAAAAATCATTGGAGAAGTTACAGCATAAACAGTGTGAGCCTTATTTTGACCTTTAGAACCAAAACTAAACAACAGGAATGAAGAGGACAGAATAACGTGTAGTAATAAAATTTTATGCTCTGATGATGTAGACATAATATAACCATTACAAAACAGGAAGGGGGAAAATGAGAAGAATGTGGAAATCAGTGTCTTATTTTTATAAAATATAAATCAACCATTTGTCATAAACACACATTTAATATGACTATAAGGCCTTCAGAATCTCATGAGAACATAGCCATTTATTTAGAAAATAAACTCACATGTTGGAAAATGAAATGTCCAAATCCAGAAGGGTCTGGGGCTGCTGTTGGGTTACCAGGACTGAGGATGGCTGAGCCAAACTCCACACGCCCAGGCTACCAGACTTCTGCCATCCCCTCATATACCATCGGGCACCCCTCTTCTACTCCTGCTCTTGCTGCCCGGGGACTGTCTCCACAGGTCACAAGGGACTCCTTTCCTTTGAAGCTCCTCTACCCACCCCAACAACCAATCAGTTCTTTTAATTGGATGGAACCTAGAAGTGAAGCATATGCCACAGTATGGTTTGAGGTTTTGCTAACCTATCCTGGTCCACTCCCGCACCTACAATGAAATTTCCTCCTAAAAGAACCAGTACCTGTTATTTCTCTTTTTGATGTTGATATCTGCCCAATGTTAAAGCCTAGGAGGTCTCTGGAAAGCCAGTGTGTAGTCTGCTGGATAGCATTTTGCCATCTAGTACTAGAAAAGTGCCACCTAGCAACTGGTCTTATTTAGGGCCATTCCATCCTCACAGTGTCACAGAAAGAAAACAGAGAAGGCACTCTGTCTGCACGGCTCTGTATCAGTGTTCATGTTTACTGAATACAATTTAGTGTTCCTTGTTCTTATTCCTTAAAATTGGTGAACTCTGAATAGTTTTCATTCCAGAAACAAAGTTTTTCTAATTTGGGTGAGCTCTTATTTCTGAGCTTTTCACATTAATAGAAAAATAGTGCCCCAAACTTACCTGTTGTATAATCTACTTTGAATGAGAAATACTCATTTTCAACCCTTTTCTTTCATTAATCCAAAAAAATATATTGTTATATTTCCTAACCCGTTTTCCTACAATCTGGAACAATAGTTGACTGAAATAAAATATATAAAACAATCTTTGTGAATATGCTAGACTGCTTAGTGGGGCTAAGGCTAACACATGACCTTAGCTCATTTGTTCCAAACAACCACACACCCAAGATCTGTAAATTCCCATTGTTTTGAAAAGCAATGGTTTTAGATATAAATAAATAAATACTTATTTAAAAATGCAACTTGCAATGGGCCTAGATGCACTTCAGGCTTAAATGTTCTCTTGTGTTTTCTTCAAATTCCTAAGAATCTCAGTAACAGAACATTAGATTCCAACTCCCTCCTAACCATTAACACCTGGTGCCTAGCACATGGTGGCCTTAAGTCAATACTTACTGAAGAAACTAACAAACAACTAATTCTCTGAACACTGGTCACTCATGTCTATTTTAAGATTCAGTTATTTGGGATATTATACACAACAACACACTTGATTTCTTAAGTATCAGGGTAAGATCTTTCAATGATTTCCTTAAAATAGTCAACTATTGTTTATAGAATGCTGACTATACTGGGCACCTAGTAAAAATTATCTCTAAATTTTTAAAAACTGACGAAGCCCCTGTCATAGCTGCACTGTTATCCCCATTTGGGGTAGTATCCAGCACTAGGGTACTCACTGCACAGCGCAGCCTGGAGCTGAACCCAGGTATGTGGCTCCAATGACTCCCCTCTTCCATATCATGACTCCTAAACATAGACTCTGGTTTCTATCATTAGGTGACCCTGCAGAGCCGTTTCTCAGATAACATTTGAAGTACAATATAGTATGGCAATGATGTGGTTTGTTTTGGCTCAGCAACCCCACCCAAATCTCATCTCGAATTGTAATCCCCAAGTGCTGAGAAGGGGCCTGGTGGTAGGTGACTGGATCATGGGGGCAGCTTTTCCCATGCTGTTCTCTTGATAGTGAGGGAGTTCTCATGAGATCTGATGGTTTTAAAAATGGCAGTTTTTCCTGTGTTCTTCTCTCTCCAGCTGCCATGTTAAGACGTGCCTTGCTTCCCCTTTGCCTTCTGTCATGACTGTAAGTTTCCTGAGGCCTCCTCAGCTATACAGGACTGTGAGTCAATTAAACCTCTTTTGTTTATAAATTACCTGGTCTCAGGTAATATCTTTTTAGCAGCGTGAAAACGGAGTAATACAGGCACACATCACAAAGTACTGCTACATGATGTGGTCTGAAGACAGGCAGCATCGACATCTCCCAGGAGCTGGTCAGAAACAGAGCCTCAGGCTCCAGCTCAGACCTCCCAAATCAGAACCTGCACTTTAACCAGATTCCAGGGGATTCACACGCATGGTAGAACTTAGAAGCAATGTCTTAGAACATGATGTCAATTCCCTCCAGTTCTTGCTTCTTTTTCTGCTCCTGCATGAGTCACATACAACCCACCCCATCAGTCACACCTCGCATTTAATGAAAGGAAGTAACTGGGCATCTCTAATGGGAAGGTGGGCATTTTTAGTGTGTTAAGTCTACCCATTTTCCTTAATTCTACTGCCTGTAATATTCAGATACAGAATTCTGGATACCCAGGAAGACCTCATTATGTACTTTGCTACAGTAACTTGATAACTTTCCATTTAGTAATTCCAGATCGTAGTAGCCTCTCCACAATATTTCTATGTTTTTTTAAACTCCAAAAAAGAGAAAACAAAACACCTCTGATGATTCTAAGCTACCCTTCTACCTCTCTACCTTGCTGACTCATTTTCATTGAACAGAAAGAACAAACAAATGCCATCCTTCAATTAACAGCCCTGTCTTTTCTCTCCTGGGCCTCTCTGAATTTCTCTGGAAGTCCCCAGGGTATCCCCAGATGAAGCCAGCCTGACAACTGGATCAGCATCACTGCAGTCACAGGTGACACCAACGTCAGCACAGTGCACACTGCTTCATGGAAAACAGATTTTATAGATTAAGTTATGAAGGAAAAGCTTTGAGTTACCCAGGTCCAATGACAGCATTGCTCTTAGTGTGCAGAACTCTAGAAAAAAACAGTCAAATGTACATTTTCTAGGCTTCAAAATACTTTTGTGATTTCAAAGACCTCTTGAAGCTAAATTTTGTTCCAGATCCATGCAACACTTATTGCTGCCTACTGAGTGGCAATCCCACACTGGGCAGCTGGGACACAAAGATGATTAAGATGGGGTTTCCTTTATCAAGAAGCTGGTGGTTCACGAGACCTTCAGAGATCTTAGCAGGTGATTTACCATGTACACTGGACAGCTCAGCTCCATGGAGGAGCTTCCAGAGGGGTGGTGGGGAAAGGTCTGTGATGAAGCATGAGAATGGCTAAGTGCCTTCCAGGGAGATGGAGAGAAGAAGCCATGTGTCAAATGGCAAAGAAACTGAACAAAAAAGAAGAGGCATTGTGGGGGAATACCAGAACCCAGCCTCGTTCTGCAGGGAGGGTGTGGCAATACAACAGAGATGTGGCTATAAAGGTGGCCTGGTACACTGTCAAGATCAAAAGTTTATGCTTCATCAGGTGGACAGTGGTTTTTAGAAGATTCAGGGACATAACCAAGGGTGTTTTTTGGAGCAGGATAGGAGGGAGCAGGGGGAGGAGGGAGGGGCAGTGAGTGAAGGAAGAATTCACAATAACCCCAGGTATGAATGAGGATAACCTACACATTTCCCACCACTGTCACACACTGTAACATTTCGAGCCATGTGGCCATAGGAGACTTCCACAAAATAAACAGAAAATAAACAGAAATATAAAAGTGCCCCCTAGCTTGGTGTGAGGTGTGCTTGGAATAAAGGCTGCTATGGTGTGGCATATCTTTGTCCCTGGCTCACTGAAAGACACTTGGCACGCAGACAGGAAACTCCAAACTCACTGTCAGTCATATCAGTGACTCACAGAAAAATACGGGCACGTTAGCAGGTAAAAGATACAATGTTCCAGCCGGGCGCGGTGGCTCACGCCTGTAATCCCAGTACTTTGGGAGGCCTAGGCGGGCGGACCACGAGGTCAGGAGATCGAGACCATCCTGGCTAACACGGTGAAACCCCGTCTGTACTAAAAATACGAAACAAAAAATTAGCCAGGCATGGTGGCAGGCGCCTGTAGTCCCAGCTACTCGGGAGGCTGAGGTGGGAGAATGGCATGAACCCGGGAGGCGGAGCTTACAGTGAGGTGAGATGGCGCCATTGCACTCCAGCCTGGGCGACAGAGTGAGACTCTGTCTCAAAAAAAAAAAAAAAAAAGAAAGATACAATGTTTCATACAAAATATAAGAGGAAAAACAGGCAGATTAAAGGCAAATATAAAAGCTTTCCTCAAAGAATTAGAGTTGAAAAGTATTGGAATAGGTTTCTAAATCCAACTAGCAATCTGCAGGTTCTCAGCACCAGGCCAGGTCCTCATAAGTGGGAACTCGGTTAGGAGGTGCCCACCTGCATGGACTGCTGCAGGGTGAGCTGGAGAACCCACGCCGTCCCACCAAATACTTCAGAGTTCTTTTCTAAAGAAGTTGTGACTTACAAGGTGATTGCTGATGTTTTTCATTTTTTCCACAACACTCTTCATAGTCTTCAAGACTGGTAAATAAATACTAACCTACAAAACCAATGAGAAAAAAGCACAAGTATTAAAAATATTAATATACTCTAGTAATGACAAGGGCCCCATAACTAACTCTAGAACACATGCATGCTCAAAAACTATGGGATACTATTTTACAATTTTCTGAATAAAGTTCTTTTAAAAATATAAAAAGAAAACCAATTCTATTTCACTAACTCAAGGATGCTCAAGCAAAATTAAAGAATGGAATGCCTGCCTCTGGTTACCTCAGCAACCATGTCCCTGTGGGCATTCTTTTGGCTCAAGAAGGAATAGGGTACTTCAGCTGAGATGCCCCTATATTGGTCCAGGGGGAATATAACTCAGGCAATCAGCAGGAGGCCCTCCTCTAAGGGACATTTACACCTATGATTCAAGGGCCTTTTCCATGCTCTGTACAAAAACATGGCAGACAGTCACTGCATCACATCTGAGACTGTTACCAAGAGTGCTCTATAAAACACAGGCTTTTTCAAAATCAGTGTAGGTGCCATCTAGTAAAAGTCAAGTAATTATTTTACCCAGCATATTTCTGTACTTTCTTCTTAAACAAATTGTGAGCAAGAGGAAATGGGCCCTTTGGCATCATCTTTACTTTCAGGAGCTCTAGGGTTAACCATCGGCATGACCGTTACCCCATGTTAGCCCTAAGCCATGAAATTCTTCTCTTCTTGGCTTTCGTGCACATCCAGATATCGCTCCTGACCGGCTGAGGAAAAGATCAAGTCCTGTGAAACCCAAATTGGTGTCTAAGGCCAAGAATACTAATAAATACTAATTGTCCTCCAAAAGTATCATTTGTGTTTTAAGTGATGTTACTGAGCGAGACATTTTCTACATATAGGATGGCATGACATTTCTATCATATGCAACATTTTTAAGATGCTTTATGTAAATAACAAAAGGCAAATAATCTAATGTTTTCGTTAAGTATCCTTTAAAAATAAAATATACTGCAAGACTACAACTAAAACTAGAGAATTCAAGTCATGCCATTTAATGTGGGGTGTACAGCAGGACTGCAGGCATCACCTACATCAGGATCTGGGACCACCGGTTCTTGTAAGTCCTTCCACAATTTCCTAGGAATCACCTTTATGGGGATGTCATGGGTCACAATGCGGCTACTGCTTGACATAGATAACTGCCAAGAAAAGAATTTAAAAATATTTTTATGTTGTTAATATTAAGCAACAACAAAACAAACCCGAAGACCCGGGACAAAAAAGTTGAAATACCAAATCTAAGTGGAATGCTGTCAGTTTATTCACTCAAAAGCCATTCGACCAATATTGATGGTGCCAATATTTATGGAACAGACTCTGGGTACTTCCAGGAACTGGGAAGTGTGGTGATAAGACAAAAAGGTCCTTAGTGTTCCAGTGGAACAAACAGATCAATAAAAATGCAAACAAATGAAACTGTATGAAATGCTCATTATAGCCGTGAGAAAGCACTCCACAGAGACCAGGGTGAGTGTGGGGGAGTTTCCTTAGACTGAGGAGGTGACATTTCAGATACCACCAAAAGCAGGAGAAGCAGCAGCCATGGGAAGACAAGAACAAGGGGACAGGGTTTCAGGCTGGGGAAACAGCACATGTAAAGCCGTGAGGCAGAAAGAAGCAAGCCTGCTATGTTGACGCAACCAAGAGAAGGCCATTCTTTGGGCATAGGACACTCAGAGTGCTGCAGTTTCTAACAGTTAAAAGGCAAACTATATTTATTTCTAGGGGCTCCTATGAGACTCACAGACCAAAATATCTTGCACTTTTGGACAAAAAGTATTATACGTTACTATCTTGCTTTTCCTTAAGCAATAGAAAAAACATACCAAACTTATACTGTGACATGAAATGCCCTAATTAGCTCTGAGAACTGCCTGACTGCAAAGAGTTGAGAGTTATGAAGAAAAGCTGGGCTGGGCGCCGTGGCTCATGCCTACAATCGCAGCACTTTGGGAGGCCGAGGTAGGTGGATCACTTGACGTCAGGAGTTCGAGACCAGCCTGGCCAATATGGTGATACCCCGACTCTACTAAAAAAATACAAAAATTAGCTGGGTGTGGTGGTGGGTGCCTGTAATTCCAGCTACTCAGGAGGCTGAGGCATGAGAATCGCTTGAACCCGGGAGATGGAGGTTGCAGTGAGCCGAGATCGCGCCACTGCACTCCAGCCTGGGTGATAGAGAGACTCCGTCTCAAAAAAAAGGAAATACGAACCTCATTCTATGAGTAGGAAGAGCAACTCTGGATTGTATGTATGCGCATGAGTTTGTGTATTTGTGTGTTTGGAGGACAGCTGTGCACTAAATTCATCTGGCAGTAGCATATAAAACATACGTGTACTGAAGAACGAGGGGCCATTTAAAGGTTATTATAGCAGATGAGGCAGGGTGGGAGTGGGGAGAAAACATGTCAAAGGTGAAAATGGATAGAGAAACCATGATTTCTAGACAAGGTGACAATACCACTACAAGAAACAGAGAGGCTGGAAGTTTCACGGCTTGGAAAAAGCAGCATTCTAGCTGAATGCATATGATAACAACACAATTTTAAAATGAGGAGGAACTGACTCTAATGCAAAATATAGTTATGGACCAGATCTTTAAATTTAAATAAACCAAACAGCTTTCAACAGTATTTATTGTTAAAAAGGCTAGGCTAACTATGTCTATTCCTTCGAGGCCAAGACTTCTGTGTTAGAAACCCTGACTCTCCTACTCACCAGCTCCACGGAGACCGTGAGGCAGGGAAAGTGTTTATTAGTCAGTTTGATTTTCAAAGCCCTGGCATTCTGGGCAGTCTTCAAGGCTCGAGATAAGTTTTCCGATGTTAGCTCTAAATAAATCTCATTGTTTTCTGCAGAGACACCCTCCATTTGAAATTCGTTGAAGAAGTTCTCCTAAGGGAAAAAAAATGAGGGATGAGGGAGGGTATATGTGATCTTTCCAGTGACAATCTGCAGAGTGTGCAGGCCTCTCAGAAGCTTTTGCTCACCTGTTCCAGCTCACACCACATGCTCACTCCTCCATTAGCCAGCTTGTCACAAAGGATGAAGTTAAGCTTATCAGGGCTGATGCGGAGGGTGCAGGTTTTGGCAAGCTTGGCTATCATGTTACTGATTCCTAAAGCAGGGGTTAAAATAAGGAATTACTAAAATGCACATTATGTATCCTAGAGACCAACTTATTTTGCAGAATTTCTTGTTCATCAACTTCTCGGTGGAAAAATAACCACTTAACGTTGGTATCACACTGGAAAGTACTTTAATACCCCTGATGTCACGCAATTCTCCCAACAAACTAGGGGAGATGTACAGCACACATCATCAGTGTTCAAATAAGAAAACAGGCACCTACCAGTCATTCATTCATTCAACATGGATTTATTGACTACTAGGTACTGCAATACACAGTTAAATGCAAGGTTAGGCACTGTCAGGGTGGAGGGACGAATGGGGCCTTGAAGGTATGTCAATGCCTGATAAAGCCGTCTATGGGAGCAGTGGCCGCTTTTTTTTAAAGCCACGTGATCGGAATCAAGTTTCAGAAACGTCCCTTGAAAGCCGCCTTCATCCCCACAAGTGCCCTCCGACCCGCCCCGCGCCCTCCCGGCCCCACCCTCCCGCGGCCTACACCAGCACCCCCATCCCGGCCCCATCCTCCCGCGGCCCCTTCCGGCGCCCATCCCCGTTCTGATCCTCCTGCGCGGTCCCCACCGCGCGCTCACTGCTTCCTTCCGTTCCTCCCTCGCTCCTCTCCGGCCTCCCTGCTCACGTGTGAAGTGGTTCAGACAGGCCCCGTCCACGATCTTGGCCCGAAACTTCATGGCCGCGGATGGCGCAGCCGCGGCGGGCCTCTGTGGGTAACAGAAAAGCGTCGCGCCCTGAGTGTCCCCGCCCGGAAACACGGCAGCGCGAACAGTGGTTCCGCCCGGCTCGGGCTACGCGACTCTTACCAGGGTTATCTCCGGGCCACGCCCCGGAGGAGGTGGGGCTAGGGGGTCACGCCCTAGAGGAGGTGGGGTCACGGGTCAAGGATCACAGGTCACGCCCCGGGGGAGGTGGGGGTCCCAGTCTCCGGGTATGCCTCCGCGCTGCCGGGTAATGGTGGGATCTACTTTTAGTGAGGCGGAGGCTTCAAGCCCCAGATTCGGGGAGGTTGTTCTGAGAATTCACGTTTTGAAAGAATTTTGTGACACCTATTTCAAGTGTTATTTTAAAATATCCAAATAAAATTAATCGTTTATAAAGGTTAAACAATATTATCTTAAATATACCTAAGGTAGAGCAGCTTTAAACCCTCCAGCCTCAGATGACGGTACTGGTACTTTGGTATTGAAGCATCTTGGTGGATTAAGGTTCTGAAAATTGTTTCAAATGACTTCTAAAAAAATTGAACATATTACTGGCTAGTTGGTAAAGTCGGGAAGCTTAAAGAACACTGACGTTAAGTGATAATTCTGCAGTTTGCCTCAAGACGAACTTTATTACATCCGATAAAATTCTTATTAGCATAAATAATGTCATTAGGATTTTTTTTAAAGGAAAAATTTTAAAGGGGGAAATGAAGCAACAATTGTATCTAATTTGGTTTTTCAAAGACTAAAGATTATCTGTGTTAACAATTGTTATTTTTAATGTCCTTTGCAAATAGACTAGAACCTTGTCTTTAACTTGACACATAGAATCAAGATAATGATAATGCAGATGATGATGATGATGATTTTGAGACGGAGTCTGGCTCTGTCGCCCTGGCTGGAGTGCAATGGCGTGATCTTGGCCCACTGCAACCTCCACCTCCCGGGTTCGAGGGATTCTCCTGCCTCAGCTTCCCAAGTAGTTGGGATTACAGGCACAAGCTACCATGCCCGGCTAATTTTTGTATTATTAGTAGAGACGGGGTTTCGCCATGTTGGCCAGGCTGGTCTCGAACTCCTGACCTCAGGTGATCTGCCCACCTCGGCCTCCCAAAGTGCTGGGATTATAGGCGTGAGCCACCGCGCCAGGCCCAGATAATTTTCAAAGACACATGCACACATATGTTTATTGTGGCACTATTCACAATAGCAAAGACTTGGAACCATCCCAAATGTCCATCAATAATAGACTGGATAAGGAAAATGTGGCACATATACACCATGGAATACTATGCAGCCATAAAAAAGGATGAGTTCATGTCCTTTGCAGGGACATGGATGAAGCTGGAAACCATCATTCTCAGCAAAATATCACAAGGACAGAAAACCAAACACCGCATGTTCTCACTCATAAGTGGGAGTTGAACAATGAGAACACATGGACACAGGGAGGGGAATATCACACACTGGGGCCTGTTGGGGGGTGGAGGCCTGGGGGAGGGATAGCGTTAGGAGAAATACCTAATGTAAATGATGAGTTGATGGGTGCAGCACACCAACATGGCACATGCATACCTATGTAACAAATCTGCACGTTGTGCACATGTACCCTAGAACTTAAAGTGTAATAATAATAAAAAGGTGCAAAATACAAAAATTGCAGTTTTTGCCTATTTTAAGACTATAACATGAAGCAAAATTCTAATCTTCATTGTCATATGCGAGTGTTTGCCAAACCAAACTTAATAGATCACTTTCAAAGTTATGCCAACAGGCAGGGCAGGATGGCTCTCTCCTGTAATCCCAGCATTCTGGGAGGCCGAGGCGGGTGGATCATCTGAGGTCAGGAGTCTGAGATCAGCCTGGCCAACATGATGAAACCCCGTCTCTACTAAAAATACAAAAATTAGCCCGGCGTGATAGCTTGTGCCTGTAATCCCAACTACTCAGGAATCTGAGGCAGGAGAATCACTTGAACCCAGGAGGCGGAGATTTCAGTGAACAGAGGTCTGCCACTGCACTCCAGCCTGGGCGACAGAGCGAGACTCCGTCTCAAAAAAAAAAAAAAATGTTGGCATAACTCTTTTTTTTTTTGGAGACGGAATCTCGCTCTGTCGCCCAGGCTGGAGTGCAGTGGCGCAATCTCGGCTCACTGCAAGTTCCGCCTCCCGGGTTCACGCCATTCTCCTACCTCAGCCTCCCGAGTAGCTGGGACTACAGGCGCCCGCCACCACGCCCGGCTAATTTTTTGTATTTTTAGTAGAGACGGGGTTTCACCGTGTTAGCCAGGATGGTCTCGATCTCCTGACCTCGTGATCCGCCCGCCTCGGCCTCCCAAAGTGCTGGGATTACAAGCGTGAGCCACTGAGCCCGGCCATGCCAACATTTTTTATTTGCCCCATATGATCTGCAGGAAAAAGCCTGTTTTTTAATTTCCTCATGAATGAGTTTTGAAGAGTTGAGCATCACATTAAATAAAGTGGCTGCTAGTAGATAAATGAATATAATTAAAGAATGTATCTAAATAAACTTTGTAAACAATGTTTTGTAACATCTTGATCTTTAGTGTAAATTGCTTAATTTTATGTCATAAAAACTGATAAAGCAATTTTTTAAACTTCCTAAGAAGATGTGATATGATACATTCTGCATGGACAAAAGCCCAAATAATATAGGAATTTGACTCAAGAAATAGAAAATAAAGCTGCAATTATCTTTTCTTGGAAGAAGAAAGGAATCTTTTATGTGCTCTTGCAATTTTCTTAAACAGGTTTAGCAAATTAATTCATTAACTTCAGAATTGACAATTAAGTATATTGACACTACTTCTCTACTTTCCAAATGATTTTGAGGCAAGGAATGTGATCTCTAGAGATTTCTAGAAGCCCCATGTACCACTGAGTTTTCTAATGCAATGTATATTCATGTTCTCATCTAGCTACAGTAAATTGCCTTCTGACTTAAGAACTGCCAAATGTCAGGGATTAGTAATTCAGTCACACAATGATTTGGGAAACAGTGTTCACGCTGTTCATTAAGTTTGTTTAGTGGGGAGGTAAATGCCTTAATCTTGTCTTAGAAACTGAAATAAACAGTGGTGCAAATAAAATGTCATTCAGGATGCATATAGTTGGAAGTAAGGGAAATAACCTCTCTACAGCTGCAGATGGTAAACTCTGTCTAGGTAAGTATTTGGCCAGTCTCTTTCAGGTACTTACTCATCTTCTCTAGTCCCTGGGGGAAGAGACAGCAATTTGCAGCCCTGTTGTTAGCAGTTAATGTTGGAAAAATTACCCAAGGGAAACAACGTGACTAGCTCACATGTTACGCATCAAATTTGAAAGGCAGTATTTGTCTTCTTTTTTTAACATGAGAAAACTGTAAAATGAAGGAAAGCATACCCTAGAGGTGGCATGAGTGAATGTCTTTTGACAACTGTACTTGTTCTAAGAGATGGGTTTTTGCTTAAGCAGCTCTTCAAAGACTCTTCTCCTCTTTTAGGTGTCAAAAAAATTCTTCAATAAATTCCATAGATACTTTTCTAAATGAAGATTTGTGGAGCACATGAGAAGTGTCAGGCATGGTGGTGAGTGATGGGGATTAAGGAAGGGGACCAGCCCCTACTCAAGAGGAGGGTGATCAACATTTATTGGATGCCTTTAAAGCACTATTTAAATATTATTGATCAGTAGGGTGAGATAGATAGCTCTCATTTTATAGCACTCTGCACTGATATCATCACTTAGATAATATAAACACACGTAAAATAAGTATGATTATTCCCATTTTATTTTATTTTATTTTATTTTAGATGGAGTCTTGCTCTTGTTGCCCAAGCTGGAGTGCAATGGTGCAATCTCGACTCACTGCAACCTCTGAGTCCTGGGTTCAAGTGATTCTTTTGCCTCAGTCTACCGAGTAGCTGGGATTACAGGCACCTGCCACTACACCCAGACCATTTTTTGTATTTTTAGTAGAGATGGGGTTTCACTGTGTTGGCCAGGCTGGTCTCAAACTCATGACATCAGGTGAGCTGCCTGCTTCAGCCTCCCAAAGTGCTGGGATTACAGGTGTGAGCCACAATGCTCGGCCTATTATTCCCATTTTAAAGATGGGGACAGATAGAATTGGCAATGTTGGCCATGGCATGCCCTACCTCACACTCTTGATGAGAATCTGCATCACTGGATTGCTGAGTGTCCAGTGACCCACATGCTCCTGCTGACTGGACCAGCTCTATTTACACTTGACCTTCAGGAAAACAATTGATAGTGTGGAAATAAATGAAGACCAACCAAATGGAACAGGCAAAGCCTATTTATTCAGAGTCAGCCATTATCACTTGCATTTCAGCAGAGACTCAAAGGCAGGCAGAGAGGTAGGAACGCTTCATAGTGGAAAAGGAAGGAGAGTATAGTGAAGTAACAGAAGAGGTTACAGAGCATGTTTATTTACCAGCTAAAGCTAAAGTGGCAAAGGAAGGAGAGGTTCATCCCTACCCTTCTGCACCCCCTTATTTCCTCCTGGGAAATATTACTGATGAATAACATTTTATATACGGCATTTTGCACATGGTAAGTTTTTTAGTCAAAGGATATATTCATCTCGATTTTTATAGATAGGCCAAGTTCCCTCCATAAATGTTATACCTATTTGCATTTCTTCCAGCAACGTGTGAGAGATCCTGTTTCCCCAAAGCCTTGGAATAAAACATTATCAAACTTTTGGATCTTTCTAATTTCATCAGTGAAACATGGTACAGTATAATTTTTGCCATTTTTCTTAAGTAAATAAGCTTGAATATCTTTCATGTGCGTCTCTAGATGATCTGTTTACTGGCCATTTTTCTATTGGGTTATTGATATTATAATTGCTTTCTTGGGACTGTGTATATATTGGAAAGATTGGTCCTTATAATGTCAGTTGTGAATATTTTTTGCATTTTAAGTTTTGTTGGCCATGCAGAGGTTCTTGATTTTTATATAGTGGAATTTTTTTTCTTTTGTGGCTTCTAAATTTTGAGTCATATTTAGGAAGACCTTCCTCTATTCAATACCATACAGGAATTATCCCAAGTTTCCTTGTTAATATTTTTATGGTTTTATTACCTACTTGTATATATTTTACCATACTGGGAGTTTGTCATATTGTAAAGTGAGAAATATGGATGGAATTTTATTTTCTTAATGACTGGATAATTGTCCCAAGCCATTTGTTTTTTTCCCCCATACTCTTTTGAGATGCTACCATTATCATACACCCAACTTCCACATACATGTAAATATATTTTTGGACTTGTCTGTTGTTGGGAACAGGCCCCCCAAAATCTGGCCATAAAGTGGCCCCAAAACTGGCCATAAACAAAACCTCTGCAGCACTGTGACATGTTCATGATGGCCATAACGCCCACGCTGGAAGGTGGTGGGCTTACCGGAATGAGGGCAAGGAACACCTGGCCCACCCAGGGCGGAAAACTGCTTAAAGGCATTCTTAAGCCACAAACAATAGCATGAGCTATCTGTGCCTTAAGGACATGCTCCTGCTGCCATTAACTAGCCCAACCTATTCCTTTAATTCAGCCCATCCCTTTGTTCCCCATAAGGAATACTTTTAGTTAACTTAAGATCTATAGAAACAATGCTAATGACTGGCTTGCTGTTAATAAATATGTGGATAAATCTCTGTTCGGGGCTCTCAGCTCTGAAGGCTGTGAGACCCGTGATTTCCCACTTCACACCTCTATATTTCTGTGTGTGTGTCTTTAATTCCTCTAGCGCCGCTGGGTTAGGGTCTCCCCGACCAAGCTGGTCTCGGCAGTCTGTTCCATTGGTCTATCTGTTTGCCAGTATCATACAGTTTTAACTATTGTTTTATACCTATGTCATAGAGCTATTTCTTTTTGTTGATTTTTTTTCAGAGATTTTTCTGGCTGTCCTTTTGCTAAGTTTATATTTCCATATGAACTTTAGAATCAATTTTATTTAAAACATACCCCCCTTTGGGTTTTTAAAAATATATACATGTCTTAATTTTTAAAAAACTTTTTAATTGAAAATATCGAACATATATAAATCTAGACAGAATAATATAATGAAGCTCCATGGACTGGCAGCATTCAACTTCAATGATCATTTCATGGCCAATCTTTTTCATGAATTTTCTTATCCATTTCTTCCTCTTATGTTATTATGGAAAAGATCCCACATATATCATTTCAACTTTAAATATTTAAATATGTAAATAAAAAGATTTATTTTAAAATCATCATTTTAGTACCATTATCATACAGACACCTATAATTTATTTTTTTCAGACAGGGTCTTGCTCTGCCGCCCAGGCAGGAGCACAGTGATCATGGCTCACTGCAGCCTCAAATTCTTGGGCTCAAGTGATCCTCCCACCTCAGCCTTCCAAGTAGCTGGAACTGCAGGTGTGCACTGCCATGCCCAGCTAATTTTTTTATTTTTAATAGAGACAGGGTCTCACTATGTCACCCAGGCTCATCTTGAACTCCTGGAGTCAAGCAGTCCTTCTACCTTGGCCTCCCAAAGTGCTGAGATTATAGGTGTGAGCCACCGTGCCCAGCCCAAATTATTTTTTTTAACGATAATTCTTTAATATCTCATAACTGTCCCATAAAGTCCATATTTTTCTGCTTTTTAACTGAGATCAAGTTACATTTATAAATTAACTTAGAACTGACATCTTGACAGTTGAGTTTTCCCATTGAAGGATACAGTATATGGTACATCTATTTTTCCATTTATTTTACTGAAGTCTTCTTTTTTTTTTTTTCTCCAGACAGGGTCGCCCAGGCTGGAGCGTAGTGGCTCGAACACAGCTCACTTGAAGCTTCAACCTCCCGGGCTCAAGTGATCCTCCCACCTGTCTCCTGAGTAGCTGCAACTACAGGCATGTGCCAAGACGTCTGGCTAATTTTTAAATTTTTTGTAGGGATGGGGTCTTGCTGTGTTGCCCAGACTGGTCTCAAACTCCTGGGCTCAAGTGATCCCCCAACCCTTGGCCTCCCAAAGTGCTAAGATTACAGTTGTGAGCCACTGTGCCTGGCCTTAAGTCTTCTTTTAGTCATTCACTGCTGTTTGGGATTTTTTTCACATAGATATTTTACTTTCTTCTTTTATTTGATGTTTATTATCTAAAGATAATAATGGATTTTGTAAGTTATACCCTGTTGTTTTTATGAATGATATTGATTTATATATGGGAATTTTGCATCCACGAACTTACAACAGTTTTTCCTTGTTTCTAATTCTTTTAAAATAGACTCTATTGCATTTCAAGGAATTCATCAAATTATCTGCAAATGGTCATGGTCAGAACTCCTCACTAATTTTTACCTCCAATTTAAAAATTACTGGTTTCCTATCTAATTGCGCTGACCAGTGCCTCCAGATCAGCACTAAATGATAGTAGTGATAGTGGACATCCATGCCTGGTGTAAATAAATGAGTCCGTGAAGGCAAAGATGCTATTATGGGAAAGACTGATGATGAGACTATCTTCTTCTAAATACAAAATGAGTTTTCAATGCTCTAACAACATGAAGCATCCTTAAAGACTAAACTATGGCAAGGATATTTAATTTACTTCCATATTTTTTTATTAGTAAAATGCATTTACTTTTTACAGGCAAGTATGAACCACTTTGAGGTTTTCTTCCCACTCCCAATTCTCAATTCCTATGGGTGCGGTATCATCTAAGAGAATAAGCATTCTTGAATATTCTGGACATGTGGCATGGCCTTCTGTACCAACTCTTCTAGATGTGCTTGCCTGGTGTGCCATGGACCCTGAATCGATATAAACAAGTATACTTCGGGTGTCCCCAGTTGCTAAAGATATTAAGTTTCACACATAATAAATATTCAGAAACTGCATGCTGAAAATAAAGAAAAGAAAATCAATGCCTTATAACGAAATTCATCTCAAAGAATCCCAATGAATACTGATATAATTTTAAATTATATACTTTTTTTTTTTCGAGATAGGATCTGGCTCTGTCACACAGGCTGGAATGCAGTGGCATGATCATGGCTCATTGCCACCTCTACCTCCTGGGCTCAAGTCATCCTCCCAGCTCAGACCCCCGAGTAGCTGGAACTACAGGCACACGCCACCGCACCTAGCTAATTTATTAATTTTTTGTAGAGACAGGGTTTTGCCATGTTGCCCAGGCTGGTCTTGAACTCCAGGGCTCAAATGATTTACCTGCCTAGGCCTCCAAAAGTGATGGGATTACAGGTGTAAGCCACCACGCCTGGCCTATATACTTTTTCTTTTCTAACATAACTATTTTCAAATATCAGTCTAATGAATGAGAAAATAAGCTACTGGAATAAAGAGCTTATGAAAAGATAAGTAGAGGGAGAGGAGGATAATATGGCGGCCAAGTGACCTCTCTATTCCGCTGTTTCCCCCCTCTACACTCCTTGCTGGCTGTGCCGAGGAGCAGGGGCAAGAGGGCTTGTTGTCTAAAAACCAGAACTATGAAGCCAACTATAAGAACAGATAATATGAGCCCAAATGCATATGAATACATAATCAAATATGAAGCTCTACAAATATGCTCATTTCTAACATATATGTATTGTTTTACCTTTATTTTCTCACTATTTGGCCAAAAAGTGTCATAAAACACTTGTTTTTACATGATATAAAATGTCTTCTACATCTCTTCAGTTACTCCCTGTGGCTAATTTAAAAAATGAGGATATATTTCATTTGCCTTGGTGAGTTTCAGGGGATTTATAAGCTAACAGTTGATATTTTCTCCCACTGGGTTAGGAGTTTTACTTGTATTATCTGATATTAAATCTTTATCCTCTATTCCTTTGAGCTTCTCTCTGCCTCTGTCCACTTCATATTGTACCATCATCTTCCTCCCCTATACTCAAGCAAGGTGAGGTAGTAACTATTACACTTAATAGTATTCAGGGAATGGAATAGTTAAGAAAGAACCAAGAAATTAAATATATATATTATAAAAAAGTGATAGCAGATGAGGAAGAATTTGACTTAGAAACTGCTTTTGCATTTGTCTGTCTTTTGCATTAAAATCCTCGTAAGCACTTCGAGCTCAGAATTGAAGATCAGATAAGCCTTGTGTAACTCACGCTTTTGTCATAATTATTCTCATACGTCACTTTACATGAAGCAATCCCAACAAATTTCTCCCAGTGATAGAGCTACTCATATCATTTCCCAGAGCATACATTACCTGGAGTTCAAATGTTTGAACGGTGGTTCCTGTTTTGTTATATATAAACTGACCTAGGAAAATTTCTTCTCCTTCACATTTTTTTGTGATGCCCTATAAAGAAAGCAACAGATATAGAGATTGTAATGAATGGATGCAGTTGTGTTTTCAAAAAGAACCAACAATTCACCAAATATCTCTGTGTGTCCACCAGGGGCACAGTGCTGTGATCATGCCAGTACTAACCTATACACCCAGAGGATATTTAACAAGGGGTCAATGAGGCCCAAGGCTGATCACGGGACTGACTAAAAGGATAGAAGATGGATGGACACACAGACAGATAGATAGATAGATAGAGAGCTAGATAGATAGATCCATAGATAGATAGTTAGAAGATAGATGATTGACAAACAGCTGATAGATGGAAGACAGATACATACATATAGAGCAAATCCCAACATTAACTTTGACCTGATAACTATATTTGCAATAAGCATACTTTGAATAAAATAAAAATGCGTCGCCATACTGAACTGATGTTTACCAAAATGAGATAAACATAAGCCCATTGCCAGATTTTGATCACACAAATAATTTCCTCTGAAAAGTAAGCTCCCGTTGACTGACAAAAACACTGATTTTTTTCTTTGTATGCAATTTCTCTTGTGCTTTTTGTTCTTCTCTACCCTTCAAATTGAAGATTTGTGAGAGGATAACGCACTGGTGCAAACTAATTTATTTTGTGAATCTGAAGTTTATTGTTAGGTTCCTTAAATTGTAACACAGCAAAATAAACAGTACATTCATTAAATCATTTTATAATAAAAATATTAATATCAAACTATAACATTTTTATTAAAAGAGTTGGATACATCATGGTTACATAATGTACTCACAATTATATATGTATGTGGGGAAAAGAGAGATCAGACTGTTACTGTCTCTACGTAGAAAGAAGTAGGCATAAGAGACTCCATTTTGTTCTGTACTAAGAAAAATTCTTCTACCTTGAGATGCTGTTAATTTGTAACCCTACCCCAACCCTGTGCTGGCTGAAACATGTGCTGTGTCAACTCAAGGTTAAATGGATTAAGGGCTGTGCAGGATGTGCTTTGTCAAACAAATGCTTGAAGGCAGCATGCTTGTTAAGTCATCACCACTCCCTACTCTCAAGTACCCAGGGACACAAAACACTGCGGAAGGCCGCAGGGACCTCTGTCTAGGAAAGCCAGGTATTGTCCAAGGTTTCTCCCCATGTGATAGTCTGAAATATGGCCTCACGGGAAGGGAAAGACCTGACCATCCCCCAGCCCGACACCCGTAAAGGGTCTGTGCTGAGGAGGATCAGTAAAAGAGGAAGGCCTCTTTGCAGCTGAGATCAGAGGAAGGCATCTGTCTCCTGCTCGTCCCTGGGCAATGGAATGTCTCGGTGTAAAACCCGATTGAATATCCCATCTCCTGAGATAGGAGAAAACCGCCTTAGGGCTGGAGGTAAGACATGCTGGCAGCAATATTGCTCTTTAAGGCATTGAGATGTTTATGTATATGCACATCAAAAGCACAGCACTTTTTTCTTTACCTTATGATGCAGAGACATTTGTTCACATGTTTTCCTGCTGACCCTCTCTCCACTATTACCCTATTGTCCTGCCACATCCCCCCTCTCCGAGAAACACCCCATAATGATCAATAAATACTAAGGGAACTCAGAGACTGGTGCCGGCGCGGGTCCTCCGTATGCTGAGCGCTGGTCCCCTGGGCCCACTCTTCTTTCTCTATACTTTGTCTCTTTGTCTCTTTCTTTTCTCAAGTCTCTCGTTCCACCTGACGAGAAACGCCCACAGGTGGGGAGGGGCAGGCCACCCCTTCATATGTACACATGACTCAAGCCTCATATATTCTCTTTAGCTTAAGACAGGAGTGCTAGTTTTATTTCTACCTCCTTTATCACCTTGTTGGGTTTTTTTAAGAAACAGGATCTGATGGAATACTATGCAGCCATAAAAAAGAACAAGATCGTGTCCTTTGCAGGGACATGGATGGAGCTGGAGGCCGTTATCCACAGCAAACTAACACAGGAACAGAAAAACAAATACTCTATGTTCTCACTTGTAAGTGGGAGCTAAATAATGAGAACACATGAACACAAAGCGGAGCAACAGACACTGAGATCTACTTGAGGGTGGGGGGTGGGAGGAGGGAGAGGAGCAGAGAAATACCTGTTGGGTATTACTACTTACCGCCTGTATAACAAACCTGCACATATACCTCTGAACCTAAAATAAAAGTTAAAATAAAAAACAAATAAACAACAAAACAAAACAAACCAAAAAAACGGGGTCTGGCCATGCTGCCCAGGCTGGCCTCGAATTCCTGGGCTCCAGTGATCCTCCTGCTTTAGCCTTTTAAGGAGCTGGGATCACAGGAGCAGATACTGCGCCCAGTCCTTTTATCACCTTGTTTTAATTTTACTTGGTTCATAAATTCTTTAATGTAGAAGAAAATGATGAGAAGCAGTTTTTATTACTAAAGGATTCCTGCCTTTGGGATTCACCCATAATTTGTCTAAATAATGAACGTGTTCACCTTTCTGAGATGGAACTTAGCTGCTCAAACTCAACTTTTCAGAGACACCACTTGCAGGTGGTGTGGGCTTCTATGAAAGGACAGCAGCCCTTTGTTTTGAAACTCCAGATATGGAATGTAGAGGCATTTGGGTGACATATAAGGCAGGCTGTTTAACCCAGGGCCCTCCTCCAGATGGGAAGATCATAATTGAAGGCATAAACCTATATAAGGCAAAAGTGGGAGTAGACAGTAAAACCAAAAAACAAAACAAAACAAAACAAAACAAACCCCAAAACAAACAAACAGAAAAACCAAAAAGTGAAGATGGCCAAATGGCGCCTGGAGAGAAAGAACACAAACTACTCGGGCTGTACGTGGACCCAGCAGCGCAGGACTTAAGCGGCAGGTTCCCAGGAAGGCCGGAGGAGGGTGTCCATGTGGGGAGCGTGTGGGTGAAAGCGTGAGGGGGAGTGTGGGGGAAAGGAGCCCAAATCTGCGGCTTAGCTAACAGTCATTTCAAAAAGCAGTTACAACGCCTCCACGCCCCTCCAGCCCCGCCTGGCCCAGCAGAGGGCTCTCTTCTTCCTCCCATCTCTAAGACCACTGCCGGCGCCGCCCCAGAACCGCCCACAAGAGCATGGCCTCTGCACAAAGTGGTGACCCCGCGGCCCTCCTCTCCCCAGCAGCTCATGGTGTGGTGGGCCAGGCTGGCACCTCCTGTGCACTGCAGGAGTCCTCTCAGGGTCAGCTCTCCTGATAGCACACTTGTGACTCCCGACGAAATGGCCCGACCAGATGATTCCCGCTGCAAACTCACGACGGATGAGCCCCACCGTGCGCGCAAAGCTTCCTGCCGGCTTTGCACCGCCTAGCAATTCATGTGACAAGCATCACAGACATGGGAGAAAAGTGTTGTACAGGAAACAGAGAGACGCTACCCGCAAGGGGGAAAAGTGGGGCTAGGAAATCCAGACCCGGAAGCGAGCAGAAGAAAATGAGACAAGCCTACAGTTAATATATTCAGAAGCATAAGAGAAGGTACTGCCTTCATAAAAGAAAAAAATATAGGCTCTAAAAAAGGGAATATGTATAGAAACAAGAAGTCTCAGAAAGTATAATCATGACAGCAGGAATGAAAATTTCCGTAGAGGGGTTAAAATGTGAATTGATATGATCTTCCAGAAGGTGGAACAAAAAGCAGAAAAGGGAAAGAAGAAACACTTTTTAAAAATAATAAATTAGACAGTAAGTTGAATCCTCAGGATGCATGAGTGAAATCCCACGACAACAGTTGTGCATCAGGCCTACCTAACAAGGCTGGAGCAAAATGCTGAGGGCGCCAGAGGGATATCTTGGGAAAAAAAAAAGAAAATAAATGAAAAGAAAGTGAAGGAAGGAATAAAGAAAGGAAGAAATTTATAAGTTATCTGATGTGAATCAACATAATGGGGGAATATTTGTACTTCTGAAGAAGAATTTGGGAAAGTTTTAGTAATAGGAATGCAGAAAACTAAGCAAATTAAAGAAAAATAGGCTGGGCACCAGTGGCTCACGTCTGTAATCCCAGCACTGTGGGAGGCCAAGGCGGGAGGATCCTGAGCCCTGGAGTTTGAGACCAGCCTGGGCAACATAATAAGACCCTTATCTCTACTAAAAAATTTAAAAAACAATCCCACGAGTTTGAAGTTGCAGTGAGCTGTGATTGTTCTCCAACCTGGGCAACAGAGCTGAGACCCTGTCTCAAGAAAAAAAAAATGTAAAGCAATTATTACACTCAGAAACATTTAAAAAAATGGAAGAAAGTAGTATTTAAGTACACTAAATAGCTCAACTGAGAGCTGTTTTGTTCACATAGTCACTGTGAAAACATTGAGTATTGCTTGAACAAAAAGATAATACAGTCTTCTAGCAGTGCCTCAAATGTTAAACCTACATTTACCATGCTATCTAGGAATTCCAGTCTTAGGTATACACCCAAGGAAAACAAAAACTCATGTCCACACAAAAACTTGTACATGAATGTTTGTTGAAGCATTATACATAATGACCAAAAAAATGAAAATAATTCAAATGTCCATCAACTGATGAATAGATAAATAAAATGTCATATATCCATACAATGAAATGTTATTCAGCAATAAAAAATAAATGAAATATTGAGACATACTACATCATAAATGAACCTTGAAAACAGTATGCAAAGTTAAAGAAGCCATTCACAAAAGATCACACATTATAAATGATTCAATTTATATGAAATGTATAGAATAGGTAAATTTATTGAGACAAAGTAGACCAGTGGTTGCCAGGGGCTGGAGGAGTACACTAGGGGAATAGGAGGTGACGGCTAAGGGGTATGGGGTTTCTTTTTAGGGTAAGAAAAATGTTCTAAAATTGATTATGGTGATGGATACACAACTCTGTGAATACACTAAAAGCCACTGAAGGGTGTACTTTAAATGGGTGAATTAATTGTTATGGGAATTACATCTCCAGAAACCTGTTTTGTTTTTTAAATTAAGACATAAATATTTTGGGAAGATGGAAGTGCCATGGAAAAGAGTTAATCTTCATTTTCAATGAGAGGATGTCATAATCAAAACTGAAAAATCAGGAAATAATGGCAAAAGCCAACATGGAGGCAAGTACCCAAATAAACATCTAAAATTGTTGCAAGTAGAAGCTTTGGGATAATGAGAATTGGAGATGTGGAGAAGTGGGACAAGGAATTACTGTTTCTTTACAAACTTTATGGAAATATTTGATTTTTACTTATACATGTATAACTTTGATAAAAGTAAAAATAATAATATAAATCATTTGGTCCAACTCTCTCTCTTTGTAGGTGAGAAAGCAGAAGTCCAGGAAATAAGTGACACAACTAGTTATCTGTCCTAGTTCAGAGGACAGCCCCTAATTCCTAGCCAACCACCTTCTATCAGGCCAATCTGAATGACAAATTTAGATAGCTTCTTACATAGACAGAAAATTCCTTGGGTGCACTGGAGATGTTTCCTGACGGAGACACCTTCTCTGAGATGTGCTCCATGGTAACAGCAGTTGGTATGATCTTTGTAGCAAGCTTGATTAGGGTATGACCCTGGGAACCTGGAAAAGCCCAGCACTTTCCAGGGTAGACATCCGGCTGGAAAGAAAACACTGAATTAATCTCTTAACTAGTTATGTGAATCCATTCCCACAATACTGGTCAGCTAATCACTATTGACTGCAGATCTCTCTTATGCCTATCAAATAGGAAAACTCCCAAGGCACCTCTAGTGTGGTTGTTCTTCCAGAGCACTGTATGCTTATATCAATCAGAGCCCTTTATCATATGAGCATGTTTTCTTTCATTGCTCTAACTAGACTGTAAGCTGTTATAAGGCAGCTAGAGGGCATGAGTGGTGGTGCTGGTAAGGCTAGTGATGGTGGTAGTGAGGATGATGATGGTGACCATTGTGATCATTGTGGTGATGATGGTGGTAATAATGGTGGCAGTGGAGGTGACAGTGATGGTGGTGGTGGTAGTGGTGATGGTGATTGCAATGGTGGTCATGGCAATGGTATCACCTAAAAAGGTGGTGGTAGAGGTAATGGTGATGGTAGTAATGGTAGTGGTGGTTGTAGTGATGGTGATAATTGAAGTGGTAGTGGTGATGGTGATTGCAATAGTGGTCATGGCAATGGTATCACCTAAAAAGGTGGTGGTAGAGGTAATGGTGATGGTAGTAATGGTAGTGGTGGTGATAGTGATGGTGATAATTGAAGTGGTAGTGGTGATGGTGGTGATGAAGGTAGTGGTGGTGGTGGCAGTGATGGTGGTGGTGGTGGTGACAGTGATAGTGGTGGTGGTGATGATGATGGACATGGGGGTGGTGATGAAGAAAGATGGTGAGGTGGTGGTGGTGGTGGCAGTGATGGTGGCTGTGGTGGCAGTGATGGTGGTGGCGGTGATGGTGATGGACATGGAGGTTGTGATGAAGAAAGATGGTGCTGGTGGTGGTGATGAAGATGAGGGTTTTGATGGAGATGGGGGTGGTGGTGGTGGTTATGGTGGTAGAGAAGAAAAATGAGGTCTACTACTTTGTAGATATAAACTACAGCCTGGAATAAGATCAGTGGGTTTTACCCCTGAAAGTTCTAAATTTGCAACTAACTTCAGGTGTATGGATCAAAGTTGAGAGGTGCTCTGCTGTCTATTGATGGCTACTGCCTTTAGACTGTAACTGAAAAGTTTGGTGGGGATCTTACTTGGAGATTTCTCCTGTTATAATTAGACTTAAGAACATGTGGTCTGAATAGCACTTAACATAGTACAGTACTGGCACTTAGGAGACAAGTACTTTCAACAAATGTTTGTTGAATGACTGAAGTTTTCAATGGAAAAGGATGGTCACAGAATCAACTTACAGAAAAGACATGGAATGTATATGTTTTACTTGAAAATAAAATAATCTAGTTTACTAATCTTAAAATGATAAATAAGTAAATAATTAATCATAGTTTACTGACCATAAAATAAGACATAATTCATGCAGTGTACTGACTATAAAAATATAATGAGATGATTTCAGATTCTGTGACAAGTTCAGACACTCTTATATTGCCTCCATTTTTAAAATTAACATTTTCATGATAAATAATAAGAACAAAATTCTAAAATAGAAATAAGTGATTCTTAATTTAGCTTTACCTGAAGAATAATATCTGGAGGCATTTCATGATTTAGGAAACCTATCCCATGCCAGTACAATTTTGCTTTATTATTTTTATAACTTTCTGAGGTCCCAGCTTCAATGATGGAGGCTCCTAAAATTATAAAGTAAGTTGTAAAATAAAGAAACAACATACACAATTCAAAACACATCATTTGAATTTTAACAATGTCTCTAGAAAATTATTACTGGGCAAATTATAAGCGAGGTAAAATTCATACTCAGGAATTGATAGGAAAAGTATGACAGTTTTCACTACCACTGAAATTTTGTCATTTTGAAGAAAACTAGTTTGTTCTGTTTAGTTTCACAAAATGTATGATTAAAAAAATTGAATTTTGAGGCAAGTAAATTAGAGATGAGAATATTATATGGATTCTGTATCACCTAAAAACGTATATAGATCTTTATATTTTAACAGCTCATGTGATAAATGAGACTTCCTGTCATTCCCATTCACTCAATAACAAAAAAAGCAGAAAACCAACAATGCTCCAAATGTCCTTCAAGTTACATTTGTAGCAATTATGCAGATTCATTGAACTCTATTTTAATCAAAGAAATATGAAATATACTCATCAAACATTATCCCTTCAGGTTACTTCATTTTAGAAGCAAAATGTATTTTATACAGAATAAATAAAGAAAATGCAAATTGCTTTTACAAATTGCATTTGCATAACACACCACAACACTAAAAATACATGTGCCTCATCAAATATCTGATTATCCTTACTTTTTCTTTCCTTCTTTTTTTTTTTTTTTTTTGAGACGGTGTCTCACTCTGTCGCCAGGCTGGAGTGCAGTGGTGGAATCTTGGCTCACTGCAACCTCCGCTGCCTGGGTTCAAGTGATTCTCCTGCCTCAGCCTCCCAAGTAGCTGGGACTACAGGCGCCCGCCACCACGCCGGCTAAGTTTTTGTATTTTTAGTAGAGACAGGGTTTCACCATGTTGGCCAGGATGGTCTCGATCTCTTGACCTAGTGATGTACCCACCTCGGCCTCCCAAAGTGCTGGGATTACAGGCGTGAGCCACCGCGCCCAGCTGATTATCTATACTTTTCCTAAGATGACACACTTTTTGAAATAGTAATTGAGTTCCTAGAGTTGCCAGATTTGGCAAATAAAAATAAAAGACAGCCATTTAAATTTGAATTTCAGGTAAACAAAGAATAATTTTTTTAGTAGTAGTCATGTCCCATACAATATTTGGGATATATTTATACTAAAAGATTATTTGCTATTTGTCTGAAATTTAAATTTAACTGGGCTCCCTTCATTTTATCTGGAAACCCTATGTGTACTTCGTTTTTGAAGGCTAATTCTGACTGCCCGCTCACTATTCCTACTCGACCAACTGGCTGGACAGAATCTACACTTTCACCTGCTAATGTGGGGACTGAATACCCCATCCCCATAATCCTTTCCAGAAAAAAATTAAAATTTTAGTGTGGTGGAATTTTGAAAATAATTCATATTTATTCATTTTCTCATTCATTAAAAGATTTAAATCAGCTTTATTAAGATATAATTCACATCCTATACAATTCACTCATTTACAGTGTATGATTCAGGGTTTTGTATTATATTCTTAGAGTTGCACGGCCACCACAATCAATTTTAGAACATTTAGTCAACCCCAAAAGGAACCCATAGTGGTTAGCTGTCATTCCCCATTTCCCTCAACCTCTCTCCCCAAGCCTTGGCAATTATTAATCTATTTTCTGTCCCTGTAGATTACCTATTCTGGACATTTCTTTTGCTGCTCCCTTGTAGTCAGTCACAGTATGTAGCCTTTTCACTAAGGCTACTTTCATTTAGCCAATGCATTTGAGATTTATGAATGTTGGAATGAGTATCAGAAGTTCCTTCCTTTTATTGACTGCAGGTTGATATTCCACTGTATGAATGCATCCGTTAGTCTTTGTTGATGGACATGGGGTTATTCTCAATTTTGGTGATGATGAATACAGTTGCTATAGACATTCTTGGCAAGTTTTGATGTGAACATGTTTCAATTTATCTTAGATAAATGTATAGAAGTGGGATTGCTAGGTCAATAAGGTGTTATATTGAACTTCATAAGAAATTGTCAAACTTTGCCAGAGTGGCTGTGCCATGTTACATTCTCACCCACAGTGTATGAGAGGTCCATTTTGTTCATGCGGTTGCCAGCACTTAGTATGGTCGGTTTTGTTTTGTTTGGCATTCTAATCGGTGTGTAATGATATAACATTGAGGTTTTGACATTTCACTAATGAATAATTAATGTAAGGCATTTTTTCATATACTTTTTTGACATGCATTTATCTTCTTTAATGAAGTGTCTTCCAAACCTTTTGCCTATTTTTTATCTGGTTGTCTGTTTGCTTAATTGAAGCTTGACAGTTTTTTATAAATTCTGGATTCAAGAATGTGTGTGGTTTCCAAATATTCTCCCCTAGCCTGTAACTTGTCTTTTCATTCTCGTAACTGTTTTTTTGGCAGAGTAGAAATTAATTTTGTTGAAGCCCATATTATCCATTATTTTCCTTTTACAATCATAGTTTTTGATGTTGTGTTTAAGAAAACTTTTTCTAACTCTAAAAAATTTCGCTTATTTTTTTTTCTAGCTTTAAGCTTTATATTTAAGACTGTGACCCATTTGGGGTTAATTTTTATAGATTGTGGGTTTTGGGCCAAGGCTTTTTTTTATTTTTGCATATGAATGTCCACCTGTTCCAGCACCACTGACTTGCCTTTTTTCCTTTTTCAAAAATCTATTCACCACAGGTGTGAACTACTTCTAGACTTTTTGTATTGTTCCATTGATTTCACGAGTACCACATGCTCTTGATTACTGTAAACTTATAGTAAGCCTTAAAATTAGGTAGTGTGAGTTCTCCAACTTTGTCTCTTTTTTTCCCAAAACAAATTTGACTCTTCTAGTTCCTTCACCATTCCACATACATTTTGAAAATGGTTGTCAATTTCTACAAATAATCCTGCTGGGATTTTAATTAGGATTATATTAAATCCATAGAAAAGTTGGACAGTATTGTCATCTTAATGGTATTGAGTCTTCTAATCCATAAACATGGTATACTTGTCCATTTATTTAAATCTTTTTTATTTATTTCATTATTGTTTTTTAGTTTTTAGCTCTCAGTTCCCACATTTTGTTAGTCTTACACCTAAGTATTTTATGTTTTTTACTGCATTTATGAATAGAGCTGCTTTTAAATAGTCTCTAATTTTCTATTATTAGTATATAGAAATTGTATATATACCCTTGAACTTGTAAACCTCACTTACTCTGGTAGATTTTTTTGGTGGTTTTTCTACATAAGCAATCATGTTGTCTCTGAATAGAGCCATTTTTTTCCTTTCTAATTTGCATGCCTTTTCCCCTATCCTCTGCCTTTCGTACTCTCTTTCTCTCCCAGTTTTTCTTCATTTCCCTTTCCTGCCTTTTTTTAAATATTAGTTGAAATTTTTTATTTATTTTTTATTTCTTTTGAAACTGAGTCTTGCTCTGGGGCCCAGGCTGGAGTGCAATGACGCAATCTCAGCTCACTGCAATTTCCGCCTCGCCTTGCAGGTTCAAGCGATTCTCCTGCCTCAGCCTCCTGAGTAGCAGGATTACAGGCGTGCGCCACCGCGCCTGGCTGTTTTGTATTTTTAGTACAGCCGGGGTTTCACCAGGTTGGCCAGGCTGGTCTCGAACTCCTGACCTCAATTGATCCGCCTGCCTTGGCCTCCCAAAGTGCCAGGATTATAGGCGTGAGCCACTGTGCCTGGCCTCCATTTTGATTTCTCCATTAGCTTTTGGATATCTCTGTATTTTTAAGTAATTGTTCTCATGATTACAACGCACGTACCTAGCAGCTCATAGTTTATTTGAGTTAACTTTTTATCATTCATATAAAATCTTTACATTTATAGATGTCCATTAAATCTCACCCACTGACTTTTCCTTTATGGTTGTCATAGAATTAAATCTACATATATTAGCCCTCCACGCCCAGACAATGCCATACATTTTTTCCTTTCAACAGCCATACATATTTTAAAGTACTTAAAGAAAGAAAATTACCTCATCTTTTGTTGTTGTTGTTGTTTTGAGATGGAGTTTCGCTCTCGTCACCCAGGCTGGAGAGCAGTGGCGTGATCTCCGCTCACTGCAACCTCCGCATCCTGGGTTGAAGCTATTCTCCTGCCTCAGCCTCCGGAGTAGCTGGAATTACAGGCATGCGCCACCACGCCCCGCTAATGTTTCTATTTTTAGTAGAGACAGGATTTCACCATGTTGGCCAGGCTAGTCTGGAACTCCTGACCTCAGGTGATCCACCCGCCTCGGCCTCCCAAAGTGCTGGAATTACAAGGCATGAGCCACTGTGCCGGGCCACCTCATCTTTACTCACAGATGAGGCTGTTGCTCTTTCTTCATTCTTTAAGTCCCGAGTTTCTTTTTGGTGTCATTTCTATTGAGCTGAAGAACTTCCTTTAGCAGATTCAGTGGCAGATAATTTTCTTAGTTTTTCTCCATCTAAATGTCTTCATTTTGCCTTCATTCCTGAAAGATATTTTCACTGGATCTACAATTCTGCATTGCTAGATCCTTTCCTTCAGCACTTTAAACATGTCGTTTCCTTCTCTTCTGGTCTCTTTAACTTCTGGTAAGAAATCTGTAATAATGTGTAGTTTTTTTTTAGCTTCTTTCAAGTATTTTCATCTTTGATTTTGAGCAATTTAACTATGATGTGTCTGGATGTCATTTTCCTTGAATTTATCTTCTTTCTGATTTGCCATGCTTTTTGAGTCTGTAAATTTATGGTTTTTTTTTTTTAAATCGAGTTTGAGATGTTTTTAGCTATTACGTCTTTAGATACATTGGTCTCTTCTTCATCTCCCTCTGAGACTACAAGGATAAGAATATTATACCTTTTTATAGTGTCCTATAGGTTTCTGAAGTTCTGTTTGCATTTTTTTCAAACATTTTTTCATTCTTTGAATTGCATAATTTCTTTTGATCTATCTTCAACTTCACTACTTCTTTATTTTTAATTTTTAAGTTCGGGGTACATGTGCAGGTTTGTTACACAGAAAAACTTGTGTCATGGGGATTTGTTGTACAGATTATTTTGTCACCCAGGTGTTAAGCCTAGTATCCATTAGTTATTTTTCCTGATCCTCTCCCTTCTCTCACCCTCCATCCTCCAATAGGCCCCAGTGTGTGTTGTTCCCCTCTATGTGTTTATGTGTTCTCATCATTTAGCTCCCACTTATAAGTGAGAACATGTGTTTTTGGTTTTCTATTCCTGTGTTAGTTTGCTAAGGATAATGGCCTCCAGCTCCATCCATGTCCCTGCAAAGGACATGATCTTGTTCTTTTTTGTGGCTGCATAGTATTCCATAGTGTATATGTATGACATTTTCTTTATCCAGTCTATCATTGATCAGCATTTAGGTTGGTTCCATGTCTTTTCTGTTTTTTTTGTTTTTTTTTTTTTTTTTTTTGAGACAGAGTCTCGCTCTGTTGCCCAGGCTGGAGTGCAGTGATGCAATCTTGGCTCACTGCAAGCTCCGCCTCCCAGGTTCACACCATTCTCCTGCCTCAGCCTCCTGAGTAGCTGGGACTACAGGTGCCCGCCACCACGCCCAGCTAATTTTTCTTTGTATTTTTAGTAGAGACAGGGTTTCACCGCGTTAGCCAGGATGGTCTCGATCTCCTGACCTTGTGATCTGCCCGCCTCGGCCTCCCAAAGTGCTGGGATTACAGGCGTGAGCCACCGTGCCTGGCCAGTTCCATGTCTTTTCTATTGTGAATAGTGCTGCAGTGAACACATGCATGCATATATCTTTATAACACAACAATTTACATTCCTCTGGATATCCCAGTAATGGGTTTGCTGGTTCAAATGGTATTTTTGTCTTTAGGTCTTTGAGGAATCACTGTCTTTCACAGTGGTTGAAATAATTTACACTGCCACCAACAGTGTATAACCATTCCTTTTTCTCCACAACCTTGCCTGTATCTGTTAGTTTTTGACTTTTTGATAATAGCCATTCTGAATGGTGTGAGATGGTATCTCATTGTGGTTTTGATTTGCATTTCTCTTTTTTTTTTTTTTTTTTTTTTTTTTGAGACGGAGTCTCGCTCTGTCGCCCAGGCTGGAGTGCAGTGGCGCGATCTCGGCTCACTGCAAGCTCCGCCTCCCGGGTTCACGCTATTCTCCTGCCTCAGCCTCCCGAGTAGCTGGGACCACAGGCGCCCGCACCACGCCCGGCTAATTTTTTGTATTTTTAGTAGAGATGGGGTTTCACCGTTTTAGCCAGGATGGTCTCGATCTCCTGACCTCGTGATCCACCCGCCTCGGCCTCCCAAAGTGCTGGGATTACAGGCGTGAGCCACCGCGCCCGGCCTTGATTTGCATTTCTCTAATGATCAGTGACGTCGAGATTTTTTTCAAATGATTCTTGGCCACATGTGGGTCTTCTTTTTAAGTGTCTGTTCATGTCCTTTGCCCACTTTTTAATGGGGTTGTTTTGTTTTCTTGTAAATTTGTGTAAGTTCCTTATAAATGCTGGATATTAGACCATTGTTGGTTGCAGAGTTTGCAAAAATTCCCTTCCATTCTGTAGGTTGTCTGTTTACTCCATTGATAGTTTCTTTTTCTGTGCAGCAGCTCTTTAGTTTAATTAGATCCCGTTTGCCAATTCTTACTTTTGTTGCAATTGCTTTTGATGTCTTTGTCGTGATATCTTTGCCCATGCCTATGTCCTGAATGGTACATACAACTTTCAGGCTGAGACTATGGGGTTTTCTAAATATAGGATTATGTTGTCTGCAAACAGGGATAGTTTGACTTCCTCTCTTCCTATTTGGATGCGCTTTATTTCTTTCTTTTGCCTAATTGCCCTGGCCAGAACTTCTAATACTGTGTTGAATAGGAGTGACTTCATAGGCAATACCTAGGTTGTCTTCCAGGGTTTTCTTTTTTTTTTTGTAGTTTTGGCTTTTACATTTAAGTCTATATTCCATTTCAAGTTAATTTTTGTATATGGTATATGGAAGGGGTCCAATTTCAGTCTTCTGCATATGGCTAGCCAGTTATTCCAGCACCATTTATTGAATAGGAATACTTTCTGCAATGTTTGTTTTTGTTAGATTGGTAGAAGATTAGATAGTTGTAAGTGTGTGGCCTTATTTCTGGGTTCTCTATTCTGTTCCATTGGTCTATGTGCCTGTTTTTGTACCAGTACCATGCTGTTTTGGTTACTGTAGCCCTGTAGTATAGTTTGAAGTTGGGTAACATGATGCCTCCAGCTTTGTTCTTTTTGCTTAGGATTGCCCTTGCTATTTTTGGTTTCATATGAATTTTAAAATAGTTTTATCTAGTTCTGTGAAGAAGGTCAATGGTAGTTTAATAAGAATAGCATTGGATCTATAAATTACTTTAGGCAGTATGGGCATTTTAGTGATATTGATTCTTTCTATCCATGAGCATGAGATGTTTTTCCATTTGTTTATGTCATCTCTGATTTCTTTAAGCAATGGTTTATAGTTCTTTTTGTAGAGATCTTTCACCTCCAAAATTAGCTGTATTCGTAGGTATTTTATTCTTTTTGTGGCAATTGTGAATGGGAGTTCGTTACTGATTTGGCTCTTGGCTTGACTTTTGTTGGTGTATAGAATGCTAGTGATTTTTGCACATTGATTTTGCATCCTGAGACTTTGCTGAAGTTGTTTATCAGCTTAAGAAGCTTTCGGGCTGAGACTATGGGGTTTTCTAGATATAGGATTATGTTGTCTGCAAACAGGGATAGTTTGACTTCCTCTCTTCCTATTTGGATGCCCTTTATTTATTTCTCTTGCCTGATTGCCCTGGAGAGGACTTCTAATACTGTGTTGAATATGAGTGACTTCACTCCTTTTTTTCTCTGTTTTTGTTTTTCTATCATTAAGCATATATAGTCAATATTTATTTTAGATATCGTATTTTTCAGTTCTAAAATTCCATCTGGTTCTTTTTATTCTCTTGGCTGAGAACTGGTATCTTTTCATTCATTTCAAGTGTACTTACTTTCACCTCATAAAGCATAATTATGCTAGCTGCTTCAAGTCTTTGTGTGACAATTCCAACATCTGTGTCATGACGGGGTTGGCATCTGTTGTCTTTTCCCTTGGGAGTTGGTCTTATTTCCGTAGGAGTTTGCATGCCAAGTAATTGTGATTTGTACCCTAGACATACTGAATATTATACTGTAAGACTCTGAGCCCTATTACTGTCCACTAGGGAATGCTTTTATTTGCTTCATCAATCAACCAAGAAATGTCAGTCCTCCTTCCTTTTATGAGTGGTGGTTCCAATCTCAATTCAGTCCTCAAAACCTTTACTACAGGCCTGTCATGTCCATGTACCACTCAGGGGTTAGTCCAAGACTTGAGCCACAGTTTACATCATTGCCAAATTCTCAAAGCCTCCACTTTGCTGTTTTGGGTCTGTTCCCATGAATGGGCAGCTGAGAGGTGAGGCCAGAAGCTGGCCGCAAACAGACAGGGGAGCAGGCGTCTTCTCTGCAGCTTTGCCTTCCAGGCTTTCTGCCCACACTCTCTGGCCCACAGGACTACTTTATTCTGCGATTTTGGCTAGAAAAATTGGGCTTCTTTCACAGATTTAGCTGCCTACCTTGCTGCCACGTTTGCAGCTCTGTAATTGCTGCCTGCCTCAGCCTAGGCTGCAAGAGAAAAGAAAAGAAAAAAGGAAACTCCCACAAGGCTCACATCTGCAGTTTTTGGTTCCCCTCTACCAACTGCCTGCTTTGTTTACTTTTTAGCCCACTCACGTAGTTGCTTTTTGAATTTTGTCCGGATTTTTTCTCATTGTAATCAGTTGGAAGAGACTTAACAGGCTTTCTCTATCTTGGCCAAACCAGAGCTGACATTTGTTTCCACATCTATGGCTACAGAGAAGCCCGAGCATTTCCTTCTTTTCCTCACTCTGCATGTGCTACTCTTGCACCTACATTCGTCATCATAGGCTTTTCAAAATGGAAGTTGTAAATACATCAATTGATATAAATGCATCAATACAAAAAAGAAAGCATTAAAAAAGTGTATCAGAATGCCAAGACCAAAACAAACAAACAACCAAAAAATCCCAACTATGGTTCGTCTCCCATCTTGTCCCCAACACTCATGCTTTAGGGAATCAGGTTTGGGAAAGTTCTGCCCTCTAACTCACTCTCTGAAAAACACATGCTCACAAGACTGAGTAATCATGCTGTTCCAAATGCTCTCCAGTTCATGCAAGCTGGAAATTTATTTCCCTGGCGTAAATTTGACTATCAATTGATTAAAATTAGCATTACTATGTGTTTTATATTTCCATTCTCCTTCTGTCCCTTTCTTCTTTCCTCCCACATTGTTCACTGAACACATATTGTCCATAGACTATTATAGGCAGGGCATGGTAGATAAGATTAAGGTTAATGATTCATAGCCTTAACCCTTAATAATTAATTTTAATTGGAAGATATTAGGAACATTATATATAACCTTTAAACACTGTCATTTAATCCCTAATAATGCATTTAGATTGGTGATCATAAGTAATTTTAGTATATAATAATACAAAATGTCCTAATATTTTGTGCCTTCCACAACTTCACTGTGGCATCTTGGCTTTCTTGGTGGTTCTTTTAGATGCATGTTAATGAAGTTGCACAGGCTTTTTTCCCTGGAACATTTGCACTCAGCAATCAGTAGTGACAACTATTTCTACTCTCTTCTTTATTATCTAAATTGATTAATTTCCCCCCCCCAAGTTACCAGATAAATATGTTTTCCTCATAAACAAATGTAGAGAATAGGGACATTCCTGAAGCATTCTTTTTTTTTTAATGTTCCTCTTTTCACTTTTTCTGTACTCACCGGCCGACTTCAGGGCATAATCAGCCATCTCGACTTGGTCTTCTCTCAACTTTTTAAGTACATAATTGACCAAGTTTGACACTTCCTGTAGAAATTTTATAAACAGTTTTCTGTTAACAATCTTTGCCAACTGCTTGAGTTTTGACCATTCATTTTATTGATTTGGACCTAATTTGCAAAATTAGAATAGCAGTGAGCCCCTATCAGCTGCACTCTGAGCCAGGCCCTGTTCATGGATCTGGACTGACACCTTCACAGCTCTTGGGAGTGTCATTTTCAGGAATACGGTGTAAATAAAGCCAAGGTGTGTTCAGGGACTCCCACAAGGTCACACAGCACCGTGGACCTAGGGTCTCTTCTGAAGCCCTAACCACTGGCATCACAGTGCTCTCCCGGTGAGGTGCTGTGACCTACTGTGTTCTGTCCCTCATTAGTGTCCTGTGGTTAGCAGTAAAGACTTGAACATTCTAGAGTTATTTGGGAATCAAGGCAGTTTACACAGACTACATGATTGCTTATATTAGACATTTTTCACCCAGTCTAATTAATATTGGATTCTGAAGGCTGCTCTCATTCTAAAAAACGAACAAACAAACAAAACCAAAAGCACCCTAAGCAGGCGTAACAGTTCAAGTTCAAGCTGCCTAAACGTAACACCTTCACAGTGACAAGGATGAAATGGGGTCTGGAGGGCGGCAGGTGGTCCATGTCAGATTGCTGCGCATTTCAAAAAGTAGACATTAGGGAAGAAAAAGAAGGTAGTAATGACAGCGGAAGAGAAAGAAGCAAAATAGAGCTTGTGGTTTCCAACACAGTTTTGCCTGAATCTGATGCTGTCTAGACTAACTACATTAGCTATGAAGATGATGAATGCAAATCTTTTGCTATTTAAGGTATTTGTGTATAGAGCTCAGAGACTGTTATTTCTTTCTTTCTTTCTTTCTTTTACTGGAAAATAGAACAGTTATTTATTTTGGTGTGAAGTAAGTCATATGCAATAGAATGTCTTCTCTGTGACACAGCATTTATGAAACACTGGGTTTCTGTACACAAACCAAATATCAGTCAACACTGGACTTCCCACTGGGAGAAGAAGCAGATGTGACATCGGAAGGACATACTCACTCCCCGTCACCCTGGACATCCGCGCTAACCACCACCCCACCCTGCCCAACCCGCCTAGCCTCATCCAGGACCTCTGTGTGGTCCGGGTCCTCCACAGGGTCTCCATGGGTGTTCCAGTTGTGATTATTGTCCATACCATCCTTCATATCTCTTAGCAATGCCTTCAGGACATCTATTTGTTCGATCAAAAATAGAATTTGACGAAAATTGTTTTCCAGATTCTGGCTTTCCTTCCTGTAAAGGGAAAATCTCAGCATGAGAGGAAGAAAGTGTAAAGCTCCTGTTATCAGCTGTTGCTGGGCTCCACCCGCCATGTGATGAGGTGCTTTATATTGTTGAAGATATACATTCTTGAGTGAGGGAAGAGCAGAGCATGCCCATTTCTCTAAAGCATCACGCTTCACTAAAAAAAAAACAAGGACATCCAGGGGTCACATGGCTGAGGGTGTCCTACTGCTTGACCGGGCTCTGCATGGGGCAGGCAAGGCTCAATCAATCTTGCTGGTCCCCCAGCTGGGTAACGTCACACAGGTGAATCCTAAATCCCACTGTTACCTTTCCAATTGGGAACACCTTGCATTTCCGGTGTAGTACAGAGCAGTGGCTTTCGAATTGTAGCCTGAGTTCAGTGGAAGTGCCTTGGGCAAGGGGTGCTGGTGGATCCAGCCAGTGGGCAGTGACTGGTTACCAGTTTGACAGCCTGAGCATGCAAGATTTTACTTCCCAAGAATGTTTTTTTTTTTTTTTTGAGATGGAGTCTCACTCTGTCCCCCAGGCTGGAGTGCAGTGGCGTGATCTCGGCTCACTGCAACCTCCGCCTCCCGGGTTCAAGTGATTCTCTTGCCTCAGCCTCCCCAGCAGCTAGGATAACAGGCACATGCCACCGCGCTCGGCTAATTTTTGTATTTTTAGTAGAGACAAGGTTTCACCATGTTGACCAGACTGGTCTCAAACTCCTGACCTCAAGTGATCCACCCGCCTCGGCCACCCAAAGTGCTGGGATTACAGGCGTGAGCCACCACGCCCGGCCAAGAATGGGTTTTCTATGTTTACAGTTTGAAAATTACTAGTAGAGAGAAAAAGAAAATGTCAAGCGAATAGGTATTTCTTTATGCTGAAAAAGTATAAGCACTACTTATCTGGTATTTTTCCCCATTTGTAAATCAATACATGTTTGAATTCGGGAAAAAACCAAGCATTTAGAAGAAATAAACACTGTTAAATTTTAATGACTTTCTACCAGTTTTTATTCCATGCAAAAAATTGGTAAGAAAATAGAAATAATATTTATAATTTTGTGTCTCCACTACACTTCCAAATCATTAAAAACTATTTTAAAATTATTTAAATGGCTTTATAATTCTTCATTTCATGAATATATTCCAATGTATTTAACCATTGGCCTAATTTTCTTATAGGGTTATTTTCCATTTTTAGTTATCATAAATGACATGGAAAGCACACCTCAGTGTGTATTTTGTCAAGGAATGCTCCATAGAAGTAGAAATATGTAAAAGGACAAGTAATTTTCTAAAGTACTACAAATGTTACTGTTTGGTGTTTAAAATTTTAAATTATGTATATGCACAAGTGAGAGGAGGCAATTTTTATTTTGTTGTTTCCTTCTTTTGATAAATCCAAGTAACAATAAATGTACTATTTTTAATACTAAATACAGCATGGGTAGATTAAGTCACCTCTAACCCTTTAATCTTTTCTATCTCCTTTTTTTCTTTTTCTTCCTCCTTTCTTTCCATCTGCATATATACATAGAGAAATGCTAGGAATGATATCATTAAATATTAATAATAGTTATTTCTGGGAGTGAAATTTTGAGTTATTTCAGGGAGTAACTTTTCTTTCTTATACTTTTCTGTACGAAAACATTTCAGTATTTGAAACCACACCAAAAAGAGGCATATAGCAAAAGATCGCACTCACTTTAAAAGTTCCAGTTGCTCTTTAGGCATACGAAGTCTGGCCTGAAAACAACAGAAAAAGATAAATCATTCTGAATTCTGCTTATTCAAATAGAGTCTTTTTTTTTTCTCAGAAAAGGGAAATAAATAGCACATTGACTCCTGATATACAGATGTGCTGGCTGGAACTCAGGAGCGTCCTCTGAGAGGCCCGCCTCTTTCCTAGCCTCACCTGTACATCATGAATGTATTTGAAGGAGATGAGGTAATGCAAATCTATTTAATGAGTGACATTCAACAGGAGCTCTTGGATGGGCACATCATTTCCTATTTCTTAAGACTGTAAAGGCCTGAACACAGTCTGAGAGGGAGGTTGGAAGAGGAAAAAATAGAGGGAAGAGGAAGAGAGGGAAGGGAAGACAAGCGGGAGAGGCGCCCCTGGTGGATGTGGAAAAACCTAAGGAGCACATGGCGACGTTAGAGGACCATGCTGAGCTCTTTGGGCTTGTCCCTGAATAAGGAGGGGGACTCCCACTTACAAATAAGAAAGGGATGTGATTACTTTTGGGCTAGATTGGCAATCACAATCAGAAAATTGCAGAAATTTATCTAACACTGGTGTCATGTCTGGTATAGATAGTCTCTGGTATGGACGGTCTTGGTGGTGCCCAAACCAAGACAAGAAACCAGGAAAAGGTAAAGTTACTGTTTGGACACAACATGTGGCTTCAGAGGACTTTCTGCTATGGAGGTGGTCAGTGAAAACATAAACACTGGGAAGATAGAGCATGCTGGAGTGCAGGCAGCACTCTGGTCTGCAGTACCGGGCTACTGTGCTGCCTGTTCCTCACCTGGAATGGGGGAATGGCCTAGCTGCATCCTCCTGTCACTGAGAAGAACTTGGGTCTGGGTGGCCAGCACCTCTATGTCCCTTAGCTCATCCTGCTGTGTGTCTTCCGGGCCCTGCCACAGATGACGGTGGTTGGGTGCTCACATTTCAAATGCCCTACAAGTCATTAGCCTGGGAGCCTCCAAAGCCCTGCACTCTCTTCCCGTCTGTCTTTACCCAGCATGAGACACACACACACAAACACACACACTCCACATACACATGCTTATACACACGTATGCACATGCTCATAGGCACACATGCATACTCACATATGCACACATGCACAGCCCCTATTCCAACATGGGATGGTTGGAGAAGGTCAATAATATTACCAACAGAGAAAGGAGGGCAAAAGAGAGCACCTTGGGGCACCAATCTTGAAGGGCTCAGAAGCCAACAACTGAGTGGACAAGCTGGTAAGAAGGGGAGGACAAGTGTGAAAGGGTGATCTCTTCCCCAGAGGATTCCAGGAAAAATAGTCAACAATGCCCATCGAGGGATGGCTCCTGACATCCTTTCTTTACATCTGGAACTCCCCTACCCTGACATGTTTTACTCAAGTGGTTTATCAATTAAGAGGCAGTATCTTTGACTATGTGCCAAGAAAATAATGTAGATCAGAGTGGAGGAATGATCAAGTGTGAAAACGAAGGCCGACCCAAGCAATCAATTCCCTTGGGTTTAAACTTAAATCTTGGAGGATTCCCGCAGCAGTCTCCAGAAATTTGTCTCATCCACATACTCTCCCTGCCAGGTTGGGAAGCAGACACCTCTGCCTTTAAGGATCACTTTCTTGTAGCAACAAAGCTCACACTTCAGGCACCCAACAGAGAACTCAAAGGGACCCTATGAGTTTCCTGGGGCTCTTGACACACATGACCACAAACGGGGTGGTTTGAAACAATGGAAATTTATTCTGTCGCTGTTCTGGAGGTCAAAAGTGTAAGGTCAACGTGTCCACATGTTTACACTCCTCTGAAGGTCCTCAGGGAGATTCTGTTTCTTGCCTTTTCTAACTTCTGGTGGCTCTGGGCATTCCTAGGCTTGTGGCTGCATCACTCCAGTCTCTGCCTCTGCCTTTACGTGGTCTCTTCTTCTCCTCTCTGTGTCTCTCTCCTCTGTAAGTCTCCTAAAGAGATCCCTGTCATTGTATTTAGGACCCATCTGAGTAATCTAGGACGATTTGATCTCAAGAAACTTAATTACATCTGCAAATACCTTTTTCCCAAATAAAGGTCACATTCACAGTTTCTTGGGGTCAGGAGGTAGACATATCTTTTTGGGAATCACCTTTCAACCTCCTACAGTGACCATCAATGTGCTATCTGGGAAATAGTGCTCCATCTTTACCCAGTAATTAGCTTGCTTTTCTGTTACAAAGACTGGCTTTTTATCAGTTAGCTCTGCCCAAAATAGTGCTATACTATAAATGTGTTGTGTCTTGTGCGATGTTATTCTGTCATGTGTGATAATGATGTCAGAATGGAATGTAGTGTGGCACATAGAAAAATATTGCCTTGCTTTTGTTCTGAACAATTACACTTCTTATACGTTCTCCTCAACATTTTTATTTTGACAAGGATGTGAATTTGGGAGCTTATCATTGGTAGATAGAGATTCTCACTTCTAGTTTTTCACATTCTGTTTGAGCAACTTCCCTGTCAGTAGGAGCAGTGTTTTCAATTTGTTTCTTTTTTCTGTTCTAGCCTTAAAATAACATACAGAAAATACTCCTCAATTAATTTGCTGATAAATGAACTTGAGAGTTCCATGAAAAATAAAATATTTCACAATTTTAAAAACATTTTTATTTTGCTTCATTCCCAAAAGCATTTCAGGCAAGTTCTACTATAGGAACTTGTATAGTATAAGAACATGTAGGACAAAACAGTAAGTAAGGAAGTGAAAGTGAAGATAAAATAAAGATTGGAAAAGTAAGATAATGCGAGAAGGATGAAGTTGGAACCTACTCGTGCCTGAAATTCTTGAAAGTTATTAGCTGTGGGCTATAAATTTGTTTCAGAGCATCACAGCAACCAAATGGGTGGGAGAGGGGGCAGGCCAATGGCCAAAATTTACCACATCCACAATGTGGAAAAAGAAAATCAAAAGTGTTATAAAGGCTGCTTTGTGTATAGTTGATTATCTTTCTGAAACATTTCTGGCAATGAGATGGGGGTTCAGTGTCCTAGGAACCTTCCTAAAACATCCCTCCCTGTAGGCTGTTGGCCTCATGACAAAGCCTATGTCAGGGAAAGCCTCATCAGATGTGAAAATGTCCAGAGCACTCGTTAAGAGGACACAGCCTCCAGGGATATTGTTTTCAGCAACAAAGTCCCTGTGCCTCATCCTAACCATGGATTAAGGTAGGGTTTGTCTGCATGTGCTGTCAATTTACAGCCTCCTGAGACACGAAGGCGTCAGGTAGAGGCTGGCAAAGAAATAGCCATGGGCAAAGCCCAGTTTTACTTGTTTTTTGTTTAGTTTTTTTTTTTTTTTCTTCAGATAATGTTGACTGAGACCCAAAGCTTTATGCCTTGGAACATGGCTCTAGTAATTTGAACCAAGATAAATTCAATGATGTGTTAACACATTTCTGACATGGTCATTAAAATTTTTTTTCTCAATGAGGTCCCATAAGATATCTAACTTTAAACCATATAACTTCAAGGTGAATCCTACAAACTATAGTGATTGCAGACTGTGCCCTGGGTAAATAACTAAGCTTGCTGCTTAATATAGCTTTAAGATAGAAACCAATTAAATATTGGAGTAAGTAATTTGAAGTCATTGGTCTTGAACTCACAACTGTGATCACTGTGGCTTGAATATCTATGTTTCTTCCAAAATTTATGTTGAAACTTAATCCCCATTGTGGTGGTGTTAAGAGGTAGGGTCTTTTGGGGAGTGATTAAGTCATGAAGGTACCACCCACGTGAATAGGATTAGTGCTTTTAATAAAAAGCTCGAAGGAAGTAGTTTAGGCCCTTTTCGCCCTTTGACCTCCTACCACGTGAAGACACAAGAAAGCTCTCATTAAACATAGAATGCACATGCCTTGATCTTGGACTTCACAGCCTCCAGAACTGTGAGAAAGACATTTCTGTTCTTTATAAGCTACCTAGTCTATGGCATTTTGTTATAGCAGCATAAATGGATTAAGACTGTGCTGGTGATTTGAAAGTGGCATGTGACAATAAAATTTTGTTCTCAGTGTAGCAGTGAGCAAAGTCTTAGTCTGAATGGCAGGCCCAGTCTCAACAAAATCTGGATCCTCAGGGAGGATCATTTCAGCTCTGGAATATGCAGTGGTGTGACCACAGGCTGCCTTCCTTCATTGTGCTGATCCATTGTGCTGATCCAGCTTCCTAATCTATAAATGGATTTAGTAATACTCTTACTGAAAAGTCATTTCGAGGATAAAGTGTAATATATATTTAGTGTTCTTAGGATCTCTTCTGATGCATAACTATTACCATTATCCTGTTCTCCATGGTGGAATATGAGGCGATATATCCAGCTTTTTGAAAAGTAATATCAAATCATTGGGATTCAATATGACAACAAGGTCACCTAAAAATTATAAATATTCTTTACTTATTTTTCTTTTAAGAGTTTATCCTAAGTAATCAAGGAGAGGCAAATTGATTAAGCCATAGGATGTTTGTGTTTATAATATTTAAAAAATTAGAGACAATCCAATTGTTTAGAAATAAGTATTCATTGAAAATATTATTCATTGGAATATTTTATCATCCATTACATGTCATTATAAAATAATATCTAAAGGCAAGGGAGCATATTTAAAATCTATTACTGGCTGAGTGCAGCGTTTCATGCCTGTAATCGCTTGAGCTCAGGAGATTGAGAAACAGCAACTACTTCATGTAGCTTGGGATTTATAAAGAACTCACGTAGAAATAAGTTAAAATCAGTCTCCAGTGGTTTCTGACAGTGCTCTTGTCTGTGTGAAAACCAGGTTAACACTGGTCAAAAATTAAATGATCATAGGTCAACCTCAACCTCATGAAAAATACTGTCCTTAGAAACACGGCCATAGTCATTTTATTTTATATTTTGAGACAGAGTCTTGCTTTATCACTCAGGCTGGAGTGCAGTGGCACAAGCACAGCTGACTGCAGCCTCAACCTCCCAGGCTCAAGTGATCCTGCCACCTCAGCCTCCAGAGTAGCTGGTACTACAGGCATATTCCACCATGTCTGGCTAATTTTTTGATGTTCAGGCTGGTCTTGAACTCCTGGAGCCAAGCGATCTGCCCACTTCACCTGCCCAAAGTGCTGGGATTACAGGAATGAGCCACCGTGTTGGGCTGGCTAGACATTTTTAAAGGGTTGAATTTGCTGTTGAGTATGCTGGTTAGTCTAAAATCGGAAGGTAGAAGGGAAGGATGCCTTTTAAAAATGTGATTAGTCTCAGATAACTTATTTATTTATTCATTAATGTGCATATTTATTAAGCCTCCATTTACCTGGGGACTCTTCTAGGCTCTAGACAAGCTCCTTGATCATTACATTTTAGTTAAAAGGGAAGAAGGCAAGAAGAGAGCTGGTAAAGAAATCGATGAGTGTCTAAAATAAAGCAGGGGTAAAAACTAGGATGCACCTACACCTGGATATTGTCACAGGTGGTTTGTGTGGTCACAGAAGCCTGTCTAATGAGGAGACATTTGGACTAGCTGGAATTTCAGAAAGAAACCAATCCTGCAAAGATCTGCAGCAGAAGACTGTGGGCAAAGGGGCACCCAATATTCAGGCACTAACAGAACCTGCCAGATAAACTTACAAGTGTATTAGTCAGGGTTCTCTAGAGAAATGGAACCAAGCCAATGTATATATAGAGAGAGATTTATTTTGAGGAATTGGCTTAAATGATTGCAGGGGCTAAGTCTGAAGTTTTCAGGGCAGGCTGGCAGGCTGGAGAACCAGGGAAGGGTTGATGTTACAGCTCGAGTCTGAAGGCTATTTGGAGACAAAATTTCTTCTTTCTTGGGGAATCTCATTCTTTATTCTTAAGACTTTAAAATGCCTGTGAGACCAACCCACATTGTAGAGGGTAGTCTTCTGTATTTAGTCTATAGATTTAGATGTTAATCACATCTAAAAAATACCTTCACTGCAATATCTAGACTGGTGCTTGACCAAACATCTGGGCGCCATGGCCTAGCCAAAGTGACACACAAAATTAACCATCACAACGAAGCTTAGGCACAAATTGGCAATAGTTGGAGCCACCATGACCACTCTGCGTGCTCATCTCTGCTTTTCTGGTTATGACCTAACTATCCAGCTTCAGCTCCCATGGGCTTGGTCTTAGTCTTTGATGTGAGAACCTCGTGGAGTAGGAGCTATCTGAGGCTGACCCTCTCTGTGGGGTTTCCAGGTAGCTGTGCTTTTGTCTAAGACTGGGGTCTCACAGATTCTCAGCATATGCAGACTGAGTAGCGCCTCTGAGATGGGAGTTATCCTGGGCATCAACCTATGAACCTCCAGGGAGGCTTCCTCACTGGACTGGAATGCTGTGGGCATCATACATGTGCAGTCTCCCCTCTCTTTTGGGACTTCACATGGCAAGACACATTGGAATGAGGCAGTTACTGGAGGAACTAGGAAGTAGAAGATTTCAGAGGCCCTGAGCAAAAAGGGTATGAAGTAGGAATCTGATCAGTCAGGCCTAAGGCCACTGACTGGGTCACTGAAGTCACTATGGGTTAAAAGATCAGCATACTGGTGGAGACAGGCCAATATGTCTGTCCATCTTCCCCCAGAGCAGCAGTAACCTGGTCATAGCTCCTGCTGAAACCACCTTTGCAAAAATGAAAACTAAGGGAAGTATGACGGTGAAAGAGACAAGACCTATCCGACTCCATCATGCTTCTAACTTTTAAGCTGTCCTTGTTCATTCCTGGGAGTAGGCCAAACTAACTTTGGGAAGGAATTCAGTTCATGGTTTGACTCTGAAACAAAATTGATAACAGTCCTTTCCTGAAAAGACCCCCTTCTTGCTTGGGGACCAATCTGCCTTTTTAGGACTAACAAATTAGCTACAAGATTAGAAATTACAGTTTAGGGGTCACGCAGACCCTGGCTCCAAGAGTCTGAACCTCCCCAAATTGTTCCTGGGGATAACATCACTATTGTAAGACCTAAGATCAGTGCTTGAGATGTTTTGCAGACCCTGCACTAGATGGATCAGCTGATACCACCCAGGCCAGTAATCTGACTCAACCAGTTCTGCCAGCCCACCCAGGAACAGAAGACAGCAAGAAAACCTCACTTTGACTCTCTACGATTCCATCTCCAACCTGACCAATCAGCACTCCCCACTTCCCAAGCCCCTACCTGCCAAACTATCTTTAAAAACTCTGATCCTCAAATGCTCAGGGACACTAATTTGAGTAATAATAAAACTCCAGTATCCCACACATCCGGCTCTGCGTGAATTATTCTTTCTCCGTTGCAATTCCCCTGTCTTGATAAATTGGCTCTGTCAAGGCAATGGGCAAGGTGAACCCTTTGGATGGTTACACTGCCACCCTCCTCCCTCCAATCTTCTGAGTTTCTGAGCATAGAATGGACAAGGCTTATTCTGGAATGCTGGGGGTGGGGTGGATCAGAAAGAGGACATTCAGTGACTAGCCTCAGTCTAAGCCCACCTAGATCTAACTAGCTTCAGGACAAAGGGAAGTGCCATACTCCTGTCCAGTGTCAGGCAGTGTCAGGCAGAAGTTGGTGATAAAGGTTTATTTGCCATTTTATTTGTGCTTGAGATTCTCTTGGGGAAGTGTGGAGAATTTTTAGGACCTCATAGCTATAAAACTATTGTCTTAGTCTGTTTTCTGTTGCTATAACAGAATACCACAGCCTGGGTAATTTATAAACAACAGAAGTTTGTTTGGCTCACAGTTCTGGATGCTTGGAAATCTGAGAGCATGGCACTGCCATGTGATGAGGGTTCTACCATGGCAGAAGGGTGAAAGGGCACAGGAACATGTGAGACAGAGAGAGAAATGGGGCCAAACTCATCCTTTTATTAGGAGCCCACTCTTCAGGTGACTATCCCACTCCAATGATAATGGCATTAATTCAGAGCTCTTATGACCCAATCACTTTTTAAAGGTCTTACCTCTGAACACTGTTACAATGGCAATTAAATTTCAGCATGAGGTTTGGTGGTCACATTCAAACCACAGAAACCACTTAATAGAATTCCATTTCCTACATTAATTTTATTAGATATTCTCATATAAAACAAAGATAACATATTGAAAGTTGAACTAGCCTTGTAGCATATTAAACTTTAAATGAGTGATATACAAAATTACTTAACAAAATATCACCTGATATTTATAAAGCCTTGAACCATATTCTGCAATTATGGCATATAATTGTCTGGATTTCTGAGGAACATCTGTTTCTTTAAGCCACTGATGATTTAGGAGTCCTGTTAAAGAAAAGACAAACTTTGATTAAAGAGTTTCTCTGGAAACATAAAATATTTTACATGTATTCATAAGAATTTCCCTAAACATGAAGAATATGTATACTCTTAAGAATATCAGATCCTTGGGTGACATCATGGAAAATGGTGGAATAGTACACACAAAAAATCAGGCCTCCATGTAAACAATATAGCTAGTAAAGATTGACAGAATCAATTTTTTTTGGAACTCTGGAATCTAATCCAAAACCTACAGCAGCCAGATAACTAAGGATAGGGTGGCTAGTTTCTAGAAACAGAGCATGTGGCATTTTTCTTTACCTGACTACCATCTTCCATTTCTCAACCTGGTGGTGGCAGCTATAGGGACAGCATTTCACATTCCTTTAATATAGACTTTGTTCTTAAAATACCATGGTAATGTTTTTTGACTCATCTAGTGGTTCCCTGAGGGGCTGGCACAGAAGCTGACCTGTGTTTATTCCACGCCTATAGCTTTCTAGGAAGTGGCAATATCTATTGAAAGACTTCAAAGACATACTGCCGAAGCCCAACTGGGACAAAGGACAGTAGATGATGGAAGTGGCAGACAGACCCAACAGCCCATGAATAAAGAGGCAGTCTCTTTCTGGAAAAAGGGCTCAGAAGGACTGCTGCATCATATACTAGGAAGCAGAGAACGTAATGTGCATTTCTAGGACTGGACGCATGTTCATAAATGACCCCAAGAAGATACTGGGTTGCACCTCTGGTGGATCTGTAGATTGTGTATAAGCAGGAGATGAAGACTAAGGCAGAGTTTTAGGTGGCCTGGCTTAGTCTTGAAGGAGTGTCCCAGCTTAGAGCCAAGCTGCAAAGACTGAGAGAGTAATCTCTGTCTCTGTCTCTGTTTCTGTCTCTCTCTCACTCTCTCTCTGGATCCAGGAATTCAAGGAAATATGTGAGAAATCAGTGGCTAACCACTGAGATAGTGGAATAGCAAACATATACGACAAGAAATACAGTCTTCCAAAATAGTTTTGGGAGGCCGAGGTGGGTGGATCACAAGGTCAAGAGATCGAGACCATTCTGGCCAACATGGTGAAACCCCGTCTCTACTAAAAGTACAAAAATTAGCTGGGCGTGGTGGTGCTCACCTGTGGTCCCAGCTACTCGGGAGGCTGAGGCAGGAGAAATGCTTGAACCCAGGAGGTGGAGGTTGCAGTGAGCCAAGATCGCACCACTGCACTCCAGCCTGGCGACAGAGTGAGATTCCATCCCAAAAAAAAAAAAAAAGTTTGAAAATGTTACTAAACAAACAAGTGATTGCAGCCCTCAACATGCAACAGCAGGCAAACCCTGGGGAAGAGGGAAATCTGAATTCTAGAGTTATTACATTATAATATTAAAATGCTCAATTTGCAAAATCACATGGCATACGATGAAACAGGAAAGTATGGCACATTCAAAAAGAGAAAATGGCAGAAACCATCCCTGAGGAATCTGACATTGGAATTACGAGACAAAAACTTTATATCAGCTGTTCTACATATGTTCAAAAACTAAAGGAAACCATGGACAAAGAACTACAGGAAACCAGGAAGATTATGTATGGATAAAATGAGAATATTGATTAAAATAAATTATGAAAGAAACCAAATATAAACTCTGAAGCTGAAAGAGGAATAACTAAAATGAAGAACTTACTAGAAGGGCTCAACAGTTGATTTAAGCAGGCAGATGAAAGAATCAGTTAACTTAAAGATAGAGCTATGAAATTATTGAGTCTGTGAACAGAAAGAGAAAAGTGAAAAAGTGAACAGAGCCCAAGACACCCATCAGACACCATGAAGTGGATCAACATATGCATTGTGGCAGTCTCAGAAAGAGGAGAGAGAGAGAAAGGGGCAGAAAGAAATGAAGAAATAAATAAAACCTATGGGATACAGCAAAAGCAGTACTAAGAGGGAAGATTATAGTTGTAAGTGCCTATATTGAAAAAGAGGAAAAACATCCTATAAATGATGTAATGATGTACCTTAAAGAAATAGAAAAGCAAGAGCAAACCAACCCCAAAATGAGTAGAAGAAAAGAAATAATAAAGATCAGAGAAGAAATAAATAAAATGGAAATGAAGTAAACAATACAAAAGATCAATGGAACAAAGGTTTTTAGAAAAATTAAATGAAACTGACAAACCTTTAGCCAGATTAACAAAAAAGAGAAGATACAAATGAAATTAGAAATAATAAAGAAGACATCAAAACTGGTACTGCACAAATTTAAAGGATCATTACTAGCTACTATGAACAACTGTATGCCAATAAATTGGAAAATCTAGAAGAAATGGACAAATTACTAGACACATACAACCTACCAAGACTGAACCAGAAAGAAATTCAAAACCTGAACAGACCAATAAAAAGTAATGAGATCGAAGCCATAATAAAAAATCTCCCAGTAAAGAACAGCCCGGGACCCCATGGCTTCACTGCTGAATTCTATCACACATTTAAAGAAGAGCTAATACCAACCTTATGCAAACTATTCTGAAAAAGAGAGGAGGAGGGAATACTTCTAAACTCATTCTACAAGGCCAGTATTACCTTGATATGAAAACCAGACAAAGACACATCAAAAAAAAAAAAAAAAAAAAAAAAGAAAGAAAGAAAACTACAGGCCAATATCTCTAATGAATATTGATGCAAAAGCCCTTAACAAAATACCAGCAAACTGAATTCCATGATACATTAGAAAGATCATTCATCATGACTGAGTGGGATTTATCCCTGGGATGCAAGGATGGTTCAACATATGCAAATCAATCAATGTGATACACCATATCAATAGAATGAAAGATAAAAACCATGTAATGGTTTTCAACTGATGCTGAAAAGGCATTTGGATAAAATTCAACATCTCTCCATGATAAAAACCCTAAAAAAAACTGGGTATAGAAGGAACATACCTCAACGTAATAAAAGCCATGAATGACAGACAGATCCACAGCTGGTATCACACTGAATGGGAACAAACTGAAAGCCTTTCCTCAAAGACCTGGAACACGACAAGGTTGCTCACTTTCACCACTGCTATTCAACATAGTACTGGAAGTCCTAGCTAGAGCAACCAGACAAGAGAAAGAAATAAAAGGCATCCAAACTGCAATGAAAGAAGTTAAATTATCCTTGCTTGCTGATAATATGATTTTATATTAGGAAAAAAACTATTAGAACTGATAAATTCAGCAGTGTTGCAGGATACAAAGTCAATGTACAAAAATCAGTAGCATTTCTATATACAAACAGTGAACAATCTGAAAAATTAATAAAGTAATCTCATTTACAATAGCCACAAACAAAATCAAATACCTAGGAATTAACCAAAGAAGTGAAAGATCTCTACAACGAAAACTATAAAACATTGATGAAAGAAATTGAAGGAGAAACAAAAAGTAGATAGCTCATGTTCATGAATTAGAAGATCAATATTGCTAAATGTCCATACTACCCAAAGCAATCTACATATTCAATGCAATCCCTATCAAAATACCAATGACATTCTTCACAGAAATAGAAAAAAACAACCCTAAAATTTATATGGAACCACAAAAGACCCCAAATAGTCAAAGCTATTCTAAGCAAAAAGAAGAAAATTGGAGGAATCACATTACCTGACTTCAAATTATACTACAGAGCTTAGTAACCAAAACAGCAGGGTACTGGCATAAAAAGTGAGAGATAGGCTGATGAAACAGAATAGAGAACCCCTACAGAGAACTCATTTTCAACAAATGTGCCAAGAACATACGCTGGGGAAATCATAGTCTCTTCAATAAATGGTGCTGGGAAAACTAGATATTCATATGCAGAAGAATGAAACTAGACCCCTATCTCCTGCCATATACAAAAATCAAATCAAAATGGATTAAAGGCTTAAATCTAAGACTTTAGACTATGAAACAACTATAAGAAAACATTGGGGGACAATCTCCAGGTCATTGGTCTGGGCAAAAATTTCTTGAGCAGCACCCCACAAGCACAGGCAACAAAAGTAAAAATGGACAAATGGGATCACAGCTAAAAAGCTTCTGACAGCAAAGGATACAATCAACAAAGTGAAGAGACAACCCACAGAATGGGAGAAAATATTTACAAACTACCCATCTGACAAGGGATTAATAAGAAGAATATATAAGGAGCTCAAACAACTCTACAGAGAAAAAAAAAAAAAACAAACCTAAATAATCTGATAAAAAAATGGGCCAAAGATTCAAATAAACATCTCTCAAAAGAAGACACACAAATGGCAAACAGGCATATGAAAAGGTGCCAGTTTCATTGATTGTCAGAGAAATGAAAATCAACACTACAATGATATGTTATCTCACCTAAGTTAAAATGGCTTATACCCAAAAGATAGGCAATAACAAATGCTGGAGAGGATGTGGAGAGAGGAGAACTCTCATACACTGTTGGTGGGAATGTAAATTAGTACAACCACTCTGCAGGATAGTTTGGAGAATCTTCAAAAAATGATAAACACAGCTGATATATGATCCAGCAGTCCTACTGTTGGGCATATACCCAAGATAAAGGACATCAGTATATCAAAGAGATATCTGCGCTCCCATTTGTTGCAGCATTGTTCACAATAGCTAAGATTTGGAAGCAACCTAAGTGTCCATCAGCAGATAAATGGATAAAGAAAATGTACATATTCACAATGGTGTACTATGCGGCCATAAAAAAGAATGAGATAATGTCATTTGCAACAACATGGATGGAATTGGAGATCATTATGTTCAGTGAAATAAGCCATTCATAGAAAGACAAATATCACATGTTCTCAATTATTTGTGGGAGCTAAAAATTAAAAGAATTAAACTAATGAACATAGAGAGTAAAATGATGATTACCAGAAGCAGGTGAGGGTAGTGTCGAAGATGGAGGAGGTGAGGATGGTTAATAGGTACAAAAAATAGAAAGAATAAATAAGACGTACTATTTGACAACACAATGGGTGACTACAGTAAAAAATTACTTAATTGTACATTTTAAAATAACTAAAAGATTGTATTTGGATTGTTTGCAACACAAAGGATAAATGCTTGAGGGGATGGATACCCCATCCTTCATGATATGATTATTTCACATTGCATGCCTGTATCAAAACATCTCAGGTACCCCATAAGTATATATACTATGTACCCACAAAAAATTAAAAAATTTTAAATTTTAAATAAGAAAAAGAACATTTGAAGAAATAATGGCTGAAAAAGTTCCAAAGTTGATAAAAAGCCATGAATCTACACATCCAAGAAACTCAACAAACTTCAAGTAAGACAAACTTAAAAAGACTCATGCTGAAACCTATTATAATCAAACTGTTGAAAGACAAAAACACAGAGATAATCTTGAAAGCAGAAAGAGAGCAATGCCTTGTTATATAGAAGAAAGTCTTTGTTGGATTATCACCTGATTTTTTTCTTCAGAAACTATAGAGGCCAGAAGACAGTGGGATGACATATTTAAAGCGTTGAAAGAAAAAAAATTCTATATATGAGAAAACGATTCTCCCAACTGCAGAAAAAATTAACATATTCTAAGATAAAGAAAAGCTCATGGTGTCTCTATGACTAGACCAGCCCTTCAGGAAGTGCTAAAGGGATTCCTTCAGGCTGCAGTGAAAGGACATTAGAGAGTAACTCAATGCCGCATGAAGCAATCAAAATCTCCAGTAAAGGTAACAGAGAGGTAAATATGAAACCAGTATTATTGTTTTGGGTTTGTAACTCCTTCTTTTATTTCTTTCATAATTTAAAAGACAAATTTATAAAGCATAATTATAAATCTATGTTTATGGGTACCCAATGTGTAAAGATGTAATTTTTGACAACATAAAGAGGAGTAAATCCCAGTGAATACAGATCATAAGGAGGAAAAAAAAGAGGAGCAGAGCTGAATAGGAGCAGAGTATTTGCATTCTATTAAAGTTAATTTGGTATAAATTTAAACTATATTGTTATAAATGTAGGGTCTCAGTTGAAATCCCCATGGTAACCACTAAGAAAATATCTAAAAAACGTATACAAAATGAAACAGATCAGAATCAAAAGAGTGCACTACAACAAAGCAATTAAACACAAAAGAAGGCAGTAAAGAAGGAAATGAAGAACAAAAAAGGTATAAGATATAGATTTTCTAAAAAATAGAAAAATGGCAGAAGTAAGTCATTCCTTAGTAGTAATTAATGTAAATGAAAATGGATTAAACTTTCCAATCAAAAGGCAGAGGCTGGCAGAATGAATTTAAAAACATGATTCAACTATATGCTGCTTACAAGAGATTTACTTTAGAATCAAAACTGAAATTTATAAAACATGGCTGAAAGAAATTAAAGAAGACCTAAATAAATGGAAGGACAACTTGTGTTCATGAATTGGAAGATTTACTACTGCTAAGATGGCAACACTACCTAAAGCTGTCCACAGATTCAAAGTAATCTTTATCAAAATCCAAACAGCATGATACTGGATAATGATAGACATATAGACTAATGGGCTAGAATATCCAGAAATAAACCCATTCAACTATAGCCAATTCAGTTTTTGGAACAGAGGACAAGACATTCAAAGATTCCTATAGGGAAAGAGTAATATTTTTAGCAAATATTACTTTGGCTTTCCACATGCCAAAAAATGAAGTTGGATCCCTTGCATCATATACAAAAATGAACTCAAAATGGGTCAATTACCTAAATATTATAAGAGCTAAAACCAGAAAACTCTTTTAAAAAGGTTTGGCAATGGATGCTTCAATATGACACCCTCAAAATTACAAACCTTCGTGTATCAAAGAAAGTGCAAAGACAACCTAGAATGAAAGACAACCTAGAATGAAAGAAATGTTTTCAAGTGATATATCTGAGAAGGATTTGGTATCTAGAATATATTAAAAAACTCTTCCAACTCAACAACAAAAGGACAAACAACCTAATCAAAAATGAGCAAAAGACTTTAATGGACATGTCTCCAAGGAACACATACAAACGGTCAATAAGCACATAAAAAGATGCTTGACATCATTAGTCATTAGAGAAATCAAACCATGATGAAACATGACTTTTCATCCATCAGGTGGCTGTAATTTAAAAAAAAAGGAAAAAAATGATAGTGGAAATGTAGAGAAATTGGACTTCTTGTTTTAATCCATTTGTGTTGCTGTAAAGGAATATCTGAGGTTGGGTAATTTATAAAGAAAAGAGGTTTATTTGGCTCACAGTTCTATAGGCTGTACAAGAAGCATGGCACCAGCATCTACAACTGGTGAGGGTCTCCAGCTGCTTCCGCTCATGGTGGAAGGCAAAGGAGGAGCCAGCATGTGCAGAGATCACATGGTGAGAGAGGGAGCAAGAGAGAGCTGGGAGAAGTCAGGTTCTTTTTAACAATTAGCTCCCACAGGAACTAATAGAGTGACAACTCATTACTGTAAGGATGGAACCAAGTGATTCATGAGGAATCTGTCCTCATGACCCAAATGCCTTCCATTAGGCCCCCACCTGCAACACTGGGGTTCAAATTTCAACATGAGGTTTGGGAGGACAGATATCCAAACTATAGCAGTCCTCCTACACTGCTTGTGGGAATGTAAAATAGTGCAGCCATTGAGGAAAACAGTCTGGTGGTTCCTCCCCAGAAATCTCATTCCTATGTATATACTTGAAAGAATTGAGAACAGGTGTTCAAATAAGCACACATACACACTTATGCACAGCATCACTATTCACAATAGCCTAAAGATAAAAGCACTCTAAATGTCCATGAATAGATAAATGGATAAACAAAATGAGGTATATACATACAATGAAATATTATTTAGCTACAAAAAGGAATGAGGAACTGACACATGATAGGATATGGATGAACCTTAAAAACATTATGCTAAGTGAAAGAAGGCAGATAAGAAAGATCACATGCTATATGATCTTTTTTGTAACAATAACTGGGTTGAAACTTTTATTTTAATGGGAGATACATGCCTTAAGTTGTGAATATATTAAAGAACAATTTTCCAGTGTGCTAGGGGTGGTGGATGGTGATATTTCCCGATACGAAACTACAAACTGCACATTCTGCAGTAATTTATTTGGGAACTGTGTGATGAGCAAGAGTCTCTGGTTGTCAAAACCTCCCAAGTGGAGTCACCTAAATTTAGAAAAGGTAAAATGTATGTTTGCAATAAATATATTAGAAATTCTTAACTTTAAAGCAACATCTATGACTAAAAAATTTGCAAAAAGCAAACCACAATTCTAAAAGAAAAATCTCCTTTCTAAATTTTCTATTAAAAAGCCAGTATTACTCTTACAATCAGAAATAAAAAACAAACGAAAAAGCTTTGAGAATGTGCAGGTCACCTCCAGCACTTTCCGTGGCATTTATTTACAAATATGAGTCATTCCGTTGAGATCTCTCTCACCAGGCAGACATAACCTGTGGAATGGTTTTAAGGATCATTACTTAGGAAGACTTACCTACAAGAAGAAAAGTCAGTGTAAGCATTGTACTTAGAATAATCTTCCATGATCGAGTTACCCTAAAAGAATAAAAACAATGATTAGAAAAAGAATTTAACAACATCATGCATTTAACTTGGACTTTAGCCACTACACTCACGTCAACAAACTTACTTATTTTCATTCTTGCTTAATCTAGGTTGAGTCTATGAATTACTTTAATTTCCAATCCACTATTTTTTAAATTGAGAGAAGATCGTTTTAGTGATGATACACACTCACCAGCATATATGAGTGCGCATACATAGAGTCATGCCTCTTACTTTCACATATGCAATGCTTATGCTAGTATATGTCTATTTATATTCTTAAAATACTTATAAGAAAAAAACAAAGGCAGTTTTCTGGAGGTCTCAAATGTAGAACTAGCTACAAAAAAAGAAAAAAAAGAAAAATCAGGTTCTGATTTTATGGAAATTTTGTACTAAGCTAAAGAACTATGACAGTTAAGAAATATCTGATAAAATTCTTTAAAGCCACCATGACCTTTTTTCCTACTCTGTGTTGAAGTACAGTATGCTATACAAATACGATTTGTGCTCTTTTCTGTATAATTGTACAGACCAGTGATGCCTCACAGAATGAACACATCCATGAAACCTCACCCAGGACTGGAAATTGAGCATACTCAGTTCTGTGGACTGAATTGCACCCCACCCCCCAACACACACACACACACACACACACACACACATTCATTTGTTGAAGCCCTACCATCATTGTTACTGTATTTAGAGATAGGGTCTTTAATTGCTAATTAAGGGTAAAAGAGGTTATGAGTGGGACTCTAAACTAGCAGGATTGTTGTCCTTAGAAGAGGTGGAAGAGAGACCAGAACTTTTTCTCTCTTTGTGCAGTCAGAAGAAAGGTCACATGGGGACACAGTGAGAAGGCAATCCAGGAAGAGAGCCCTCGCTAGAGACCAAATCAGCTGGAACCTTGGACTTCCCAGCCTCCAAAACTGTTAAAAAAAGTAAATTTCTGTTGTTTCAGCCACCCAGTCTGTGGTATTTATTATTGCAGCCCGAGCAGATGAATATACCAAGCCCATCAGAAGCCCATCTTATGCCCTTATCAACCCTATACCTCCCACCTCCAAAGGTACCTGCTCTCCTGAGCTCTATCCCCATTAAGTAGGTTTGTCTGGGTTTGAACCATCTATAAATGGACCCATGTGGGTATGGGCTCTATCTGTCTGCCTCCTGTTCCCAGTCTTAAGTCTGTGAGAGTCAACTGTGCTGTTGTGTATAGTTGTGGTTCATTCATTCTTATAACTGTGTAGTATTTCATTGTGTGAATATATCATGTGGGTATCCATCCTAACATTGATGGGTGTTTGGGGCTATGATAAACAATGCAGTTATAAATATTACTACAAGCAATGCAGCTATGAACATTCTTGTACATGGTTTCTGATGAAGACAAGTATGTATTTCATTTAAGTGTATTTTCAAGAGAGACATTGATGGGTCATAGGATACATGCATAATCCGTTGCAGTAGATTTTGCTCAGTGTTACAAAGTGGTTGTAATGACAACCTTTTCACATCTAACCTTTTAAAAAGCCCTAAAGGGTGGATGGGGAGGGAAGCTAAAATGATCACATTAATCTAACGTGAAGGCTATAAACTTCCGGATAAAGTATTACAAGTTGGCAAACTAAAAATTTCTACTTAAAACATAAGAAAAATCACATTAAGATGGACCATTCATTAACTGTATTCACTAGAGTGGGCCGCCTAATTCTCCCAGTACAGAATCTTTAAGTAGCTTATCTACCCTACATAAAGCAGTCATACCTATTAGCCATCCAAGAGTGTGACAGTGTGGAAACCAACTAAGAAGAGAATTTTCTTAACTCTCTTCCCCTCCAGGGAAGTGTATTCTGGAACCTCTTCCTTTTAACTATTATTGGAGATGTGGAGAGTGGTAGGGGGTCCACTGTATTAAAAAAGTTGTTCATAGGTCAGTTATGGTCTACAAGAGCTCTTTTGGTGGGCTGCATTAAGTGAAAATTATCACATTACCATATTTACCAAAGATTAACTCCAGTGTTTTTCGTTTTTTGTTTTTCACTAGAAAACTGGCTGCCAGGCTCTGCATTGCAAAATTCCTTCGGTGCCTTCACCCAGCCAGTGGGATTCTGCCATTTGGGGCAAGCATATTTTGTTATTACTGTGATTTTGAAATGCTGCTCTACTTGTACTAATAACTTTGTAGCATTCCTTTTATTTTTATTGACAGTTTTGTTCTGTGCAAGTGCTTCATTGTTACCAATAGGAAGGTTATTTCATTACTTGTAGTTTTTGTTTTCCCAGCAGGCAGCACATGGGCAGGGCGTTTGTAAATAGGTTTAGGGTATTTGGATTCCCTGCTATAATAATCCCCACATATGTTCTCACTAGAGGAAACAGGGTGATTCACTCAAAATGTGCATCCCCTACCAGAGTCTTTAGTCAATTATCACCCAAGAATGTAATAAATGCCACTCTGTGCCCAGAGTCCTGAGCCCGGTGCTAAGCTCTGCATACCACCAAGACTATACAAGCTAGCCCAATGACAAAAAAAAAAAAAAAAAAAAAAAAAAAAAGTGAATTATCTGGAAGCTTTTAAGTTCCTGCTGCTGTGGCTCATTCTTTTAAAGAGGGTGGCTCTCCTTTCTTAATCCTTCTCCCAAGTCTGCTGTTATTAATCCAGATACCGTTGACATAGAAGTATTGTGATCAAGTGTAAGACTGTGATGAAGAGAAACCTTCAAAGGAAACTATTGAAAATGATTTTCTCTATAAAGGGAGAAAATACTGTCGGGTAACAGGTAACAGATGAACAGACACAAGTGACAGATGTAACACATAAAACCTACAATTTCAGGCACACCGTTCTGCCATGTTTACCTACCCATTCGCATCAGGATTTTCGTCCTCTGATAACAAAGCATTGCCACTGGCGCTACCGCTGGCGTCTTCAGAGCAACGTCTAAAAAACATGGCAGCCCTTCTTGCCTTTGTTTTTCCACTCATGATCCCCTACCAAAGAACAAACAGCTGGTAGGATGAAGAGCAACATTTGTCCTCATTCCTATTTTATGAAAAACATGAAGCTATACATACAGTTTCTAAATTTGTTTTGTATAATGTCTTCTTCCTCCACGGGTGTTTCTTCTTGAAGACGGAATTTTGAAAAGCTTCTGATTCTTCTGTTGCATCATCCTCCGTGACACCTCATAATGCAGATGGCCACCACGCCCAGCCAGGGCATGGACAGGCAACCACCTCTCTGCTTCAAGGGCCTAATTGTACCATATGTCACACCCACTGAATAATACAAAGGCCCCCCCATGTACCTACCGCTTTTCGATAGCAAATCTGGATGTTTTGCTGTGTTTGCTTCAGTGCTTTTCTAATAAAGAAAATATCAGAAATATAATAGTAGACCCCCAAGTATCCCTGAATCTCAGCACTCTTATTTTCCACAGATAACTACAACCTGAAAATTGATATACTCTATTCTCATTATTTTTGATACTTTACTATGTAAATCTGTATCTATAAATAATACCATTTTCATGCTTAAAACATAAACTAAATGTTATGCCACTCTAGGTTTTCTTACAATATTATTTATCTTGAGACATTAACTCCACTCATTTTAATTGCTCTATGGTATTTCATTATACATACATCACAATTCATTTACCCATCCTTCTGTAAATGTATGCTTAGGTTGTTTTCAGTTTTTTTGGCAAGGAATAATGCTCATTGCACGTTGTTATATGCACATCACAAGGTTTTTCTAAACATACACCTAGAAACAGAATAGTTAGGTGGAAGGATGAGCTGGTTTATTTGGGGCATAAATTCTACGATGACAGTCATTTCACTCTCAGCACTTTGGAGATACTACTCCATGGCCTTGTGGATTGATTGTTGTTGATGAGAATTCTGTCTTATCTTCATTTCTCTGTTTTTTTTGGCAATTTCTCGCGTAGTTTTTAAGATTTTCTGTTTATCCATATTTTCCAGTTGTATTTTAGTGTATCCAGGTTTGATACTAGTTTTTGTTTTTCCTCACTTATAACTCAGAGAGTCTTTTCAATTTGGGTACTTGTGTGTTTTTTCAGTTCTGGACTATTTTTCAGCCATCAGGGCTTCAAATATTGCTTCTCTGCCACTGCCTCAATTTTCTTAGAATGGTCCACCTATTGACACTTGTGTCTCCCTTTTGCTTTCCGTTCAACTGCTCCTTCATATTTGTTTTTGCTTTTTTCTCTTTTTACTTATGCTGATTTCTGGGTGAATTTGTAAGTGTTATTTTTCAATTTACTACTTATTTTCTGAAAGCTTAGATTTATACCAAGAAACCCCCAAGTTTCTACTTTTTTACCTACTAGTCCAAAATTCGAAAGTTACAAAATGGTACACAGCAAATATGGCCTTTCCACCCGGCATCTGCCTTCTAGCTATTGGTTCCCCTCTCTTTTAGCATCTATGCTACCATTTATAGTATTTCCTTTCAAAGATGTGATACACATGCACAGTATGTGACATTGTATTATATATGTAATATTTTATAGGTATATTTATCTCTCCACATTCCTAATGGTAGCTTACTATAAACTGTGCTCTGCATCTTGCTTCTTTCCCTTAAACATGTATCTTGGAAGTTGTTTTGATTGTTTGAGATAATCTTCCTCATTTATTTATGACTGAATAGTGTTTCATTGGGTGAATGGGCCATAGGCTATTTAGCCTGTCTCATATTGATGGGCAGTTTGGTATTTAAAATAATGTGCAATAGTAATCTTGTATTTAAGTTATTATCCATATGTGTGAATATATCTTTAAGGATATATACCCAGAGGAGGAACTTCTGGGTCAAAGTCTATGTGTATTTTTCAAGAATAAATCCGCACATATACAGCCAACTAATCATTGATAAGTTTGTCAGGTGTACACAATAAGGAAAGGACACTGTAGTCTCTTCAATGAATGGTGCTGGGAAAAGTAGATATTCACATGCAAAAGAATTAAATTGGACAGTTATCTTACACCATACCCAAATAATACCTTGAAATAGATAAAAGACTTAAACATAAGACCTCTAACCATAAAATTCCTAGAAGAAAACAAGGAAAAAATCTCCCTGACATTGGTCTTGACAATGACTTTTTAAATATGACATCAAAAGCACATGCAAAAATAAATAAGTGGAACCACATCAAACCAAAAACCAAAAAGCTTTTGCACAGCAAAGGAACTTAATAACAAGAAAACAAATAACTGAATTTAAAAGTTGGCAAAGGTCCTAAATAGACATTTTTTTCCAGAGAAGACATACACATTGCCAACAGGCATGTGAAAAGCTACTCAACATCATTAATCATCAGGGAAATGTAAATCAAAACAACAATGAGATATCACCTCACAGCTGTTAGGATGGCTATTATAAAAAAGATAAACAGCTAGTGTTGCACAAAGTGGTACACGCCTGTAATCCCAGCTACTCGGGATGCTGAGGCAGGAGGACTGCTTGAGCCCAGGAGTTTGAGACCAGCCTGGGCAACATAGCCAGACCCCATATTTTAAAGAAATTGTTAATCTTAAAACAAACAAACAAAAATATATAAAGATAAGTGTAGGCAAGAATGCAGAGAAAATGTAACCCTTGTATACTGTTGGTGGGATGTAAATTGGTATACTCATTATGAAAAACAGTATGGAAGTGCCTTAAAAAATTAAAAATAGAACTACCTTATGATTCAGCAATCCCACTTCTGGGTATATATATCCAAAGGAAATAAAATCAGTGTGTTGAAGAGATATTTGCACTTCCATGTTCATTGTATCACTATTTACAAGCCAAGATATAAAAACAACCCAAGTGTTTATTGATGGATGAATGAATGTGATTTATGCACACACACACACACACACACACACACACACACACACGGTGGGTGTGTGGTGGTGGTGGGGGGAGAGAAAGAGAATGGAATATTATTCAGCCATAAAAAGTAGGAAATTGTGTCATTTGTGTCCACATGAATGAGCCTGGAGAACATTATGCTAAGTGAAATAAACCAGACACAGATAGGTGAATACTGTATGATCTAATTTATATGTGGAGCCTAAAAAGTCAAATGTGTAGAAGCAAAGAGTAGAATGGGAGTTGCCAGTGGCTGATGGGCAGAGGGAGTGGGAATGGGGAGATGTTGGTCAAAAGGTGCAGAGCTTCAGTTACAAGAGGAATACATTCCAGGGATCGAATGTACAGCATGCTGACTACAGTTAGCAACATTGTATTGTATACTTGAAATGTATTGAGGGAGTAGATAGATCTCAAGTGTTCTTACCCCACATACGCATACACAAAGGTAACTAAGTGAGATGATGAATATGTCAATTAGCTTGATTGTAGTAATTATTTCACAACGTACATGTGTATAAAACCAACATGTACAACTGAAACATAGAAGTTTTGTTTGTTAATTATATCTCAATAAAGTTGGAAAAAATCCAAAATGTGTCTTTAAAAATTTCAACCAAAGAAAAAGGCCATTATTTTAACATGCAGAGCACTGCAGAGTCAAAGAAATCCAGTCTCTCTCCTGTGTGAAGAGAAGATGATCTTGTTTCTCCAATGAGGCTGAAAACCCAAACTGCTATAACATTGAAATACATAAATATATATCAAAAAAGGAAACCTTGTCTTTAAATTACTCAGATTATCAGAAAAAAGCACAAAATGTAAAAGCCCCTCCAGTTGGTGGAACCCTGGTGAGACTATGTTGTATGTTCTAGAGGGAAAGACTGAGCTCACAGAGGTGAAGGTTGGAGAGGGGAATTATACAAGGGCTTTCAGCTGCTTGAGATTGGAACAGACAGTAACAAGGCAGGGCAAAAGTGGGAGAGATGGAAAAGCACAAATGGAGGATGTGTCCTGAAAGTTTAAATAAACTAGCTTCAGCCAACAACATGGGTAAACCAACAGAGACCAGGCAGGAAGGAAGGGCCAGAGGGCTTTGAAAAATCAGAATTTGTACTCAAATACATTTTTCCTCTTCTCAAAATGCTCATAAGCAGGAGATTATCTGCATATCTACAAGTAAAGTGAAAAAATTAGGCATAAAGTGAAAATATATGTCAGAGAATGTTGGATCTTTCTAAATACTGAGGCCGATTATGTGGTAGAAAGATGATTATGTCATAAAGTATAGAAAATAAAAACATTGAGATATTCTTATTATAAATAAATTATTCTTGTATCATGTTTTAATTTCCATGGCATCATTACCTACATTCTTGTCTGATCTGGTTTGCAAATATTTGTAATTTCAATCACACTGCAAAAGTCAAAAGTTGGCTAGGTGTGGTGGCTCATGCCTAGAGCCCCAGTGCTTTGGGAGGCTGAGGCAGGAACATTCCTTGAGGCCAGGAGTTGGAGACCAGCCTGGGCAACATAGCAAGACCATTGTCTCTAAAAAAAATTTAAAAATTAGCTAGATGTGGTGCTGTGGGCCTGGACTCCTAATTACTCAGGAAGCTAAGGTGGGAGGATCTCCTGAGCTTAAGAGTTCAAAGCTTCGCTGAGCCATGATCACACTAATGCCTTTCAGCCTGGATGACAGAGCAATATCCTGTCTCAAAAAAAATAAAATAAAAATAAAATAAAAAGTTTCTTCTAAGGAATGATAACACTTCATTATCACTGAACTTATGATTTCAGCCAGTCAAGAAGGTTATCAACTTGGATGAATGCTGTACTTTTTTGTTAATCCAATGGAGAATAGAGATGCTCTTTGGTCATGACAGCTCCAGTTATTATGATCAATTAAAAAAAAAAGAATAACCTTCTTGACTAGGCACGGTGGCCCATGCCTGTAATCCCAGCACTTTGTGAGGCCGAGGCAGGTGGATCACGAGGTCAGGAGTATGAGACCAGCCTGGCCAACATGGCAAAACCCCATGTGTACTAAAAATACAAAAATTAGCCAGGCGTGGTAGCACGTGCCTGTAATCCCAGCTACACCGGAGGCTGAGACAGGAGAATTGCTTGAACCCAGGAGGTGGAGGTGGCAGTGAGCCAAGATCACCCCACTGCACTCCAGCCTGGGCGACAGAGCAAGAGCAAGGCTCTGTCTCTAAATAAATAAATAAACTTCTCTTGACCATACAATCCCGTAGCTAGAGGATGCTGTGACTTGCACAAACAAAAGCATTTGTCATGCTTGGCAATAACCTAAGAGCGTGTATATGCAGTGGAACAAACATTTGACATTGCAGTATGAAGTCTTGATTACTCATGACTGGACCACTGAAGATGCTTAGAATTCATTATGATATTATATTAGAGCAGGATAAACCACAGAATTAGAGTTAATTCCTGCACAAAAACTATCTTCTCTTTAACCAATTCTGATATTACCTGTCTCCTGCTAGATTTCTAAGGCTATACTCGTGTAACAGAAACAGACTCATGTTCAGTTCAAGTTGTCAAATACCCACCATTATGAAAAGTCTTGATTTAAAAAAAAATTTTCAACAAGAGAAAACCAAGGCTGCTAACTGTTGCTGCAGTCGTTGGAACAACAGGATTTCTTTGAATGTTCTCTGTATCAACTTATCCCCTCAAACTCTCACAAGCGGTTACCACCGGGTAAGTAGCCCTTATTATTTTTGCCAGGGTTGTATAGGGCTTTCTGGGTATCAAAAGTGTCTCCTACTGAACTGCGCCATAGCTGTTGGTGTCTATTGGCCTCACCAAGCATATGCCAGATAGATAATCTTCATTCCCATGAAGCACCATTGGTAATATACTCATTGTACTTTCTGTAGATCTCAAAATCCAGGCAGGCAACAAGTTTACACTTAAGCCAAGTGTTTGGAGTTCTAAACGCGATTCCATATAAATATGGTTAAGAGCTTTAAAAAAAGTCTCTCAACTTATAAAACAGAAATATTCTCAAAAAATAAGATATAAGGAAGAATGTTCACATGATAATTTTATTATCGACACACAATTTCCAAATACTTATTAGTCTTGAAAAAAATGCATTAGATGAGAAATTTGCAAGCAAATTTGTCTAAAATTAAGGATTCCTTTACTAAGTGAATCATTACTCCTGCATCTCATTAGTAAATTCTTTTTATGTTTTATTTTTGTATACTGGTGGGGTGTTTTGTTTTGTTGTGTTTTTAGGGTGAGACAGTTATACTTATTTGGAAAACGTGATGCATGTCCCCAATTTTTCTGGACCGCTCTACAGTAACTGTGGTTCCCAGCCAGAGCGGCATGAGGAGGACTGAGGCCTGACTCTCTTCCTGCGTCCACGTCCCCACGTCCCCACGCCCCCACACCCCTGCAACAGTAAGGCCCTGCTCCCACCCCCGCTGCGTCCCGCCCGGTTCCCCGTGGCATCGCTGCGCTGCCCTGCCCTGGTCCGGCTCTGGGCTACGGGCAGTTGACAGGCGGCGCCCGCGCTCCGCTTCCTGCCCTGATTGGCCCACCGCTCCCCCTCAGGCTTCCCCTATTGGCTGACAGTGCTCCAGCCGCGCCCGCCGGTTGGCCGTTCAGCCGTTGCCCTGGCGACGCCGATGTTGTGGTTCCGCGGCGCGCTGGGAGTTTGGGTTTGGTTGGCTGCAGCCAGCCAGCCGTGTAAAAACTCCAACGCCGGGCGCCGCGGGCAGCACCCACGGAGACCCGCGGGGAGCTGGTGAGCCTGAGCGGGCTGGAGGACAATGGGGGCGCCCACTGTGGTCCCGGGCCTTGTCCACTGTGCGGAGCTCGCAGTGCGGGCAGTGCGCGCCGGGGCTGGAGGGAGGGGACCACCTTGTCGCCGGGTTGGGATGAGCACAGGGCGGGATCTCCAAGCCTGCCCAAGTCCCGCGGCCCCTTGGTTACCTGTTGCTTATCCTCTCTGTACTTGCTGTGTCCCTGGCGTGGACGTGCCTGTACTGGATACCCGGCGTGACGTGCCCCCTCTGTGTGCCCCGCACGCACGTGTCTCTGCTGAATACCCCGCGTGAATGTGCCCCTGCTGTGTACCCGGAGTGCGTACGTCCCTGCTGTGTACCCTGTGTGGACGTGCCCTGCTGTCTACCCGGCGTGCGTGTGTTCCTGCTGTATACCGGCGTGATGTGCTCCCTTCTGTTTACCTGGCGTGGACATGCCCCCTGCTGTATACCCTGCATGGAAGTGCCAGCGCTAGGCGATCGTAAGGCGCCTGCAGGCGTGTCAGGGCGAGGCGTACAGACCGACCCAGAGCGGGCGCGCGGATTTTGCTTTTGCAGCTGCAGCTCCTGGCAACTGGTCAAGCAGGCAGCGTCCAGCGCACCCGCGAACACCAGGTCCGGCAGCATCTGTCTTTTCCCGCAGCGTGCAGCGCCTGACCATGAGGAACACAAGCAAGGAACTTCAGGGCGCCACGCACCGCTACGCTCCCTGCGGTGAGTGCGCCCTGAGCGCGTCCCGGCCAGAAAGAGCTGGGTGCGTGCACTCTGCTTGCTAGACACGCTGTGGACCCAACGTCCTCTATGTGGGCTGGAGGGGGGTGTGAACGATGGAGGACCAAGTGATAAAACTAACAAGTCAAAGAAAGCCACAAACTGCTCCTGTGCCTGAGTGTGAAATCAAGACTTAAATATGAGTGGGGGGAGTCTTGTTTTTCTTTATTTTCAACAAGAGAGAACCAAGGCTACCTATCTTGGTTCAATCTGGAGCAACAGGATCCCTTGGAAATTTTCTTTGTCATAGTTCAACCCTATACAATTCTCACAACTGCGTTCCTGAATGTTGACCTGGGAAGTTTCTTCTCTAGCAGAATCCCCTAGGAATTTCACTGAATCCCTAGCCCTTGCTCCTACTTTAGACCCCAAGCAAGTTAAATATACATTCTGGGTTTAGTGTCTGGATACAGGAAAAGGAATTCAGTGAGGTTCATGTCTTCTTATGTGCCAGGGTTTGAAGTGGAGGAGAGGGGAAGGAAGAAGAAGTCTTGAGATGCTGTCTTCTGGGTTTTTTTTTTTTCCTTTTGCTATTGCTTTTTTATTTGTGAAAGGCTGTAGGAGGGTAGAGAAGAGGGTCCTGGGGATCAGCTGGGACAGCTGAGTTGCAGCTGGTCGGCACCCTGGAGCCAGCACATTTGCTCAGAAGTGAACCAAATGTGACCCTTCTTCATACTCTAAACATGCTGCTAGCCCAGAGCTCTACCTTGTGACCACTATTGAAGATAGTGTGGCCATGCTGGGGATTGGAAAGGGGACAGCACAGAAGGCCTGGCTGATTTGCCTTTTCCCAGTAGGCTCTGGAGCCTTTATGTGACTTCTGGGTGCCTTCTAGTGACCTTGTCTGTATGAACAGCAGTAAGGAACACTAACAACTGCCAGGCACTGTTCTAAGTGCTTTGTATTAATATACACTAACTCATTTAACCTCATAACAATGCTACAAGGTAACATTACCCCCATTTTATAGAGTTTGGAGTAATTTGCCCAAGGTCACACACTTCGTAAGTGGCTCCACAGCTGTTCTGTGAGGCCACAGCAGCCTAAAGCAGGAGCCTGTGCCCCTGCGGGTATGTGAACATATAACACACTGCCTTGTGCCTTAGAGACCAGAAGAGCTGGGGGATCTTCAGTTCATCTCATAGACTGTCACAGACTGTGTTTCCTCACTGATTAAATAAGAGTACTAATATATGGCAAATGAGAAGGCAGGGAAGGCTATATATATATATAAAAAATCTATAGGATAGTAAATGACTGATATTGTACAAGTGCCAACAATTTTTTGCATGATAAAAGCTGAGATAACTCTTAGTCCCTTTAACCCTCTGTGTGTGTGTGTGTGTGTGCGCGCGCGTGCGTGTGTGTGAGGTGGTCACAAATGGTTCTTACTGATCCAGGCCCTCATTCTCTGAGTGCCTCCTTTGTATGCATTTACAAATGGCCAACCAGATTCGAGTTCAGTGCCTGTCCACAGCTTCCAGTAATGAGAAGAAGGTAGAAGACACACTGTTCTCTGTGGATTAATTAGTAATCAAAACACAGAGCGGAAAAATAATGCAACAATCAAACGCCTTCTCTCAAATAGAAAATATTTGAACTGAATATGATCGGAGTATGAAGCTGCTAAATTCTCTTATTCATTCTTAAATTGATTCTCTGTGATCTTTTGTGCAATTCTTTAAATCTTTTCCAATTTTTTTCTTTCCTTTTCGAAACCATATAGTGTTGATTCAGCTATTTAATGTCTTTTACATACTTAAAAGATTGTCTGTATTAAATACCATCCATTAAAAATTCAATGTCTAAGCTTTTAGCTTTAAAGGATGGTTACTTCTCATTTCTCTGTGCTTACATAAATCAATTTATTCAGTACTATTTTCCTGTGCATCTACTGTAATAGTCAGCATTCTCCAAACCAAAATAACCAACAGCATATCCATGTCTATCTTTCTATATACATATAGATAGATAGATAGATAGATAGATAGATAGATAGAAAGGGAGAGAGAGATTTGTTTTAAGGAATTGGCTCACGTAATTGTGGAGTCTGGAAGGTTCGAAATTTGCAGTGCAGACCAGCAGGCTGGAGACCCAGGGAAGAGCTGATGTTGCAGTTTGAGTTTCAGAGTGGTCTGGAGGAAGAATTTCCTCTTTCTGGGGGATCTCATTCTTTTCTCTTAAGACTTTCAATTAACTGCCCACAAAAAGAGTCAAACTCTGTAAAATATTTAAAGAGGTTTATTCTAAGCCAAATATGAGTGACCAAGGCCTGTGACACAGCCCCAGGAGTTCTTGAGAATATGTGCCCAAGATGGTTGAGTCACAGCATGATTTTATACATTTTGGGGGGACAGAAGTTATAGGAAGACATCAATCAATACATGTAAGGTATACATTGATTCAGTTTGAAAAGGTGGGATAACTCCAAGTATGTGTGTGTATGTGGGTGGGGGGTGGTTCCAGGTCATAGGTGGATTTAAAGGTTTTCTGATTGGTAATTGGTTGCAAGTTATTATCCAAAGACACGGAATCGATAGAAAGGAGTGACTGGGTTAAGATAAGGGGTTGTGGAGACTAAGGTTTTTGTCATGCAGATGAAGTCTCCAGGTAGCCAACTTCAGAGAGAGTAGATGTGAACATCTCTTATCAGACCTAAAAAAGTGTCAGACTCAGTTAATTCTCTCCTGGATCAGGAAAAGAGCTGGAAAAGGAAGGGGATTCTCTACAGAATGTAGATTTTCCCCACAAGAGACAGCTTTGTAGGACCATTTCGAACTATGTCAAAGAAGTCTATATTGGGGTAAAATATTTCAATTTCTTTCAGGACCTGCTATCTGTCATGTGATGCTATACTAGAGTCAGGTTGCAATTTGGTCTCTGACTGCCACAGAGAGTCTGTTTTTTCAGTCTTAAGATCTCTGTTTTAATGATAATGCTGGTCTGCTGTGCCTGAATTCCAAAGGAAGGAGGGTATAAGGAGGCACGTCCAGCTTTCCTTCCCATTATGGCCTGAACTAATTTTTCAGGTTTACTTTGGAATGCTCTTGGCTGAGTGGGGGGATTCATTCAGTCAGCTGGCGGGTGGTGGGGGGCTTAGAAGTTTATTTTTGGTTTACTCTGATAGGAGGAAGCCCACCCACATTATAGAGGACAGTCTACTTCACTCAAATTCTACCGTTTTTAATGTTATTTTCATCTAAAAAACTTCATAGACACAGCTAAAATAATGCTTTACCAATATCTGAGTACCATGGTCCAGCCAAGTTGACACATAAAATTAGACATTATACCTACCCAAGAAGAGGATATTGTGTTAGACTCTGAACATACTGCCCCTGTGACAGTACGTTCTGATAAGTGGTATTGAATAGAAGGGGATATTGTGTTAGACTCTGAACATACTGCCCCTGTGACAGTACGTTCTGATAAGTGGTATTGAATACACCCAGTCACTTGTGTCACATTAATTGCATCTTTTGTATCTGACATTCTTCCTGGGTTTTGTTTCTAAAGTTTTCAATCAGGTGTGGTTTTTTTTTTCTTACATTTGGGCATCTGGTTAATCAATTTCAGATTCAAATAGTTACCTAGAACCTCAGTTGTCTGAGTGCCCCAGATCTCTTCTCTCTGTGGGGGTCATCAATAAACACTGATAACTCCAGGTCCCTGGGATTTTGCCAACTCACTTGACAGAAACTCCCAGTAGGACTCCAGGGAGTCTCCTGGGTGGTCCCAAGCCAGCCTGCAGGGCCTGTCCTGGATACCCTCAGCTCAAGGCCTTAGGGAGCCTCATGGCTTCACCAGGCCCATGTTCAGCTCCTCTGTCCACAGCACCTTTCTGCATGGGCTCCAATCAAGAAGGGAGGATGGACAGAGAACCGCTCTCTTCCTCCACTCGATTGTGCCTGGCTTCTTCGTGGGACCTTTTTCAATAGAAATCACACAATCTACACTCACTGTGTTTCAACTTGATCTTTCTCAAGGGAGCCACACCCAGTCACCTCAGGAATCTCTGAATTTCCAGCTGAGATGTTTTTCCATAACACATAAGTCACCTGTTTCCGCCACTTTTCAGGAACCATCTAGACCTCTGGCCACCTTTCACAGCCCTCTTTGGCCTCAGGCATGAGCAAAGCCATTATGATTGAAAACAGTAATTACATATTAATAATAATGAAAGGGACAAGGAGAGAGGGAGAGGGAGAGTGATAAGGTGAGATGAATTCTCATGTGGGGAGTCTGGGTGGAGAGAATGGGGGAACTCACACTGTACTCGCTCATATGGAGAGAGGCTGCCGAGCTGATTCGAGTGCCATTGCTCGGTGGACAGGCCTCTTTGACCACTCCCCAGTCCTACCTCTTCTCACTCTTGTGTTATTGGTAAATGTGTTCAAACAGGCTGTTATTTCTGTGACAGAACTTAGATTTCAGTATTTTTAACATACTAAATTTAGCAAATCTTGGTCAACATTTAGTCATGTATTCCACAGGCTTACCCATAACGTTTTAAGTGATTTGGGATTTTTCAGGAATGTATATTCCCCAACATAACCAGAAATACTGTTGTCTTATTTTTATGGAGGATTAGGAGAGAGAGACAGAGACATCATGGGGCTTGGGTACCTCCCTGGGAAGCGAAAGCACCCATGAAAGAGGCTGAGCCCTAGCAGCTTTCCCCTTGATTGGTGCCAGTGGTGGCATCTTGGTGGGCAGTAGAGACTGGATTGCATAGCTGGTGTTATGACTCACGTCAGTAACCCAAAAGAGGGCATTTTCTTCCTTGCTAATGGGCTCTGTGGCTTGCACTGCCCCACCTGATGGTGTTGTCTGCATAGAGATACTCTGGTAGAGGCCTAGAGGCCACCCCGACACACAGCAACAGTGTGGCCCTCCGCCTCTCTCCTCTATAGATTGGTATTACCACGTCCCAGTGAAGCGCTCTGAGAAGGCCGTGGATGCCCCACCAGCGTCCCAGATCCCAGGTCTCAGCAATTTGGGAGACTCACACAGCGAGAACCTGCCTGGGACTCGGAGATACTGGATAAAAGAAACAGATTCGGAATATGTGAAGCTCGCGAAACAAGGTGGCAGGCCCGGTGAGCCCCCTCCTGCCCTGTTCAGTGTGGCAGCCTCGCGGGCGGTGAGGGGGGCGTTTGTTCCTAATTTCTTCCATATAAAAATATTACTACAGAGTCTGTATGTTTAGCTTAGGGCCTTGGGAAAGCTAGGTTAATTAGGTGTAGGGATGAGCATGATCTCCAGGGATGAGCTAATTTTTATGATGCTAGAATAAATAGGCCAAATTCACAGAATTTCCTGTGTAGGATATTTCTTCTGAGTAATGCCTTTGCGATGATTCAACCCTTCCCTCACCCACTTTATATTCTAATTACAAAGAGAATCTCAGGAAGTTGCCTCCAAGAGAGAATCTGTCTTTGCATGCTACCAATTCTTGTCTAATTGTGAAAAGGTTTTGTTGTTTATTCTCATTGCGGCTTGTCCTTTGTATGAAAACGTTTTAGAAAATGAAGACCATAGAGGAGTTTCAGTGTGATACTGACGAGGACCAAATTTTGATACATGATTTAATTGAGAAAGTACTGCTTAACTATGCTAAAAACTAAGTTATTTGAGCTCAATAGAAATTACTGATCAGAGTCTAAAATGTCTCAGAGCCAGCCTTGTGGTCAGTGACTTGGAGAGACACTAACCTTTTTTCCCCTTTAGCTGCCATTACCCCTGTGGGGATTGTCAGAGAGAAAATGGGAAGCAAAATGGCAACATCTTTGCTTTAATATTAAAAAGCCTGGACCAAACAATTTGATGGACTAGGTGTGATGCTCAGAGAACAAGACCTAGACATTTTTTCTTAGATTCACCTCCTCCTGCTGTTGGTTAAAAGAACATTAAGGGGACAAACTCTGAATGTCTGTAAATCAGATAAAAGAATTGCATCAATAGTAGTTTCCTGAGTGTGATCATTGTGCCATGATTATGTCAGGAATGTCTTTTGGCAGCATCTGCTGAGGTATAGGGGGAGGACTGGGCATTGTGTCTGCAACGCGCTGCCCAGTGATTCTGAAAACAATAACGACAATAAAAATAATAATGAGAGAGAGGGACAGACAAAGAGAGAAAACATAAAGCAAATGTGGTAGAATATTGTTTGGGGAGCCTAGGTCAGGGTATAGGGGAACTCATACTATTCTTGCAATGTTTCTGTAAGTCTGAAACATTTAACAATGAAAAGTGCTTTAAAAGTAAAAAAAAAAAAAGAAAAGTTAAAATTTTCTTACTGATAGTAATAGGTCAACCAAAGTTGTCTGCTACTGCCACAGGCACTGCTATCATTTTGCTGTCCTTATGATCAAGAAAGTCAGTTCTTCCCACTCCCCGCCTTTTGAAACCGGGGGAGGGAAGTGTGGGGAGCTAGAAAGCAAGTGGGTGAGTCCGGAGCTGGCCTGGGCCTCTGAGAAGGAGCCTGTGCTCTCTGTGCCTCTCAGGGTTGGCTCCAAGGTGACTGTGAAATCTCCCAGGTACCTTTCAGGGGCTTGTATCCTACTTCCCATCTGGAAACCTGGAGGTGTGGCTTCTCCTGGAAATGGTAGGGGTGGGGTTAGGGACAGCTCCACAGTGGCAGAGGACAGTCAGACCGTCCTATGCTAGGAGAACGGTGTGGGGGTAGCTGAGGATGAGGGAGCCAGCATGTGCAGCCCCTGGAGACCTGAGCAGTGGAGGGATGGGCCCCCTCCAGGAGCTGGTAGATGCTGGCCTGCATAGATGCAGCTCAAGACCAGGAGCTCTGTCCAGATCTGCAAAGAGTGAGATGTGGGGAGGCATACAGGATGTCCCTGCCTGAGCACAAAGCAGGACGCCCACCTGTCAGCCTGTGCACAGACAGGTGAGGATCAGGGATGCTCTGTTAGTCCCTGGATCCCAGAGGCAACTACAGGGAGACCTACAGTTCGCCTTGTAAATTGAGCCTATCACTGGCAATGCTGTGCGTCTGTGTAGGGGCGGCGGGGTGTCTCACAGCCATGTCATTTTCTCTTTTGAGATTTGTTGAAGCACTTTGCCCCTGGAACCAGGAAAGGCTCTCCAGTGGCCTACTCCCTGCCAGACTGGTATATCCACCACAGCAAGCCACCGACAGCCAGCCAGCAAGAGTAAGTACCTTAAAGCACTCACATTTTTGTTTATCTTTACAGGAAAAAAATAGCCCAATTTTAATTTTAAAAATACAAATGTCTAATAGTGGTAGCAAGCATGTGATATGACAACTTCAGGTTCTCTTTTACAATAGCCTGCTCTTTGAGGGATGTAGCCTAAGTTGTCAGAAAACCAGAGTTCTGGAAACCTGTGGCATTTTGTGCCACCCTAGAGTCTTGTGTCTTTGGGCTCCTTCTCGGTAAATTGCACTGTAGTGTTACCGGCGGGTCTTCGTTCTTAGAGCTTCTAAGATGGTGGCGGGCTGCTTCCAAGATGGTGGTGGGCTGCTCTCAAGATGGTGGCAAGCCTTTTGTTCTCTGACCTGGGGTTCTTGGCCTCACGGATTCCAAGGAATGGAACCTTGGGCCATGCATGAGTGTTATAGCTCTATGAGAAGCTGTGGGTCACGGAAGAGAACCGTGGAACCCAGCGACTAGTGTTCGGCTCCATTAGGACGAACCCGGGCACTTAGCTGCGCAGGAACAATGGCGAGCCTCTAGCCCGATGGGGAGCGTCAGTGGGTGCCTCCCTGGATCAGAAGTGCAGCGGACACTCTGCCGGATCCGGAGAGGTGGAAATTAGCGGCGGGTCTGCAACGGAGGCAATCAGCAGTGGTGGACTGTGAGTGAAAGCTCAGCTCAAGCCGGAACAAACACAGACCAGAAGAGTGTGCAGTTGCGAGATTTAATAGAGTGAAAACAGAGCTCCCATACAATGGGAGGGGACCCAAAGGGGTTTGCCACTGCCGGCTCAAATGCCTGGGTTTATATGCCGATCATTGTCCCTCCCCCTTTGCTCTCAGGCAATAGATGATTGACTATTTCTTTACCTCCCGCTTTTAGCCTAATTGGTATTTTAGTGAACGCTCTTTACTACCTGATTGGTCGGGTGTGAGCTGAGTTACAAGCCCCATGTTTAAAGGTGGGTGCGGTCGCCTTCCCCACCTAGGCTTAGGAATTCTTAGCTGGCCTAGGAAATCCAGCTAGTCCTGTCTCTCAGTAGGACTGACCACATCCTCCTGATGTAGAAATAGCAGCCTATCCCAAAGGGTTCTCATTAAAGACAAAAGGCACTAGGTAAAGCTAGAAATACATGAAATCCTAAATTTCTATGTTCAATATTGAGATATGGGGAGCCATCGTTCCCATAATATTTGAAATGTCTAAGAAATTTCTATTTGTGGACATGCAAACTTTATCTCCAGAACCACCTGTCGTGGATTGAGAGGTAAAATGAAAAATCATTTCAGGCCATTTCCCCATTTTTTTGGCTTGAAAATAGGACTACCACAAATATATTTCCAAGTGGTTATCCGGTGTTACTTGAATGTTCTGCACACTGCCACATGGACTTTTTCTTCCCTTCCTTCTGCTTTTTTTCTTCCAGACTGTTGGTACCCCTGTCCCTTTGCTGTCTCCTCCCACCCCATATGTCCTTACCAATTGTCCAAGCCTTCTAGGATGATCTACTTCTGGGGCCTTCAGTGTTTTCCGTCCTCCTGGGACCTTGTCCTCCTCTGGACCGCAGACCACCTGCTCCAGGTCCTGGGACAGGCAGAGGATGAAGAGTGGGAAGCTCAGGAGAAATCCTTCCTTCACTGAAAATCTGGGAACCCAGGAGCTATAACTTAACATGCTTTTTGTTTTTAATTGTCCCTCCCTTTGTTGTTTTCAATGCTCATCTGTTTCTGTGGGCTTTTTCCTGCCGAGACCACATCAGAAGTGGGAGGCCTGGGGAGAGGTGCCGCTTTTCACACCTGTGCTCCCTGAGCAGCTCAGCCACACTCATGGCTTCTCTTACTGGGTATCTGCGTCCACCTTCCAAGCCTGCATTTCCAGCCTCTGACCGCTGCTCTCTGGCCTCTTCACTCGCTCTCTCGGAGGCCCCCAGCCACCTCCTTCAGGTGCTTTGCTGCAGTGGTGCCCAGTACCCCACGCCTCGACCTTGCCCTTGGTGCCCACTTTGCAGCTGGGGCCTTTTTTCAGCATCCTGGAGCCCTGAACAAGTACAAATGAGGAGCAGGACATGGGGGCATCCCTGCAGCCCCTCAGACACTGCATGGGGGGTTTGTGTTGCCGTGTCAAACTTGAATCCAGTGTTCTTCCCTGTTCAAACCTGGTTATGTGTACAGATGGTACCTTCAGGGATCTGAAGGCTGAAGCATTCTAGTGCCTTTGGATGCCCCTCCTGTGTGCGCTGCCTATATGGGAAGACTGGTTGCTAGTTTAAATACTCACATTAAAAATGACCATCCAACAGGAAACAGAGCATGTTATTATTATTTTAAATGAACATGTTAAATGGTAAATGTTTAGGGGTGTTTAGCTATTTTAAGGGGTCAAAGTGGTAGATGCTATCCTAAAAGAAATAATTATTTTATAAGGTACGTTTTATAAATTCATATTTTAGTATATCTCGTTTTACTAACGTTGAGACCTTGTGATTTCTAAGTGGGCCTCCTGATCCTGGGACGCAGGGCCTGGAGGGGTTGGTGTGTTGTTTAGCAGGCACAGGAGGGAAGGGCCCGTCTGTGTTTTCAAGGAGAATGGGTAGTGCTGATGTCAAGAGAGACGGAAGAGAAGAGAATAAGGGAGGGAGAGAAAGAGAAAGAGAGGGAAAGAAGAGGAAGAGGAAAAGAGAGAAAGAGAGAGAGCAGGAGAGGGAGAGAGAGGGAGAGAGAGAGGAGAAAGGAAAGGAGGGAGACAGTGAGAGAAGGAGGGAGACAGAAGGAGGGAGGGAAAGGGAGAGCCAGCGATGGAGATGGAAGGAAGGGAGGGAGTGGAAATGGCTCTGAGCACCAGGCTGTAACTGGTGTCTGTCCTTGCAGAGTGCGGGCTGTCTCCATGCCGGATTACATGGTTCATGAAGAATTTAACCCCGATCAAGCCAATGGTAGCTATGCATCCAGAAGAGGGCCCTTCGACTTCGACATGAAAACAGTTTGGCAAAGAGAGGCTGAGGAACTTGAAAAGGAGAAAAAAAAGGTGACGGGAGCCCATAAATAGACGGCATCCGCATCCGCTTTGCTTCTGTGGTCTCGAGTAATTAAGTGCTGTGATGTTAGCTGCTGGTGGCGTCTTATGTTGCTCGTGGCATCGGCCACGTGCTCTGTATTTTAAGTTTGGATCTACTAAAAGGCAAGCAGGCACCATACTATGGTCTTTCTTTTTCTTTTTATGAATAATGACTTTAAGAGGTAAGATTTCTTTTTGCTAAATGATTTATAGATAGTTAATGCTTATCTAGAGGAAAACTGGCATAGCACTTCTTATCAGGCCAATATAGAAAAGGAATTTTATATTTAGTCATCCCATTTCTGAATATTTTCATTTATTTAAGTATTAAGAGTTTTCTGGGACACTCTTTGTTGATAATAAAGGAAGAGAAGATGAATTCTCTTCTGTATGAAGTCCTGGTGGTGTATTTGATCACAAAGGAGTGACTGGCTGTGCAGTGAAGCCTTCTCAGAGGATGTGTATTTTAAGAATGCAATGGAGAAAGTTGGAAGCAATCTTGAATTGCCAGCTCTGTTGTTGGGAAGTCTTGACAGGAGGACCTTCTATCCCCTTTCCTTGGTGCTGGAAGGAACAAGAGCCAGGCCTTCAGCTCCACCAAGGGCTCAGTGTTGCCCGGGGCATCAGCACCAGGTCTCAGATTAGTCTCAGTTCTTGCAACTTCAGGGTTTGTGAGTGAAACGGTGAAGTTCATATTACAAATAACAATAGTGTTTGATACTGAGAATAAGAGTGAACACCGTTGTCACCTGATGGGTGATCATTTTGAACAATGAAGAGACTGGATGTGTCTCAGCGTACGTGGAAGTTGTTGTGAACTATTTATGCCTGATTCCTAGGCTGTTGCCTTAGCATCTTGGTTTGAAGGGAAACCCCTCAGTTTATTTTGGGGACTTGAGTAGCTGAACACCAAGTGGAATGTCAACTGGCTGCAATGGGCCACATGCTTTTTCTTTAAGATCTCCATGTCCGGCTGTGATTCAGATTTTGGGTTGTTTCCATGATCCGTGCAAAGGCATTAGACCTTTTATTGTTGTTTTTTTGTTTTTGTTTTTTATTTTATTTTTTTAATTAGAGAGAAGTTCTCGCTCTGTCACCCAGGCTGGAGTGCAGCGGCATTATCATAGTTCACTACACCCTCGAACTCCTGGGCTCAAGGGCTCCTCCTGCCACAGCCTCCCGAGTAGCTAGGTCTACAGGTGCATACTACCGTAGACACTCAGCCAAAATGGACCATGTTAAGAATTAGATTTATCTCTTAGTGTTGCACAAGTGACCAATTACACTGAGCTACAACCTCTAGTGATAAATGAACCTTTGGATATTAACCGTGGCTACAGCTCATTTCTACAGAAATCTTAAAATGCTAAATGCTGTATCACTCTCAAATCAAGTGGGGTTTTTAAGTTAGTACCCATTTACAAAAGGTGTGCTAGGGGCTACACAAAGTTCCTGAAGCCAGCCCTTCACTATGGGGAAGGAGATAGGATGACAAGGGGTGGTGGTTAAAGACACACATGCTGAGTATTTAACAGGTAGAGGGACATGGTGTCGGGTAAGGTGCAGGGGATGAGCACCGCATCGGGATGGGCTCTGATTTCCCTAATAAGACAACACCATCACCGCTTTGGTATGAAGGTCACCTATGAGTGATGATCACATCATGGGCGTGGGCCAGCTGACAAAGCGCTTCCTCAGCTGTGCCCTGGCCTCACACGGGACACATGGTGGACACCTGACAAGACTTAGGGCACATGTATTGCCTGTTGGTTACCAGCATTCATGGGGGTCTTGCTCACCTACAGGGTGATCGGGGGATCTTGTTTCTTTTTTTTGAAAAGCCATCTTTTCTTCCTATAATTGTTAGCAATACCTCCGTGGATTTTGTTTGCTTCGTTTTGTTTTTTCCCGTTTTCCCATAGCATGTATTTCTATTTCTTTTAATAAGAAACAATTTAGGTAGAGCGAAACCCACCTTTTATAGAGAACTGCTCCCCAGGTTTTGACTAAGGCGTCCCTTGTGTACCACCACAGCTGTCAAGGAACATATAGCAGTTCTGTTGCCCCCAGCATTTCTACCCCTCTTTATAGTCAGCCTCTCCCCTGCCCCTTGCAAGCCCTGATCTGTTTTCAGTCTTTATAGTTCTTCTGGACAGTGCAGGAACATCGCCATCTTGGACAAGCCTCTCATTCTAAAAGTTCACCTTAAAAAAAACCGCCTAAATCCAAGGGGCATCAGCCTAATGGCTAAGGTCAACACGACCATGAACCATAGGTAACATCTCCAACCAGAAACATTCCAAACTCCTCCCTGACCAGAGACATGGTAGCCCCTAAATAAGCTCTCTCCAGCCAGGAAGATGCCAGGCCCGAGTTAACCCCCCTCCGGGCTGAAAGATGTCTGCACCAAGATAACCTCCCCTCCTCCCAGAGAGATTCCAACCCAGCCATGAACTTCTCCACACACATAAACATTCCAAGCTTCTGATAAGCCCCCTCACCCCAAAACTGATATATACTTTTAGTCTGTAAGAGAAAGTGCTCCTGACCACAATCAGCCAGGAGTGCCTCTCAGGTTTTAACTAAAGAAAACCTGTCTTTGACTGCCACGCCGCATTTCGTGTTTCTTTCCTCTTTCTTTAATTCTTACACTTCCTTTTCCAGAATGTGAAATCAATGGAATCATACGGCATGGCGTCTTTCCTGCTTGGCTTCTCCCATGTGGTGTAATGCATTTACATTATGCATCTACATTACATACGCATGGCCATGCTGTTCTGAGTGTCAGTAGTTCATTTGTTTCTGTTGCTGAGTTTCATTGGCTGATCATGATACAATTTGTTTATCCATTCGTTTGTTGGTGGACATCTGGGTTGTTTCCAGTTCTGGGTGATTATTACAAAAGCGTACAGGTGCTTTTGTGAACATATGTTTTCATCTGGGTGTGGGAAGTTCCTTCAGGACGAGGCTCTTAGTTCATTGTTTTTCCTCCTGAGCAGATGGCATCTTTACTCAAATATAGCAACTGCTTTTGAGTTAGTGATAGTCCCTTTTACATAACTATTTTGTTGAATGAGATTATTGCTGAATTATATTTTATTGTGAGCATTTACAATGACCACATTGAAAGTCCAGCCTATAAGCTTTGTATCTTTGCTACCATTAGTGAGTTTTCTTCTCTAGCTGTTGAATGCTTTCCACTAACTCAAGGTTTTGTGTGTTTCCTCACACAGCTGAGGCTACCGGCCATTGACTCAAAGTATCTGAGCAAAGCAGGCACCCCACTTGGCCCTAAGAATCCTGCAGGAAGTAGACTCTCCTTCCCCCCCGTGTAAGTGCTTGAGCTACGCCCTCACTGTCTGGACTGGGTTTGGGTTTGGCCTTCCGTCTTTCATCCGGTGATGACTGCGCTAGTGACAGCATCCACACAACTTCCCGAAGCCCTGTCTGTGGCCTGGCCTGGCTGTGCCTGTCGCCTCCTCACTGTGGTTTCTGTTCCTTCCTAATGTCATTTTGCCCCTGTTGAACACATCTGCCCTTCCAGGTCATGCTTGCTGCAGGTTGGCAGTGTGGAGGCTCTGCTTCTCCATCAGGCTGTGCCCTGCCTGAAGCACTCCCCCTCCAAGATACCACCCTCACCACAGTTCACGGGGACTGCTTGTCCTGCATGTAGGGGCCACCAGGTCCTGACGTTTCTGTGTCCAAGGCCTGAACTGAGGTGTCCGCGCCTTGTAAGCGTGCTGGCTCTGTTTCCAGTTGGAAGATATAGCAGACACACTGACATTTGCTGATCCTCCAGCTGCAGAGTGAAATCCCTGAGGCCTTAGGTGTCTTCTTACTCTCCCAGAATCCAAGTTTAATGCTAGGATAAATGTTATTAATTACCTGACTAATTCTTCAAACAGCTTCTTGTCCAATGGGGAAAAAACAATCAGATACATTGCATTGTGACAAATGCCATGAGAGCACCAAGCTCAGAGGGAAATATACATGTATTCATATGTGTTTATATATATGTAAGTATATATGTATACCTAGACATGTATTTATAGATGTACGAGAGAGAAAATAAAGCATTAGGAGTGGCCTTGATAACAAAGTGATTGAACCCCTCCTGGGCGCAAGAAATCCTCCCACCTCAGCCTCCCAAGTAGCTGGGGCTATATGCATGCACCACCACACCCAGCTAATTTTTTATTTTTTGTAGAGACAAGATCTCACTATGTTGCCCAGGCTGGTATCAAACTCCTGTGCTCAAAAAATCCTCCTGCCTCTGTCTCTCAAAGTGCTGAGATGGAGGCTTAGAGAGAACAGGTGGTGGGCTGCTACTGCTCGAGCTGAAAGCTCACACTACCTCTACCGTGTCAAACTGCCCTGTCACTCTTCAGTGTGGGTCAGGATAAGATATTTGAAGATGCAGTAGATGGTGAAAGGCTAAGCTAACATCAAGAAATGACTGGAGACAAACCTGTGTAAGAGAGTAAAATAGCAGCAGATAATCATTGATAAGGACAAGAAAGAACCAATAAGAAAGTAATCATTACACTTTTTTTGAGATGGAGTCTTGCTCTGTTGCCCAGGCTGGAGTGCAGCGGTACGAACTCAGCTCACAGCAGCCTCCACCTCTCAGGTTCAAGTGATTCTCCTGCCTCAGCCTCCCAAGTAGCGGGACTATAGGTGCCTGCCACCACAGCTGGCTAATTTTTTTTTTTTTTTTTTTTGGAGACAGAGTCTCACTCTGTCCCCCAGGCTGGAGTGCAGCGGCGCAATCTTGGCTCACTGCAAGCTCTGCCTCCCGGGTTCATGCCATTCTCCTGCCTCAGCCTCCTGAGTAGCTGGGACTACTGTGTGGGCTAATTTTTTGTATTTTTAGTAGAGATGGTTTTTCACCATGTTGGCCAGAGTGCTCTCGAATTCCTGACCTCAAGTGATCTGCCCGCCTCGGCCTCCCAAAGTGCTGGGATTACAGGTATGAGCTACTGTGCCCACCTCCCTCCCTCCCTTCCTCCCTTCCTTTCTTCCTTTCTTCCTTCCTTCCTTCCCTTTCTTTCTTTCTCTCTCTCTCTCCTTTCTTTCTTTCTCTTTTTCTTTTCTTTCTTTTTCTTTTCTTTCTTTCTTTCTTTCTTTCTTTCTTTCTTTCTTTCTTTCTTTCCTTCCTTCCTTTTCTCTTCTCTTTCTTTCTTTCTTTCTTTCTTTCTTTCTTTCTTTCTTTCTTTCTTTCTTTCTCTTTCTCTTTCTTTCTTTCCTTCCTTCCTTCCTTTTCTTTTCTCTTCTCTTTCTTTCTTTCTCTCCTCTTTTTTTCTTTCTTTTTTTTTTCTCTCTCTCTTCTTTCTTTTCTTTTTTTTGAGACAGAGTCTCGCTCTGTTGCCCAGGCTGGAGTGCAGTGGCACGATCTTGGCTCACTGCAACCTCCGCCTCCCAAGTTCAAGCAATTCTCCTGCCTCAGCCTCCTGAGTAGCTGGGACTACAGGTGCGTGCCACCATGCCCAGCTAATTTTTGTATTTTTCGTGGAGACGGGGTTTCACCAGGTTGACCAGGATGGCCTCGATCTCTTGACCTCATGGCTGCCTGCCTTGGCCTCCCAAAGTGCTAGGATTATAGGCGTGAGCCACGGCACCCAGCAGTTTGTTGTTGTTTTTTGTTTTGTTTTTAAAGGTAGTTCTGAGCAATCCATTACTATGAGGGAAGGGCATGGTGTTTTCTTAGGAAGGCTTCCCTGTGAAATACTAGAATTATTACTAATTCTTAATTGACTATCACAAAGAAAGATTTTGGAAGCTGAACTAAACATGCTCTCATCCCTGTACAAGGGATGCTTTGACATGCACTTGCTATGCTTAAAAATGGAGACAGTGAGACAGAGAAGCAGAGGGAGAGACAAAGGGGCAGAGAGAGATAGAGGGAGAAAGAGAGAGGGAAAGACAGAGAGAGAGAGGTTTGTTAGGTTTAAAGGGACAGTGACACCTCCTATTTGGTGTGTTCACGGAATACTGCTTCTGCTTTATCATTAACCCTTGTACTTAAGTTTCACATTACTTTTACTCTTTTTAAGGCCTGGTCAAAAAAACAGTTCACCTACCAATTTTTCCAAACTCATTAGCAATGGTTATAAGGATGAGTGGTTGCAGCAGCAGCAGCGAGCTGACTCAGACAAGAGGACCCCGAAGACCTCCAGGGCATCAGTGTTATCTCAGTCCCCACGAGACCTGGAAGGTCCCCAGGATGCAGCCAGGCTCCAGGATGCAGAGGCTTCTGAAGGTCCTGAGGACACCCCAGGTGAGGCACAAGCAGCCATCTGCATTTATTGGAGGCTTGGTTAATTGTGATGCAGCAGCTGACGTTCTTATCACATGATGCGTCTCGTAATGAGAAATGAGTAACCCAAAAACCATGTGAAAACGCCCACAGAAGTACTAAGGTTACAGATAAGCAAGAGAGTAATACATGTTTTGCTCTTTCCTCTTTATTCAAATGAATAGCGGAAGTCATGACTTTTGGGGTTTCACATTTTCTTTTATTTGTCAAAAATTTTGATAGTCCATTTGATATAACAAACAAATAATATACCAAATAGTATCAACTTTTAATCTTCCAGATCCAAACAATGTTGACCCTAAAAGGACTTTTGCATAAGCAGCCGGTACTTTTTGAGATCACTTCTTAAAAAGCTTTGAAAATAAGTCAAAATTCAAACTTAAAATTACTCCATTATTGGCATGTCTTAAGCTTTGAATAATTTAGAACTTTCTCCACAATTAGATGTTCAAAGTACTATATTAGTTTTTATTTATTATAATATTTTATTTTATTTATTTATTTTTTGAGACAGAGTCTTACTCTGTTGTCCTGGCTGGAGTGAAGTGGCACAATCACAGATCACTGTAGCCTCAACCTCCTGGGCTCAAGCGATCCTCCCATCTAAGTCTCCCAAGTAGCTGGGACTATAGACATGCACCATTACACCCAGCTATTTTTTTATTTTTCATAAAGACAAGGCCTCACTATATTGCCCCGGCTGGTCTCAAACTCCTGGGCTCAAACAATTCTTTTGCCTCTGCCTTGCAAAGTACTGAGATTACAGGTGTGAGTCACTGTGCACAGCCATTCATTTTTATTTTTAATAGTACAGAAAGAATTCATCTTATTTTTTCAACACATCCATCTTAAAGCCTATTGACATTGTGTTCAGTATCCATAGCTCTATTAATTATTGACCATTTGCTTCTGGGAAACCTGTTTTTACTCTTGAGGCTTGAGCTCTTTGATTAAGAGGAAAGATGGCGTGTTATACCTCTTCAGACATTTGAAGTGTTTGGTGTGGTGTGGTTATTTGTAAGTGAGGTCACCGTTTGCCATTCTACACCCTGTTCCTTACTGTATTTGTTGAACAAGATCTGCCACTTATTGGCCAACTCTCTCCTTTATTATCCTGGAAGATGAGATGGTGACAAGTTCATACTCAGTGTTGTTAAAAAGCACCCTATTGGCTGAGCATGGTGGCTCACGCCTGTAATCCCAGCACTTCGGGAGGCCGAGGCAGGCAGATTACCTGAGGTCAGGAGTTCGAGACCAGCCTGACCAACATGGAGAAACCCCGTCTCTACTAAAAATACAAAATTATCTGGGAGTGGTGGCACATGCCTGTAATCCCAGCTACTCGGGAGGCTGAGGCAGGAGAATCACTTGAACCCAGGAGGCGGAGGTTGCGGTGAGCCGAGATCGTGCCACTGCACTCCAGCCTGGGCAACAAGAGGGAAACTCTCTCAAAAAAAAAAAAAAAAAAAAAGGTTTGTTGCCCTATTGAACTTTACAATGTCAAGAGTGTTTTATGACTTATTGTTGTTTTAAGTAATACAGAATTTTCATTAAATCTTTAAGTAATTATGACTTCTTTTAATACTTGATCTGTTTCATTAACCTGAACAACGAATGTACTTTTTATTACAGAGTCTTCTCAAAGTGAGTACTTATAAAGTAACCAGCACCAAAACACAAAAAGTCTTACACAAAGAAATTGATGGACATAGTCCTGCATTCTGAGACTACAGCCTCTAGGCAGCCTGGAATGTCCTTCTCCAAACTGCATGCATTCTGACTACAAAGCTTGTGCCATGTATGCTTTAAAAAAATCAGAGTTCCAGAAACTTAACTTAGGGAGAGCAAAAAGAGGATCGCTTACACAATTACAACAGGATGAAGATGATGATGATGATGATGATGATTATTATTATTATTATTATTTTTTTTGAGATGGAGTCTCGCTCTGTCGCCCAGGCTGGAGTGCAGTGGCGCGATCTCCGCTCACTGCAAGCTCCGCCTCCCGGGTTCACGCCATTCTCCCGCCTCAGCCTCCCGAGTAACTGGGACTACAGGCGCCCGCCACAACGCCCAGCTAATTTTTTGTATTTTTAGTAGAGGCGGGGTTTCACCGTGTTAGCCAGGATGGTCTCGATCTCCTGACCTCGTGATCCACCTGCCTCGGCCTCCGAAAGTGCTGAGATTACAGGCGTGAGCTACCGCGCCTGGCCTATTATTCTTTTATTCATGTTACACAAGCAAAAACATACTTTAGTTCATGGACACACATTGTATTACTCGTCATGTGAGAGTCATACTGGAAAACATAAGTAAAAAGCCATCGGAGACTCCAATTTATTTTTTAGTTTACTTTTTATTTTATTTTAAATCGACAGATAATAATTGTATACAACTATGGGGTGCAATGCGATGTTTTGATATATGTATACATTGTGGCATCATTAAATCAAGGTAACTAAAATATCCATTACCTCAAATACTTACCCTTTTTTTGTGGTGATCACACTTAAAATCTGTTCTTTTAATGATTTTGAAATATACAATATATTATTATTAACTTTATTCACCTTGCTGTGAAATAGATAATTAAAACTTAACTCCTCCTGTCTAAGGGAAACTTGGCACCCTTTGACCAACTTCTCCTCTTACCCCATCAACTACTGCCCCATCCCCAGCACCTGGTAACACATTCTATTCTACTTCTATGAGTTCAATTTTTTTAGATTCCATATATGGCTGCAATTATACAGTATCTGTCTTTCTGTACCTGGCTTATTTTACTTAGACTAATGTACTCCAGGTTCATCCATGTTGTCACAAATGACAGAATTTACTTCTTTTTTAAAGGCTGAATAGTGTTCCATCATGTATATACCACATTTTTTTTCCTTATTCATCTGTTCATGGCCAGTGAGGTTGATTCCATAGCTTGGCTATTGTGAATAATGCTGCAGAAAATTTGGGAGCGCAGATGTAGCTTTGTGACATACTGATTCCATTTCCTTTGATATATGCCCAGCAGTGGGATTGCTATATCATACGAGAATTCGATTTTTAGTTTTTTAAGGAAACTCCATAATGTTTTCCATTATGGCTATTCTAATTTACATTTCACCTTCAGTATGTAAGGGATCCCTTTTCTCCACATTATCATCAACACTTGCTTTTCATCTTTTTGATAATAGCCATTTTGACAGGTGTGAGATGATATCTCATTGTGGTTTTCATTTGCATTTCCCTGATGATAGTGATTTTGAGCTTTTTTGTATATACCTGTTGGCCATTTGCATGTCTTCTTTTGAGAAATGTCTATGTAAGTCCTTTGCCCATTTTTAAATTGGATTATTTGTTTTTTTGCTACTGAGTTGAGTTCCTTATACATTTTGGATATTAACCCCTTATCAGATGTATGGTTTCCAGATATTTTTCCTGCTCTGTGGCTTGTCTTTTGTTGTTTGTTTCTTTTGCTTGCAGAAACTTTTTAATGTAGTCCCACTTATTTTTCCTTTTGTTACTTGGGCTTTTGGTGTTCTGTCCAAAAAATCATTGCCCAGACCAATGCTGGGGAGGTTTTTCCCTATATTTTTTCTATAGGTTTAGCATCCCAAATCTGAAAATCTGAAATCAAAGGAAATGCTCATTGGAACATTTCGGATTTTGGATTTTTGGATTTGGGATGCTCAACCAGTAAGTATGCAAATATTTCAAAATTTAAAAATAATTGAAATCCCAAACACTTCTGGTCCCAAGGATTTCAGATAAAGGATACTCAACCTATAGCAGTTTTACAGTTTCTGGTCTTTTGTTTAAGTCTTCATCTATTTTGAGTTGATTTTAGTATATTAAATGAGATGAAGATCCAATTTTCTTTCTCTGCATGTGGATATTCAGTTTACCCAGCATCATTTATTGAAGAAACTGTCCTTTCCCTCATTGTGTGTTCTTGGCACCTTTGTTGAAAATTAATTGACTGTTAATGTGTGGGTTTATTTCTTGGTTCTATCCACTGATCTATACTTCCATTTTTATGCCAGTACCATGCTGTTTTGCTTACTCTAGCTTTGTAATATATTTTGAAATCAGATGATGCCATATATCTGTTTTTTTTTTTTTCTGTTTGCTCAAGATTGGTTTGGCTATTCAGAGCCTTTTGTGGTTCCCTACAAATTCTAGGATTTATTTTCTATTTCTGTGAAAAATGTCATTGGAATTTTGGTAGGGATTGCATTGAATCTGTAGATTGTTTTGGGTAGTATGGACATTTTGACAATATTAATTATTCTGATCCATGTATGTAGGCTATGTTTCCATTTATCTGTGTCTTCTTCAATTTATTTCATCCATGTTTTATAGTTTTCAGTGTACAGGTCTTTCACCTCCTTGGCTAAATTTACTCCCAAGTATTTTTTAATGCTGTTGAGAGTGGGATTGTTTCCTTACTTTCTTTTTCAGATCATTTGTTGTTAGTATATAGAATGCTACCAATTTTTGTCTGCTGATTTTGTAGCCTGCAACTTTACTGAATTTGTTTACCAGTTTTCACAGTTTTTTGGTGGAGTCTTTAGGGCTTTCTATATATAAGATCACATTGTCATCAAACAGAATATTTCACTTGTCTCTTTATAATCTGAATGATTTCTATTTATTTTTCATGCCTAATTGCTCTGGCTAAGACTTCAGGTACTAAGTCAAATAGAAGTGGTGATAGTGAGCACCCTTGTATTTCTCCTGATCTTAGAAAAAAAGCTTTCAGCTTTCATTGGTGAATATCATATTAGCTGTGGGCTTCTCATGTATGGTCTTTATTGTGTTGAGGTACATTTCCTCTATGCTTAATTTGTTGAGAGTTTTTTTTATCATAAAAGGATGTTGAACTTTGTCAAGCACTTTTCCTACATCTATTAAGGTGATCATATGGTTTTTGTCCTTCATTCTATTATGTAGTATATCACATTCTATTAATGTAGTATATCACATTTAATGATATATTATGTAGTATATTAACATTCTATTAATGTAGTATATCACATTTAATGATTTGCATATGTTGAACCATCCTTGCTTACCAGGGATAAATTCCACATGATCATGGTTTATGATCTTTTTAATGTGCTGTTGAATTTGGTTTGCTAGTATTTTGCTGTGAATTTTTGCATCTATGTTTATCAGGGAAATTGGCCTGTAATTTTCTTTTCTTATAGTGTCCTTGTCTGACTTTGGTATCAGGGTAATGCTGGCCTCATAAAATGAGTTTGGAAGTGTTCCTTCCTTTTCAATTTTTTTGGGACAGCTTGAGAAGGGTTAGTATGATTTCTTCCTTTACATGTTTGGTAGAATTCACCAGTGAAGCCATTATGTCCTGGGCTTTTCTGTGATGGGAGAGTTGTTTTTTTTTTAACTGATTCAATCTCCATACTCATTCTTAGACAGTTCAAATTTTCTATTTCTTCATGATTCAGCTTTGGTGGATTGTATGATTCTAGGAATGTATCCATTTCCTCTAGACTATCCAATTCGTTGGTGTATAATCCTTCACAGTTGTCCTTTGTGGTCCTTTGTGTTTTGCAGTATCAGTTGCAATGTCTCCTCTTTCTTTTCTTATTTTTTTCAGTCTTTTCTTTTTTCCTCTCTTAGTCTAGCTAAATATTTGTCAATTTTGTTTATAATAAAAATACTACTCTAACATTTTTTATCTCTTCTATCTTTTCTTCTGCTAACCTTGGGCTTAGATTATTCTTTAGGACCTCAAGTTGAAAATACAAATACAGCAGGTACAGAAGATCACCTTCATAAGATATGATAAGGGTTTTATTATTCTGCATTGTCTTAAGAAGATAGAATTTACTTCACCATTGACAAAGTATTACATATTATCTGATCAAGGGACGATCATTTGGCATTCATATAAATGTATAAACTTTATATTGCAGGTGTTATGTAATCTTTGTGTTTATATTATCAGCAAGATCTGTTCAATTTTGAAGAAACCTTTTAACGTTTCAAATTAATGAAGGCCTAAATAAGCAGCAAAGCCCCTAAGAGCTGGAAGAATCGTCATGTGGAGAAGAGGATCTGCTCTGCTTAGTTTCTGGATAGCTGAGGCGGGGGTCACTATGAAATGCCTGCTCCCACCTCTCAGTATCTCTGATGCCAAGGCTAGTGCTAGAGCTTTTGACAACCACACTCTCTCCACTGTCAGTCTGACCACTATTTTCCTTCCTGTATTTCATTTCCTCTTCTGTTTTCCTATTTCCCCTGCTGTCCCTCATGGTTTTAACTTTATAAGCAATAGGCAATTTAGAAAGTGCCTTTTTTCCTTCCAACTAGACATCTCTCCACTTAGAGTGTGTTGCTATAACTTTCTGGAGACTAATCTTGTCAAGGCTTCTTATTTTATTTTTTTGAGACAGGGTCTTGCTCTGTTGCCGGGCCTGGAGTGTAGCGGTGCCATCATGGCTCACTACAGCCTTGACCTCCTGGGCTCAAGTGATCCTTCTGCCTCAGCCTCCTGAGCAGCTGGGACTACGGGTGCATGCCACCATGCCTGGCTAATTTTTGTATTTTTTGTAGGGACGAGGTTTCGCCATGTGGCCCAGGCTGGTCTTGAACTCCTAAGCTGAAGCAATCCACCCACTTCAGCCTCCCACAGTGTTGGGTTTATAGGCGTGAGCCACCACACCCAGCCTAAGGCTTCTTCTTAATGTTTCTTTCCCTCCATGAGACACAAGATTATTATTATTTCTTTATTGCAATTTTTTTCAGCTGTCCTAGATGTTTTGACGTGCCCTAAAGCTGGGCATTAGGAAACTGGTACACTACTGTACTTTGAGAGGGTCAACATTAATGAAGATTGCAACAGGCTTGGGAGCAGGGACACGTGCCATGCCGAGGCTGACAGACAGCCTGAGTTGCCCCTCTTCTCTACTCGCCTTGCCCAGGCTGTGCTCATACTATTTATTTAATAATTCTTATCGGTGTGCTTATGTCAGCAGAAACTTTCCACCATACACAGGCAAAACTCATGAATTGAACTGTTTCCAATGGGGCATTCTCTTCTGGTCTACCAGTGCAAAAGTTGTAATCTTGTGTTTCCAATGTATTATTTATGCCAGGATCATAAGCTCAATTTTTATGTAGACTTCAGAAATAATCCTTATTAATAGGTACAAAACTATGTGTTTTCTTATATTTAAAATTAATGTTTTTTAATTTATAGAAAATGTCATCTTTGTCTACTCATTTATTTACTTTGTGTTGCAGGCCCAGAAGAATCTGTATCTGCATCAACACCAGCAGAGCTCAAATAAATCCTGATGCAATATGTATTTAGGATAATTTTTAAATGGCTAAATATGACATGACTGTATTATAGCTATATTTCTGAGGCTTTTTTTGTATTTTATTAATATAGACTCTCATTGAATAATTTACCTTGCAGCAGATTTGACATTGCTGCATAGAAGGGGCAGGTGTTGGTTTTTGTTTCTTGCATTTCTCTGGGATGTGAAACACTTGGCTAACAAACACAACTAAGGCCTCTGGTACCCTCTGCCCTGCTGGCCTGGTGATGTCCCAGTGTCTCAGAACTGATCACTTGCTCCTCCTATTGTGTGAACCACTCTTAGCAGGCATTGCTACTGGATTCTTAACTAGAGAAAACTTACAGAACAGGTGTTAAGCCTTTTCCAATATTTAGTATTGTAGTCTTCATAGAAATCATTTCTAGTTACAGAAAAATTTAACTCCAGAATATGGTGATACAGTTTATGTTAAGAAACATATTTTAATTTATTATGCCATGAATTTATAAACATTTAATATAAAACATTATAACATTTGCTGTTTTAAAATTTTTGCTATTTTTTCACAAACTGATATTCAAAATATTAAACATTTGTTATTTTGTATAAACCTTTAAGTAAAAATATGCTGTTTTAATATTTAATTTAGTAGAATTAACAAAAACTTTTTAATAGTCAAACTGAATTACCTTGTTTTATAAATGTTAAATTGTTTATATTTAAGTAATTAGCTTAAAAATATAGTTTTATGTTTTGTACATTAATTGATTAATAAAATAATAATTTTATGTGAGAATGTTTTCAAAAAGCCAAATAAAGTCACAGATATTTTAGCTTCTTTCCCAGAATAAACTTATCATGCATTTGCTTACCTAAAATTTAAGTTTCAAATTAGTTCTCTATATGAGATACTTAATCGAGCATATATATTTATATTCATTGATCAAACTGATATGCTACAGGAGAATGTATGCAATGTGTAAAAAATGCAAATGGCTGTATGCATTGAATAAAAATAATATACAATTAGAGTAAGAAGTTTGTTTTTTCCCTTTCCTATTCTCTTCCTTTCTCTATATTCTCTTCCTTCCTTACCTCATTCCCAGACACCCCCACCTTAACAAAAAAGTCATCAGGAACAGATATCAATAGTGTAGAACGCTTCAATTATTTGTTTAGATTATTATAGTAACAGAAACCTGTGGTTTAGGAAAAATGGGGACAAAATTTGGAGTAAGGACCAGTGATCAAATTTAGGCTCCACCTACAGTAGCCAGTGTTGACCTAAACAACAAGCAGAGAGGCTGTCTGAAAGCAAATGGTATTTATTTGGGAATGAAGCAGTTCAATGGAAATATAGTAAACCATGCACATATAGTAAACTGCGCACATATTCATGGAGGTCAAGGAAGACAAAAATAGGGAGGATTACATAATTGTTTTGACATAATTATCCTTGACTATAATGATCAATAATGAGGGTGATGCCAGTCCAGGTTTGAACAGGCAGTGGCTGAATAGATGTCCTCACAGAAGTATTTTTTTAATGTATGGTTGCAATACCCTTTGTTCAAGGTTGCAGTTTTATAGAGTCTTTTGTGATAGCTTTTGCTATTCTGTGCAATTCCAACTATATGGCATGCTGGGAATGGAAAAACTATGGCTGCAGTAAAACTATCACTGATAGATGGGGATTAGGGAGGAAGAATGAATAGATAGAGCACAGAGGAATTTTAGGCCAGTTAAACTACTCTCTGTGTAATGCTACAACGGTGGAAATATATCATTATAAGTTTGTCCAAACCCACAGAATTTATAACACCAAGAGTAAGCCTTAATATAAACTATGAACATTGGGTGATAATGGTGTCTCAAAATGGGTTCATCAAGTGTAACAAATGTTATCACTGCTGCTCCAGGTGTTGATGGTAGGAGAGGCTGTGAGTGCTGAGAGGAAAAGGAATATGGGAACTCTCTTCTTTATGCTCAATTTTGCTGTGATCCTAAAACTGACCCAAAAAGTCTATTAAAAATAAAAAAAATAAGATAATGCCCTACATGTCATAAAAAAAATAAAAACTACAGTGTAAAAAAAGCAGGTTGGGCATGGTGGCACATGCCTATAGTCCCAGCTACATAGGAGGCTGAATACAGACTATTGCTTGAGCCCAGGAGTTCAAGTCCAGCCTGAGCAGCATAGTGAGGCCCTGTCTCATAAATAAATAAATAAATAAATAAATAAATAAATATTTTTATAAAGCAAAAAGTGTTGGGTTTGCTGCCTGCAGTGCTAAATGATGGGATATACAAGTGGTTGTATCACATCCCTTGAGTTAAAGGTTAAAAAACAACAGATCAACTTAGGTCTAAAGGACAAATCAGCATTAGTAACATTTAAAAATGAAAATAAGGGTGCTCACCTCAGCAGCACTTATACTAAAAATGAAAATAAGGAGGAAAAATTATTTTCAAGTCTTTTTGTCCTTAGAGAGCAAAGCTCAGCAGCTTTGACAGGCTCTCACACTCTTAGTTTAGATTGCATGTGGGAGCTCTTTGTGAAACAATAAAGAGGCTGTCTGTGCAGTTTTAACAAGTACAATAATGTGCTACAGAAATTCTGATTCAGTAGCAAGCTCTTCAGGTGGTAAGACATGAACCCTCCTTTGAGACATACTGCCCTGTAACCTGGGTCAATGCAAGTTTGAATTAAAAGATTTTGTTTTGAATGTGCCATGTTTTTATGAGGTTACTAAAAGATTTGCAATAAAGTACAACTTTTCTACCCAAGAATATCCTAATTTCTTTGAAACTATCCATTATGTATTAATATGTAGCTATTCCTTGCCTCATGAACTATAGATGTACAATTATTTTAAAACTCCATCTTGGGGACTTTCTGGTAGTTAAGATAATTATAACCATCTAAGCTAAATCTCCCCACACATCATTTAAAAATTGAGCAGATCAATTAACCAAATTGAGCAGATGTACCAATCTTTGTACAGCTATAATATAAAGACAACCACCAATGGCCCATTTCTTCAGCACAATTAGAAAAGGAAGGACGTCATAAGCTTAAAATGACCTGTAAATAGACAAACATAAACTTCCAGTAGAGTCATTTCTGTAGCTCCCACCACACACTTTACTGAAGATGAGGGAGGATCCAGAAAGACTCCAGAAAGAGAAGCAAGGGTGGAGGTAAAACTACCTGCAGAAGGAAAAGTCCCAGTTATGTGGGAACATAGTAAAAATGCATGGTGAAGGGGAAATCGAAGTGGAGAAAATGGAAGACTCTATCAAACAACAGTAAACCAAAAAAAATGGAAGGACACACCATCCCTCCCCTGTACCTATGAAAACAGCCACTCAAGAAAAAAGTCTTTACATCTCACTACTGATAGAAGATGGCACATTTGAATTGTATAAATCATCCCAGTAGACAACTCTATTCACAAAATAAAATATATTAGAAGTCTTTATCTATTAAGAGAACAATAAGACAAAGGCAAAAACTGAGAATAAAAATATTTTGGCTGATAAAAATTTTCTCCAAAAAGTTAACAGTGAAACACCTCTATTACAACAATTCTCAAGCAAGCATTTAGAGATTTTTAAAATGTATACACAACAACAACAAACATACACTCTGGCTTGGAAATTTAAAAACTAAGAACAGAAATTAATTCCATCCTGTAAAAAAAAGAACAAATAAAATGAGAGTTTATTTAATTTCAAGAAGAAAAAGAATCAAAAGAAAAATTATATCAGAAATAAGGACTATAAGATGCCCAAAGGAGAACAGATTCCAATAAAAATGTAATATGAGTCATTGAAGAAAAGAAAGAAAAGAACGAAGAGAGTGAAAATGAGATGAAATGGAAAGGATTAGAGGGAAATTTGTTGAAATGGAAGACAATGAAAGAAGATTAAACATATGTACAATTGGATTCTCTGAAGAAGGAAAAAGCTATATACAATGGAACAGAACTAATATTTATAACTGTAACTCAAGAAAATATTTCAGAAATAATACTTGAATCTACATATTGGAAAGATCCACAATGTACCAGGAAAACTTATTTGTAACAATGTCAAGACATATTCTAATAAAATTATAAGGTTTTATTGTAAATAAAATATCCCCAGTTCTCTAAAGATCTAATAACTTACAAGGTCAAACAAAATTATCCGGCGTAAGATTTCTCAAAAGCAATATGCAAGGCAACACTGAAATAGCATTTTCAAGAAACTCAATGAAAGAATATATGAACCAAGCCAAACTGTCCCTCAAGTGTCAAGGCTATAGAAGAACAGTTTCAAACTTGTAAGAATGAGCCTTTTCTGAAGCACCAGCTAGAGGATGAGACTGACTCAGCTAAAAATCACTGAAGAAAATTCAGCAAAAGGACCACTGATGAGCACTTAATATAGTTAATTGTGGACCTGAAACTAAAATAAAAGTGGGGAAAACATGAAAGAGTAATATATAAATGTTCTATGTTCTGACAAACTAGAAATAACATAACTAAAATTTTAGAAAAGGAAAAGATAAATCTAAAATAAACCCTTTGGTGGATAGGTCATACACAGTACTCAAAGAATACCATTAGAAACTGACAAAACAGATAGTAAAAAATTAAATAAGAAAACAGAAATAAGGGCACTAAGAAAGACATAAGTTAAAAAAATAAAAACAAAACATTACAGAGAAAGAAAAATAGTAAATATAATACTCATAATAATTACAATAATGTGACTGAATTAAGACTACACCTGTAAGTCATATCAATAAATGCAAATGAGCTTAACTCATCTGTTAAAAGATTTTCATTTTGGTTTACAAAGCAAGACACAAATGTCATATGCTGGAGACATGAGACACATCTGAAACAAAGGATTCAGAAAGGCTAAAAATGAAATGATGAGCAAAGGCATACCAGGAAAACAGAAATAATAGAAAACACAGGTAGCAATATTTATGTCATACAAAGTAAAATTCAAGCAATAAACATTACATGAGACAAATAAAGAACTTTTTAATACTAAAAGCCAGAAGTCATGGGAAAGACAGTACAGTTATGAATATCTAAGTATCGAGTATAACAGAGACCACTTTTATGAGGCAGGAACTACAGGAAATGCAAGGAGTCAACTACTAATAGGATACTTTAACAGATCACTCTCAGTGCAATTCAGATCAACCAGAAAAAGATAACAAAGGTTATAGAAGGCCTAAGCAGTGTAATCAATATGATAGGTCGTACGGATATATATCAAAAGTTAAGATGCGATAATAGAATGTATACCTTCAAATGCATGCACAGAATATTCACATAAATAGTTGTTATACTGGAACACAATAATGTAGAAATGTGCAAATACTACTCTGACCACAGCTCAATAAACCTGGAAATTAATCACAAAATCAATAAACTTAAAAAAATTCCCACCAGGAAATTTTTGAAAACCTGCACAACTTATATTTAATGCCCTTGATGAAAGAGAAAGTACTAACCTAAATTACAAAATTTCTAAAAATAAATATAATAAAAATTCTCCTAGTAAGGACCTATGAGAACTAGACCTAACACATATATACAGAGCACTACACCCAACGACAGCAGAATGCAAATTCTTCTCATGTGTACATGGAACATTCTTTAAGACAGAGCATACATTAGGCAACAAAATAAGCCTCAAGAAATCTAGTAAGATGGACATCATACAGCGTATCTTCTCCAGCCACAATGGACTGAAACCAGAAATTAATAACAGGAAAACTGGAAATTTCACAAATATGTGGAAATTAAACAACACATATGTAAGTGACCAGTTGGTCAAAGAAGACATCACAGGGAAATTAGGAAATAGTTTGAGATGAATGAAACAAAAGCACAGTATATAAAAACTTATGGAGGCCAGGCTCAGTGGCTCACGCCTTAATCCCAGCACTTTGGGAAGCCGAAGTGGGTGGATCACCTGAGATCAGGAGTTCAAGGCGAGCCTGGCCAACATGGTAAAATCCCTACTAAGAATACAAAAATCAGCTGGGCAGGGCAGTGCATGCCTGTAATACCAACTACTGCAGAGGCTGAGGCAAGAGAATCGCTTGAACCCAGGAGGCGGAGGTTGCAGTGAGCCGAGATTGCACCACTGCACTCCAACCTGGGCGACAGAATGAGACTCCGTCTCAAAAAAACAGAAAACAAAAACAAAAACCAAAAAAACACTTATGGGATGCAGTGAAAGCAATGGTCAGAAATTATAAATTTAGACAATTTAGAAATTTTCATTATAAGTTTAGAAATTTATAATTCCTGACCACTGCTATCACTGCATCCCATAAGTTTTTTTAAAGTTTTTATATGTTGTACTTTTTTAATGTAAACAAATACATGAAAAAAGAATAAAGATCTCAAATCTGTAACCTATCTTTACATTTTGAGGAACTATAATAAGAACAAACTGAACCCAAAGTTAGCAGAAGGAAGGGAATGATCAAGATTAAAGCAGAAGTCAACAAAACAGAGAATAGGAAAAAATACACACTCAATGAAACCAAAGTTGGTTCTGTGAACAGATTAACAAAACTGACAAACTGTTAGCTAGAATGATGAAGAAAGAAAGAGAGAAAACTCATATTACCAAAAAAAGAAATAAAAGTAAAGACATTGCTACCAACATTAAAGAAATTAAAAAGGATTATAACACTATGAACAACTGTACTCCAATAGAATTAGATAACCAAGATGAATGGACAAATTCTTAGAACACTCATATTACAAAAAGTGACTCAAGAAGAAATAAGAAAATATGAACAGATCTATAAAAATTAAAGATACTGACCCAGTAATCAAAAACCTCCCAATAATGGAAGTAGTTTTCACTAATTACCAGTTATGAACAACAATCTTTCTCCAGCTCTTCTAAAAATCGTAAAGGAAGGAATACTTCCTAACTCATGAGGCCAGCATTACTTTGATCCCAAAGTCAGATAAAGGACATTGCAAAAAAAGAAAATTACTATCCAATATTCCTTATGAATATAGATGCAAAAATATTTAACAAAATACTGTCAAACTGAATCCACTAGCATATTAAAAGAATTAAATGTCATGACCAAGTGGGATGTATCCTAAGAATGCAAGGCTGGCTAAATTAATCAATCACATTGAGGGAATGAAAGGAAAAAAAAACCATAATCATCTAAATTCATCCAGAAATGTATGTATAGCATACACCCACAATATATCCAATATCATGTTAAATACTCAACACACCAGGAATTGAAGGGCACTTCCTTACCCTGATAAAGGACAGTTATGAAAAACCTGCAGCTAATATCAAAATCAATGATGAAAGGCTGAAGGCTTTCCCTCTAAGATCAAGAACCAGATAAAAATGCCTGCTTTTGGCTGGGTGCTATGACTCATGCCTGTAATCCTAGCACTTTGGGAGGCTGAGGCAAGTGGGTTGCCTGAGCTCAGGAGTTTGAAACCAGCCTGGGCAACACGGTGAAACCCGTCCCTACTAAAAATATTAAAAAATTAGCCAGGTGTGGTGGCTGGGTGCCTGTAGTCCCAGCTACTTGGGAGGCTGAGGCAGGAGAATTGCTTGAACTCGGGAGGTGGAGGTTGCAGTAAGATGAGATCGCGCCACTGCACTCCAGCCTGGGGACAGAGCGAGATTGCATCTCAAAAAAAAAGAAAAAAAAAAAAAGCCTGCTTTTGTCACTTCTATTTCAACAATGCACTGCAATTAGGGAAGGAAAAAAAAAGGCATACCAGCTGGAAATACAGAAATAAGTAGAATTATCTCTATTTCCAAATGGTTCTACAGTTTGAGTGTTGGTGTCTCCCTACTTCAAATTCCCAATTAAGATAGTATTTAGAGGTGGGGACTTCAGGAAGTCATTAGGTCATGAGGGCAGAGTCCTCATAAATGAGATTAGTGCCCTTATAGAAGAGGCTTGAGAGAACCTGTTTGCCGCTACTGCCATTTGAAGATGAAGAAAGAAGCCACCATATTTGAAGCAGACAGTGACTCTTCCACCAGACACTGAATCTGCTGGCCCCTTGATCTTGGACTTCCCAACTTCCAGAATAGTGAGCAATAAATTTCTGTTGTTTATTAATTAAGAAGTTTAAGGTATTTTGTTATAGCAGCAGGAACAAACTGAGACAGATGGAATGATCTTATACAGTGCAGTATACAGAAAATCCTAAAGAATACACACACACACACACACACCCCTATTATATGGCCTATGGCCAATAAATGAATTCAGCAAAGTTGCAGCATACAAAATCAATGCACAAAAATCAGTTGCATTTCTATACTTCAACAATGCATAATCTGAAAAGGAAATTAAGAAAACATTTCCATTTTCAATAGTATCAAAAAGAATAAAATACTTAGAAATAAATTTAAATAAGGAGGAGACTTGTACACTAAAAACTACAAAACATTATTAAAAGAAATTGAAGAATACAGAGTAAATCCAGAGACATCTGTGGTCATGGATTGGAAGACTTAATATTAAGATGGCAACACTCCTCCAAACAATCTACACACTTAATGCTATACTAATGGAGGCAGAGTGGTACTGGCATAAGGAGAGACATATACACCAATGGCATAGAACTGAGCTTCCAGAAATAACATCATATGCCTACAGTCAGTTGATTTTAAACAAGGGTGTCAAAACCATTCATGGTGAAAGAACAGTCTGAAGTTCTAACCCTTTAACTGTATCTTGGTTTTTCCTAATCCTGAAGCTAATCTAGGGGCTCCTAACCAAAAAAGGCATCTCATTATCGTATAAATGACACTCTTTTTCACTCTGGAGATTCCACAGGTTTTAGGAGTTGTGTGCCAAAAACCAAAGACAAAACCCGAGTAACTTTTAAAAATTATAACACAGTATATCTGGAAAACCCTAAAAAATAAATAACAAAACTAACTCAGACTATAAGATAAACCAATGTTATTGGCATATATGATCAATATGCAGAAATCTGCAATATAAATTTTTTAATTGACAAATACAATCGTATATATTTATGGTATGCAACATAATGCAAGTTTTGTATACACAAACAATGACCATTTAGATGATAAAATAGTAGAGAAAATTCCATTTATGGTAACAAAAAAGGAGACTAAATATTTGGGAATAAATTTATCAACAAGTAAAATCTACATGAGAAAAAATTTTAAAACACTCCAGAAGACATAAAAGTAGTCTTGAACTAGACATCCCTTGCTTTAGCCAGGATAGCAACATTATAAGGATGCCAGTTAATTTATAAATTTAACACAATCCCAATAAAAATATGAATAACCCTTTTGAAGTCAATACTAAAATCCCTACAGAGGTCAGGCTTGGTGGCTCACGCCTATAATCCCAGCACTTTGGGAGGCCAAGGCGGGCGGATCACCTAAGGTCAGGAGTTCAAGACCAGCCTGATTAACATGATGAAACCCTGTCTCTACTAAAAGTACAAAAATTAGCCAGGCATAGTGGCAGGTGCCTGTAATCCCAGCTACTCAGGAGGCTGAGGCAGGAGAATGACTTGAACCTGGAAGGAGGTTGCAGTGAGCAGAGATTGTGCCATTGCACTCCAGCCTGGGCGAGAGAGTGAGACTCCCTGTCAAAAAAAAAAAAAAAAAAAAAAATCCCTACAGAAAAGAAAATATGCAAGAATAGAATGAAAACAGTTAAAAAGGAAAATCTACAAGGGAGACTAGGCCAACTAAAAAGTAAAACATACCAAAAAGCCTTCATAATAAAACAGTGTGGTTCTGGCACATGAATGACAAACAGGTCAGTGGAAAAGATGAAAAAATAATACAACTACAGACATAGGTAAATACGTGTATAATGAAGGTGGCATCGCATAATGACCGAGAAAATAAAGTTTTTAATACATGGGACAAGTATACAGCCATTTCGATAGAAAAAAAGAGAAAAAGAGAAAATTAGATCCATACCTCACACCATACACAAGCAATACTCAGCATGGACACTGAGAAGCACGTCGTCAGTTATGTGGTGCCAGGCTACAGCTGCAAGCTCCTCATCTCTCAGTCAAGTGGGAAGGACAACAGCGTTGCTAGGTCTTCTTCCAGTTCTGAGAAAAGGGAGTCAAAATTCATGAAACCTGACAGTTGGGTCTCCGCCATCCCAGTCTAAATGCCCTGGTGAGAGTTTAATCTGTACATGATGGCGACCACGAGTTAAGACACCAGGTGCCATCTGGAGTGTGAGCTACCTGCAGCTCTTCAAGGGAAAATAGGATTCAGATCCACTTTTTAGATAAAATAGTGGTTCTCAGAGCATGTTCCCAAGGGTGCTTGGGAATACCCAAGACCTGTTCAGGAGTCTGCTAGGTCAGAACAATTTTCATAATAATTTAAAAACTGTATTTATCTCTTTCTCTTATTTTCTCCCTATATTCAACAGTGTTTACTGTACTATATGACATATGATTCTATTTCAGATTAAATGCAGAAGCAGACCTGAGAATTTAACTGTCTCTATTAAGCTGGATAGTGAAGGAATTGGCAAAAATGTAGAATTATGCCACTCCTCACACTTTTTTTTGTTTTGTAAAGATATAGTTATGTTTCATATACATGTCATTTATACTAATATAATGGGTTAATTATTGTTACTTTAAAATAAATTAATAAGTAAATAGGCTAAATATATTAGTTTTAATTTCTAATATAATAAACATCAATAGCTAAATACCTACATACACATTTCTTTGAAGTCTTCAGTGATTTTTAAGAGTGTAAAGGGGTCCTGAAACCAAAATGTTGGAGGTCTGCTGAGTTACAGCAACTCAGAGAGGTTAAGTGACTTCCCTGCTATCACATAGCATGTGTCAGACAGATGCCTGTCCACCTCTGGACCTTTATGCGCTTTCCTTTCTTGTTTTACTGTGTTCCAGCCTTTGCATTACCCCATACGATACACGCAAATTGGATGCCACCTTTTGAAAACCCTTACTTAAAGAATTTTATTTTCATTTGGTGCAGTATTTGTGCTTTGCCAGTGGAGTATAAAACACTTAATCTTTCCACTCACTCAGACCTGGGGCTGAAGTAGTTTACAGGACAAGGACACCAAGATCTCCACTTAGGATGTTACCTAGAAAGGCTTTCTGATATCTCAAGGTTGTGCAAGGGAAAGCTAACACCATCATTTCTTTTGAGATAGACCTGCTTTGGGCAGCCAACTGCCATGGGGTGAGGTGGTGTGGGACACAGAAGGCAACAGGGGAGAAATAAGCAGAAAAGAATAAATGTCCAAACTGCTTGGCAATGCACAGTGTATATTACATAGCATACAATGCACAGTGTATATTACAATGCACAGTGTATATTACAGTGCACAGTGTATATTACAGTGCACAGTGTATATTACATAGCAATGCACAGTATATTACATAGCTGTATATTACAGTGTATATTACATATTACATTACATATACACAGTGTATAATATATTACACAGTGTATATTATTGTATATTACACAGTGTATATTACAATGCACAGTGTATATTACATATTACACCGTGTATATTACATATTACACCGTGTATATTACATGTGCAAAGGTGTGCAATGTGCAGTAGAAAGACACGCACTTTCCCTCGCGCCACTGCACTCCAGCCTGGGTGACAGAGCGAGACTCCATCTCAAAAAACAAACAAACAAACAAAACACAAAACACACAAAAAACCAGAAAACTACAACCCAACTATATGCTGTTTATAAGAAACTCACTTCACTTACAACACATGAAAATACAAAATGGTCGTGTACCATGTAATAATATTTCTGTCAATGACAGAGCTCATATACAACTGTGGTCCTATAAGACTACAATACTGTATTTTAAATTACATTTTCAGTGTTTTTGTATGTTTAGATACACTAATACTTACCATTGTGCTACAATTGACTGCGCTATTCAGCATAGCACTATGCTGTACAGGATTGTAGCCTAGGAACAATAGGATATACCATATAACCCAGCCTAGATATGTTAGGTATACCATCTAGGTTTGTAGAAGTATGCTCTACGCTGTTTTTACAATGAGGAAATTGTCTAATTGTCTAATGGTGCATTTCTCAGAATGTATCTCCAGTGCTAATTGAGGAATAACTCTACATCAAAATTTGTGGGATGCAGCTAAAGCAATGCTGAGAGGAAAATTTATGCCCATATTAGAATTGAAGACAGGCTTCAAATCAATATTCTAGGTTGTCACTTCAAAAAACTATACAAAAGTAGCAAACTAAGCCCAGAGAAGGCAGAAGAAAGGAAACAATAAAGCTTAGAGCAGAAATCAATAAAGTTGAAAATAGAAAAACAATAGAGGAAATCAATGAAACAAAAGTTTGTTCTTGAAAAAATCAATAAAATCAACAAATCTCTAGCAAGACTGATAAGAATAAAAAGAAAGAAGATACAAACACCAATATCAATAATGAAATAGGGAATACCACAACAGACATCGCAGCCATTAAAAAGATGGTAGAAAAAAACACTAGGACCAACTTTACCTTCATAAACCTAGTGATTTATAAGAAATAAATGAATTCTTCAAAAGTCACAAACTACCAAAACTCAACCAAGATGAAATACACTGCTTGAATTGTTCTATACCTATTCAAAAAATTGAATTCATAATTCCTCACAACTTGGAGGTTTCCCACATGGTTTCAATGGGAAATTCAACAAAATGTTTCAAGAATTAACGCCAATTTTACACCATTTCTTTTAGAAATTAAAAGAGGAGAGAACCCTTTTCAACTTATTTCATGAGGCCAGTATTATCTTGATGCCAAAATGAGATGAGCACAGCATAGAAGAGGAAGACTGCAGACCAATATTTCTTATAAATTTAGATTTTAAAATCTTCAAGAAAATATTAGCAAACAGAATTCAAGAATGTGTAAAAATAATTATATCCAATTACCAAGTGAAATCTATTACAGGTATGCAAGGTGGTTCAACATTCAAAAATCAGTTAGTTTAGTGTAGTTTGCCATGTAAATATGCTAAAGAAGAAAAATCACATGATTCTATAAATTGACACAGAGCATTTGGCAAAATTCAGTATCTACGTATGATAAAAGCTCTTAGCAAATTAGGAATCAAGAGGAACTACCTCAATTTGATAAAGAACATCCACAAAAAACCCTACAGTTAACATATTTAATAGTGAAAGATGAAATGATGCTTTCCTCCAATGACCAGAAACAAAGCAAGGATGTCCACTCTCACCCTTCTTATTCATCATAGTACTGGAAGGCCTAGCCACTGAAGCAAGGGAAAAAAAGAAAATAAAAGGCATACAAGTGGGAAAGGAAGAAATAAAACTGTCTCTGTTTGTAAATGAGATGATTGTCTGTGTAAGATTTCCCAAAGAATCTACAGAAACACTCTTAGAACTAATAAGTGAGTCCAGTAATGTTGCAGTTTAAAAAACCCAGACATACAAATAAATCACTCTTCTATACACAACAATGAAGATGTAAGAATTGAAAAATTTAAAACACAATGCCATTTATGATCACTCCAAAGATAATGGACTGCTTAGGTATACACTTAACAATACATGTACAGGACCTGCCTGTTCAAAATTACAAAATGCTGATGACAAAGTTTTTAAAAGACTTACATATGTAGAGAGACATACTGTGTGGATTAGAAGGCTCAACATAGTAAACATGTCATTTCTACTGTTAAAGAAAAATATTATTCATGACTCTTATTAAAGATAGTAGAGAGGTTTTATTCAGGACTTTTGCAACAGATATAGGCACCACTGTGATGGGTTTTTACAGTAGGAGAGAGAGATTGTGAAAGCATATTTGCAAAAATTTTGACAGAGAAACCTAATATGGCTGACAACATCTTGCTTCTAGTCTCACAGGCTGACTGTCTTCACTCATTCCTGCACATAGGCCAAGCTAATCACAGGAGGAATTTAGTTTATAGTTTAAGTTGGAAACAAGGATAACAATAGCACTTCCCTAAAACTAAGCCCCTCCTTGCTCAGGGACTCAAAATTAGTGAAAGGCCATGAGATTAGGATCATGGGAGGGACCTGAACTCTGCTAAAATGTAGGCACAGTTTCTATAATTCTTTACTTCCCAGGAGTCATGTGGCCAGAGGTCACAAGATTGGTGACTTCACCAATTGCTCCTGTAGATAACATCACTATTGTAGAACCTAAGATTGGTCTTTTGAGATGGTTTTCAGATTTTTGCCTTCTGGCAACCAGCTGACTTCATCTGGAGCCATGACTCATGGCTCTACCAGGCATGTAGCCCACACCCAGAGGCTGGCTCAATTTTTCAATCAGCAGCACCAATTCCCTAGCCCCCTACCCACCAAGTTATCTATAAAAACTTGTCTCTGAGTTTTCAGACTGATTTGAGTGATAACCCCAGTCCTTCTGCTCAGCTGCCTTGCTTTAATTAAACTCTTTCTTTACTGCAATACCATGGTCTCAGTGAACTGGTTTTGTCTGTGCAACAGCCAGGACGAACCCATCAGGTGTTACAGCTGGGTTCAACAACTAATACAAGGATAAGTGGGAATTTACAGCCAAGGAGCTGTACAGGGTCAGTAGATAGAAAATTACTAAGAGAAAACATCTAGGCTAAGGGGATTCTGGCTAAACTGAATCAACCTACTTGCTGAAGACAAGGCAAGGTGATAAGGTATCTAGGGCAAATAATTAGAAATTTGATCAGATATCAAGCATACGGGACTTTTGCTAAATTAACTCAGCAGGATTCTTGCTAAAACTCAACTAAGTGGACATATACTATGGACTAAGGACAGATCAGGTTCTAGTCAGAAAGGGGACTCAGAGGCCAGGTGCAGTGGCTCAACCTGTAATCCCAGCACTTTAGGAGGCTGAGGCGGGTGGGTCACGAGATCAGGAGATCGAGACCATCCTGGCTAACACGGTGAAACCCCGTCTCTACTAAAAATACAAAAAAATTAGCCAGGCGTGGTGGTGGGCACCTGTAGTCCCAGCTACTCGGGGGGCTGAGGCAGGAGAATGGCGTGAACCCAGGAGGCGGAGGCTGCAGTGAGCCGAGATAGCGCCACTGCACTCCAGCCTGGGTGACAGAGCGAGACTCCATTAAAAAAAAAAAAAAAAAAAAAAAAAAAAAAGAAAGGGGACTCAGAGGAATCTGACTCAAGCTTGGTCAAAAAAAGAGAGGCTTAGTCACTACCCAAATTGATCTATAGGTTTGATACGATCTCTATCAGAATCCCAGTATGTTTTGTTTTATTTTATTTTTTCGCAGACATAGATGTGTGTGTTCTAAAATTTATACGAGCTGGGTGTAGTGGCTCACACCTGTAATCCCAGCACTTTGAGAGGCTGAGATGGGAGGATCACTTGAGCCCAGGAGTTTGAGACCAGTCTGAGAAACATGGTGAAATCCTGTCTGTATAAAAAAATTAAAAAATTAGGTGGGCATGGTGGCACACACCTGTGGTCCCAGCTACAAGTGAGGCTGAAGCAGATGGATTACTTAAGCCCAGGAAGTGAAGGCTGCAGTGAGCCATGATCGCACGGCTGTACTCCAGTCTGGGAGACAGAGCAAGACCCTGTCTCAAGAAAAAAAAAGTATATGGAAAGGGATAGGCCTTGGAATAGCTTAACATCTTAACAAAGAAGAATCTAACAGGAAAATCACTCTACCCTATATTAAAGCCTAGTATAGTGATGAAAAGAGTACAGTATCGACAGAAGAGGGACAGACACACACACGACTCGAACAGAATAGAAAACCCAGAAACAGACCCACACAAATAAGCTCAACTAAACTCTGACAAAATGCCAAAGCAATTCAACAGAGAAGGATAGCCTTTTCAATGAATGGTCCTACAGCAACCGGATATCCATAGGCAAAAAAAAAAAATCATCTTCACCCAACCATCACACCTAAAAACAGACCATAAACTTAACTGCAAAGAAGAAAACTGTTAAACTTTTAGAAAAAAACATAAAAGGAAATTTTCAGGATCTAGGGCTGGGAAGAGAGTCTTGACAACAAAAGCACAATTCACAAAAGGGATGATATATGAATTAAAAATTAAAATCAAATTGAAAATTAAGGCCAGGCATGGTGGCTCACGCCTGTAATTCCAGCACTTTGGGAGGCCAAGGCAGGTGGATCACTTGAGGTCAGTAGTTCAAGACCAGCCTGGCCAACATGGTGAAACCCTGATTCTACTAAAAATATAAAAATTAGCCAGGCATGGTGGTGGGCACCTGTAATCCTAGCTACTCTGGAGGCTGGGGCAGGAGAATAGCTAGAACCCAGGTGGTGGAGGTTGCAGTGAGCTGAGATCACGCCACTGCACTCCAGCCTGGGCAACACAGCAAGACTGTGTCTCAAAAAAAAAAAAAAAATCAGAAATTTTTAAAAATGCTCTATGACAGTTCAAATATATGAAGAGGATAAAACGACAAACTAAAACAGGGAAAAAATATTTGCAAACACGTACTCAACAAAAGACTGATATCTAGAATATACAAAGAACTCTCAAATCTCTACAAGAATAACAATAACAACAACAACAGAAAACCCAAACCATTCAATTAGAAAATGGGGAAAAGATATGAACAAATATTTCACCAAAGCAGATATACAGATGTCAATAAGCATCAAAAGATGCTCAACATCGGCTAGGCGCAATGGCTTACGCCTGTAATCCCAGCACTTTGGGAGGCCGAGGCGGGTGGATCACGAGGTCAGGAGATCGAGACCATCCTGGCTAACATGGTGAAACCTGTCTCTACTAAAAATACAAAAAATTAGCCAGGCATGGTGGTGGGTGCCTGTAGTCCCAGCTACTTGGGAGGCTGAGGCAGGAGAATGGCATGAACCTGGGAGACAGAGTTTGCAGTGAGCCGAGATCGCGCCACTGCACTCCAGCCTGGATGACAGAGCGAGACTCCATCTCAAAAAAAAAAAAAACAAAACAAGCTCAACATCATTAGCCACCAGTAAGGGCAAATTAAGACCACAATGAGACACTGAAACATCACTGCACATCCATCAGAATCCCTAAAATTTTAAAAAATGACAACATTAAATACTGGTGAGGATGCAAAGAACCTGGATCTCTCATAAATTGCTTGTGGGAATGTGAGATGGAGCAAGGACACCTCTCTTAGGGACCTGCAGTTCCCCCATCCTTCAAGCACAGCAATAAAGGAAAATCCTGAGTTTCTTCAAGGGAAATTCTAGGCATGTAGCTGGCCCTGAGAAGTACATAAGCAACCTGATAAGCAAGAAGGTAACTGTAGCTTAGAACAATAGCCGAGGAAGCTAGAATCACAGGATGTTTGGTTCCCCTACAGAAGCTAAAGATAATAGCTTCACATATGTCCCTGAGTTGTTTTTCAGGAACCCAGACCCCTACCAAATGGATCTGCCAGCACATAGACCTCAGATAAGGGGAACTGGGGACTGAACTCTTGACTATCATTCTTCATTTTAAATTTTTTCCTGAGGGGTCTGGAGGAAGTCACAGCCATGAGCCAGAAGTAACATTCTTTGCTGACCCCAAATTTTAAAACAAAGCTTCTCTTCCCTAGCCAGTTGGAAATCAGAGTATCTTTGAATTAACCTGTGACCTGAAAGCTCCCATTTCATAGCCCATCCTTTAGGCCAAAACCAATGTGTGACCTCCATGTATTGATTTAAAATTTTGCCTGTAGCGTGTGCTTTCCTGAAATTACCCCTGCCTTAAAAACGCCTTACCTGGCTGGGTGTGGTGGCTTGTAATCCTTGCACTTTGGGAGACCAAGGCGGGCAGATCACCTGAGGTCAGGAGTTTGAGGCCAGCCTGTCCAACGTGGTGAAACCCCGTCTCTACTAAAAATACAAAAATTAGCCCCGCATGATGGCAGGCACCTGTAGTCCCAGATACTCGGGAGGATGAGGCAGGAGAATCACTTGAACCCGGGAGGCAGAGGCTGCAGTTGGCTGAGATTGCACCACTGCACTCCAGCCTGGGTGACAAAGCAAGACTGTCTCAAAACAAAAACAAAACAAAACAAAACAAAAAACCCTTAGCTGATAGGCATCAGGGAGCTCAGGACTTAAGTGTGAGCTGGCTGATGCTCCTTACTTGGTGCCTACAAACCTCAGTGTGGATAACTGGTTTTCCCATGCCAGGTGAGTGGACTCTATTTCAGTTAGATAACAGATATAAAACATTATAGCCACTCTGAAAAATAGTTGGGCAACTTCTTATAGAACTAAACATGCAATTACCATACCACTCAGCAAGTGCACTCTGGGCATTTATCCAAGAGGGAAGAAAAGTTGTTGCTGAGTTGTATGGTAATTGCATACATGAAATTTCATGCCAGCTTTATTCTTAATAGCCTAACACTGAAAACAGCCTGGATGTCTTTCAACAAGTGAGTCGTTAAACTATGGCACATCACACCATGGTATATGGCTCAGCAATAAAAAGGAATGAACTACCGATACACACAACATGGGTGAAAGTCTGAGGAGTTATGTGGAGTGAAAAAAGCCAATTCCAAAAGGTTACACACTGTATGTTTCCATGTATGTAACATTCATGAAATGGTAAAATTTTAGGAATGGAAGACAGATTAGTGGATGCCAGGCTTAGGGTTGGAGTGGGTGAAGGGGAATTGGGGGTGAGATGGGTGAGCTATAAAAGACCAAATGAGGGATCCTGAAACTGCTGAGGATCTTGACTGCGATGGTATCACACTGTGACAGAATTTTTTTTTTTTTTTTTCCTTGAGACGGAGTCTCGCTCTGTCACCCAGGCTGGAGTACAGTGGCGCGATCTCGGCTCACTGCAAGCTCTGCCTCCCGGGTTCAGGCCATTCTCCTGCCTCAGCCTCCTGAGTAGCTGGGACTACAGGCACCCGCCACCATGTCCGGCTAATTTTTTTTTTGTATTTTTAGTAGAGACGGGGTTTCACGGTATTAGCCAGGATGGTCTTGATCTCCTGACCTCGTGATCCTCCTGCCTTGGCCTCCCAAAGTGCTGGGATTACAGGCGTGAGCCACCGTGCCCGGCCTCACTGTGACAGAATTGTATAGGACTAAATCCAGCACAAAATGAGTACCAGAAAAACAGGAAATCTGAAGATTGGTGGATTATGTTAATGCCATATCCTGGGTGTGACACCCTCCTATAGTTTTTCAAGACATTACCTCTGAGGGAAACCAGGTTAAGGAGTACAAGGGATCCCTCTGTGTTATTCCTTAAAACTTCATAATCAATTAAAATGCAATTTAAAAAATGCAGGGGTCAATGGGCTAGAATTTCAGGAATAGGGCTCTAGAAGAACTGGGGTTCAGGGAAGGCTATCTGGGAGATGACCTTTACGTTGAGACCTAAATGAGGAAGGAAGAGAAGACGCCTGCAGGGTGAGTGAACACTGAGTGGAAAGGCGTGGAGCAGCAGCAGGACATGTTCAGAGAGCAGGAAAGGAACCCATGGGGACAGCTCAAGGCACCTGGATGATCTGACAGCACTTGTCCTCTCACAGATTCCTGGACATTTCCACACCACATGCTTTTTGGCTTCCTAAGCCAAAAAGCACTTCCAGAAAATGAACAGTGAACCCCTTAGTAATTTATATCAGCACACCTTTAAGGGTCATCTCTGCCAGGGGTCCCCAATCCCTGGACCATGGATCAGAACCAGTGCATGGCCTGTTAGGAACTGGGCTGCACACCAGGAGGTGAGCAGGAGGTGAATGAGCAAAGCTTCGTCTGTATTTATGGCCACTTTTCGTTGCTCATGTTATCACCCAAGCTCTGCCTTCTGTCAGATCAGGGGCAGCATTAGATTCTCATAGGAGCATGAACCCTATTGTGAACTGTGCATGTGAGGGATCTAGGTTGTATGCTCCTTATGAAAATCTAATGCCTGGTGATCTGTCACTATCTCCCATCACCCCCAGGTGGGACTGTCTAGTTGCAGGAAAACATGCTCAGGGCTCCCATTGATTCTGCATGATAATGGATTGCATAATTATTTAATATTTCATTATATATTACAATGTAATAGAAATAAATGAGCAATAAATGAACTGTGCTTGAATCACCCTGAAACCATCGCCCCCATACCCCCACGTCTGTAGAAAAAATATCTGCCAAAAAATTGAGGACTGCTGATCTATGACAACATAGATGTAAGATTTAACCAACCTGAAGTTTTTAAAAAAGCAGGGATATAGAAGGTATCTCAGGGCACTGAGTAGTTTTTTTTTTTTTTTTCACCAGTCGAAGTTTAATAATTTCAAGATATACTGAAAACAAAGGCAAGAAACACTTAAAATGATAACAATTCTCAAACTCAAAGTACTGTTTGTAGACATCAGATCTAATGAGGTCACATCACATTAAAATGTTATTAAATAATTAGCTGTACAGGCAATATTCTAAGTACTTTACAAATATCAACTGTTTTAATCTTCTTAAGAACCCTGGGGGAGAGGCACTAATATTAATACCATTTACAAATGAAAACACAGAGACAGAGAGATTAAGTTAATTTACCAGCTGTCACACAGCTAATAATAAATGACGAAAGTAAGACTCAAATTCAGCAATCAATGGTTTGATCCCCTGCACTTTGCTGCATCTCGGAGTGACTTCTGAGGCTCCTGTAGCCAGAAAGGGGCAAAGCAAGGTATAGAACAGAGATTTGACTTCCATTGTCTCATGCTCTTTCCATAAAATCATCTGGTCAGTTCAAATGTTCAACTAGTGTTAGAAAGACTAAGAAATTCTATGTGGTGGACTAGTCAATTGTCACAAGCAAAAACAGCAAAAGAAATATAAAGTATTCCTGAAATCACAACTTTATGTGATATGATTAAACTATGATATACATTTAAATACCAACAACAGAATTCACAAACTAACATATAGAATAATTTTAAGTGAAGTGGCTCATTTTGGGTTAACCCCTTGCAATCAGCTCACGTGATGTGAAAAAACAATATAACCACAACCCAAATTAAACCAAAGAAGAGCTTTCACTGATATGAAGCATTGTTTTTGTTAAGCCGCACTACAGCAACCATACCCACACAAACAGAACTGACATATACTAAAGACTTTACCAATAATTAGCAATGAAAATATTCATGATGTCTTCCAGCAATTTAAAGATACATCTTCTAAGACAAACAATAATAATCAGTGTATGTGCAGCTTTTAAATAGTGATTTCATCTTTATGAAAGTTATAACCTCAACCTTTTAATGTTGTGTTTTAAAAAAATCATACATTTACACTTCCCTACCAATGAAATTTGACTTTTTAAAGACTATAGTTAAAATTTCTATGCTATTTACAAGGTAGGATAATAGTTTGACATTCAGTTAATCAAAAATATTATGTGTTCTCAAGCATCTGTAAATTTAGAATATTATAGGCTGAACATATTTGTAGAGAATTCAAACTACCATTATTTTATTAAGAACATTAAGTGAAACTTGAAACTTAACACATGATAGATCTTTACTTGTATCACTTAACTTATACTGAGTATTTTAGCAATTACATTTTTATTTCCAGCAGGTAATCAAGAATACAGATTTTCGTGGCATTGGTGGTAGAGTGGTGATCATAGCTGCCTTCTAAAAATGCTGATTTTTATTTATCTTATAAATGCGCAAAACGTTTTGGAGAAACAAAAGCAAATTTGAAGTGAGTAAAACTTAACAGTTAACACCAGGTTACATAGCTGGTTAATGGCAGTCCTTGAAATACCTAGCTCAAATCTCAAAATCAAACAATTGCATGGGGTAAGAAATAGAAAGCTTTCTACTCCTTTGTTCTGTTTGTTATGCTGCTTCCCATGCCCAGAAAACATGCAGGGAACCAAGATAATGCATTCCCAGAGCTGCCTCATCAGAAAAATGAAAAAGCTTTACCTTGTCTTCAAAATGGCTGGTAACAGTACAGCCCCAATTTATTCATTTTTCCTTATGCTTGTTCTCTCCCCTACCAGGTACACCTAAATACTGCCTCTTTTTTAAAAAAATTAAAAATCTGCAATCCTTTTAATCCTAGGAGCTATACTAGTTTAGAAGTTTAAAATAAAGATGTAATGAGGAATTTGGTGTCCTAACACCATGAGTCATAGTGATACAATAGCAATATCACCTTTACTATGAAGAATACCTGAGACCAAGCCTAGGTAAAGGAAATTGCAGGCCTGTATTGAACATGCAAGTTTCAGGCTATGGTTTAATTAGTGAGTCAATTTTCTGTCTCCAGTACATTGGCACACCCAAACCTTAAAGATATGTCACACTCATTACCTAGCTGGAAATCAAGACAACTGTAGGACAAAACTAAGCTGACAGTCACTAGAAAAGTGATGATGTCTGATCACCAGTGACACCTCATTTTCCAGACCACATTCTCCTACCTAGGGGTACAAATGGGATAGAGTGAGACGAGGGAGCAAATAGCTTTACCTGGCATGTGAGATAGCAAGCATAAGGAAACAATGATAGATTAAAACTATACTCTTACCAGCCATTGTGAAAGCAAGGCAGCAGACTTCATTTTTCTAACGAGGTGGCTCCAAGAATGCCTCATCCTAGCTCTCTGCGTGTTTTCTAAACATAAGCAGCAGAATAACAAACAGAACAATGAACCAGAAAAGCCTTCTTTTTTTTTAAATTTTATTACTATGATACTTTAAGTTTTAGGGTACATGTGCACAACATGCAGGCTTGTTACATTTGTATACATGGGGCACTGAGTAGTTCTATATGATGAGTGAGAGTTGGTGGGAAGAATCTCGCTTTTTGTATTTTGGCAAGAATTTGCTAATTTGAATACATTTTTCCCTGACCTCAACCATCCTGCAGAACCATATTATTCCCCTGCGTAGACGAGGAGGCTGGCTCAGATGGTTTTTGGTAACTTGCCCAGTCATCAGCTAGGGTGCGGCATGGCCAATGACCCCTGTGTCAAATCTCATGAGGAAAATATCTCCATGGGTCATATGGCATGCTGAGTCCAGTTCAGAAATGAACCCTTATTATTCCTGGGTGGAATTTGTGAAGAATTTCAGTCTGAGATAGTGGTTTAGAGCAAAACCAGTCAGGTAGAAGGCTTCTTGGAAAACTGGAGAGCAAATGGAGCTGTGTGGCAGCAAGGCATGAGACAAGGGTGTTTCCTAGATTAGATGGTTCCAGAGGCCCTGAATGAGAAATACCACATCCTGCCAGCACCACCTCTCCTAAAGGTGAAGACTGAGAGGGCAAGAACCAGTCAGCCATTGGCATCCGTTGGGTAGCTGGCTGTGACTCCTAAGTGTTTTGTATAAATATCTCATGGCCTGTATCTTTTCTGTAAACATGGATATGCCTGTGAAGCCTCTGGGCAGCTGGAATCCTGTGGGAATCCTCCACTTCCTTGGAGGCTAGCCATTGACTGTGAGGACTAAGCTCTGACGTTTTTTTTTATCTTGCCAATTCTTATCTAAGGGGTCTGGGGAGTCATGCCCTATAAACAATGAATTCTCATGAGATGGGTTTTATTTAACCCTATATATCGTGACTTACTTTCCAACCTGACTCTGGCATAACATTACGAGACAGGGAAGAAAATAAAAATATTTTATCCCAAAACATGTTTCTTTGCCATATCTTGAAATGGCCCTGCAAAGCTGTCCTTTGTGGGGGAAATTTGCATCTGTAAAAAATCTCTATTAACATAGCTAGAGCTTTTTCTTCCAGGCTCTCCCAATTTTAAAGAGATTAACTGGCCGGGCACGGTGGCTCACGCCTGCAATCCCAGCACTTTGGGAGGCCGAGGCAGGTGGATCACAAGGTCAGGAGATCGAGACCATCCTGGCTAACATGGTGAAACCCTGTCCCTACTGAAAATACAAAAATTAGCTGGGTGTGGTGGCGGGCGCCTGTAGTCCCAGCTACTCGGGAGGCTGAGGCAGGAGAATGGCATGAACCTGGGAGGCGGAGCTTTCAGTGAGCCGAGATCGCGCCACTGCACTCCAGCCTGGGTGAGAGTGTGAGACTCCATCTCAAAAAAAAAAAAAAAAAAAAGAGATTAACTAAGTGTCTAGCACCTTTTATTAAAGATCTGAATAGGAAACATTTGTCATCTATTGTCTCTAAGGGCAGCCACTATAAGACTTCAAATACCCTGGGTCTCCACAATCTTTTATCTTAACCTGGACATTTCCTTTCTATCAATCCAGGTCTTTAGACAAACTCAACCAATTGTAAACCAGAAAATGTCTAAATTTACCTATAGCCTTGAACCCTGCCCCCTACCCCGCTTTGAGTTGTCCTGCCTTTCTGGACCAAACCAATGTATTTCTTAAATGTATTTGATTGCTGTCTCATGCATTCCTAAAACATATAAAACCAAGCTGCACCCTGACCGCCTTGGGCACGTGTCCTCAGAACCTCCTGAGGGCCGTTTGCTGTGTCACGGGCCATGGTCATTCACATTTGGCTTAGGATAAATCTCTTCAAATATTTTACAGAGTTTGACTCTCTTTGTTGACTACTAGGACCAGCAACCTGGGAAAGTGATGGCTCATCAGACTGGACTCAGCTGCCAGGGGAGTGGGCCTGCCACTGTGAGCCTATCTGAGCTGGGGGTGGGTCAGGGGACTGAGTAGCTCTATATGATGAGTGAGAGTTGGCGGGAAGAATCTCACTTTTTGTATTTTGGCAAGAATTTGAAATCTCAGGGGTCTGAGTCATGCTGTAGTCTCACCACAGGCCTCAGGGGAGTCAACTTCTGACCTGGAGGCCTGGTCTGGGTTTGTGGTGTCTGAGTCATAGTTCGTGTGATAAAAGTACGTGCTCTGGTGTGGAAAGCAGGCAGAGGCTTTTTCACTCCATTCTGTCTCACTGACAATGAAAATGCTAGCTGTGACCCACCACATGGGTTTCATGACCCACGAATGGACCAGGCAGCTGTTTAGAAAACACTGCGGCTCAATTTCTGCCCTCTCTGAGGGGTGTTCTAGAAATCTGTATGGCTGCTGGATTGGAAAGAAAAGAGCAATTGCATGAGGAATTGGGAAGTGAGGACAAACAGAGAAGAAGCCTCAGCTACTATCTCTAAAATATTATCTGAGAAAGAAAACAAACAAACAAACAACAAACACATTTCTTTTCCTGAGGAAGGTGAGCCTTTAAATTATCAGGCCCAGAGAACATTTAGAACAGAACAGCAGTCATGGCTCACTTCCCCTTCAGCTAAGTGGTTACCTCTTGAAGCCACTTGCTATGTGGCTGTAGAATAACTGAGGCCAATTAGCCATAAGATGCCATCCACCCTATAGTTCAACACTGTGTGGGCAATCACTAACCAATGTTATTTCTGTAAACCAATGAGGATTCCTGACAACTCTGCAATCGCCCCATCTCCTGAGTTGTTCTTTTTTCTTTAAAAACTTGAGCCTCCTTTTTGTTCTTGGAGCACTCCCCATGGCAACTTAGAAGTGTGTCCTGGGCTACAGTCCTCAACCTGGGCACAAATAAACTCTCTATGTTAATTTTGTCTCATCTTTCTTTTAGGTAGACACATTAGCTTTGGGAGAATTTCAAAGAGTTTGAAGTTACTTAGATTTGGGAAACCTGAAGGGCAGTGGTGTGTCACTATCTGGTGTGGCCTGGCCTTCAGCCTCTCAGCCCCTTCCCTCCCCACCTCTCAGAGCTCAGGGCCAACTGCATCTCTGAAAGAGCCCAAAGACCTTGTTGAGGAGCAGGGGGATCCTGGCTGAGCCTGCAAGCCCTGGGTCTCTTCCAGACTTTCCTGCCTCTAGCAGCTGCTGCTCTAGGTGGCCATTGGTGGGCTGCATTTGCTCTCTGCTTGCAAACATTGATGACACAGGTATTTTGGGTGTGGTTTAGTAGTGGCCCGACACAATTTTGTTTCCAGTTTGTCACACTGACAAGGTTTTAACCTGACAAATGTTAAACACAAATTATAGGAGGCCATTGTTTTAGACTAAGCTCTTGCACTAGGCCCCAAAAGACAAGACTAAAAATAAAAATAAAGTCACCCATGCTAACGTTTCAGGTCACCAAACTTACTGGAAAGGCGTCCTGATCCTGAGCCCTAGAGAAAGTTCTTGGATCTCCTACAAGAAAGAATTTGGGGTGAGTCCACAGAGAACAGTAAAAGGAAGTTTATTAAGAAAGGAAGGGAATAAAAGAGTGGCTACTCCATAGGCAGAGCATCCCCAAGGGCTGCTGGTGGGTATTTTTTATGATTACTCTTGAATATGTGCTAAGCAAGGGGTGGATTATTCCTGAGTTTTCCAAGAAAGGGGTGAGTTATTTGGTTATTCCCCCTTCCCTTTTACAAGGGAACCCTTAATCCTAAGGGTTGTAGAGTCAGGAAATATGTCAGCAGGAGTCGACTCAGAGACTCTTCATCTTGAATAGGAGCTGGGTAAAATGAGGCTGAGATCTGCTGGAGTGCATTCCCAGGAGGTTAGGCATCCTTAGTCACAGGATGAAATAGAAGGTTGGCAGGTGGTATCACAAGATACAGGTTACAAAGACCTTGCTGATGAAACAGGATGCAGTAAAGAAGCCAGCCAAAACTGGCCAAAACCTGCCAAAAACCAGCAAGGTGAGGAAAACTACCTCTGGTCTTCCTCATTGCTCATTATTCGCTAATTACAATGCATTCTCATGCTAAACGACACTCCTACCAGCACCATGACAGTTTATAAATACCATGGCAACATTTAGAAGTTACCCTATATGTTCTAAAAGGAAGAATTCCTAGAAAACTCATGAATAATCCACCCTTATTTAGTATATGATCAAGAAATAACCATAAAAATAGCCAACCAGCAGCCCTAGAGGCTGCCCTGCCCATGGAATTGCCATTCTTTTATTCCTTTACTTTCTCAATAAGCTTGCTTCTTTCACTTTACTCTGTGGACTCACCCTGGCCCCGAATTCTTTCTTGCACAAGATCCAAGAACATTCTCTTGGGGTCTGGATTGGGACCCTTTTCCGGTAACAAAACTAAAACTAAGTTGTTAATCTACCTTCAGAGAGAGAGAATAGCAACTTCCTAACCAGGCCAGTTTCAGTCTTCAGTCTGAGGCAGCAAAATAGGGTCTGGAGGCAGGGAACATAAGGCCGATTCACACTTTAGCTATGACAGGAAATAGCCTCTGCGTAGGCCAAGTAAATGACTTTGTAACTTTGCATCATCCCTTTCATTTACATAGTGTGTGCCCCAAGCGGAGGACATTGAAACTCCCCAAAATTCTGGAATGGGGCCTTTGAGCCCCTACGCTCAGGCCCGCTCCCACACTGTGGAGTGTACTTTCATTTACCTTTTTTTTTTGAGATGGCGTCTCACTGTGTCACCAAGGCTGGAATGCAGTGGCATGATCTCAGCTCACTGCAACCTCTGCCACCCAGGTTCAAGTGGTTCTCCTGCCTCAGCCTCCCAAGTAGCTGGAATTACAGGCACCTGCCACTGTGACCGGCTAGGTTTTTTTTTTTGTTTTTTTTTTTTTTTTACTTTTAGTAGAGACGGGGTTTCACCATCTTGGTTAGGCTGGTCTTGAACTCCTGACTTTGTAATCCACCCGCCTCGGCCTCCCAAAGTGCTGGGATTACAGGTGTGAGCCACTGCGCCTGGCCGTACTTTCATTTTCAATAAAACCCTTAATTCCTTCCTTGATTTGTTTGTGTGTTTCACTCTTGTCACCCAGTATGGAGTGCAATGGCGCGATCTCGGCTCACTGCATCCTTCGCTGGGTTCAAGCAATTCTCCTGCCTCGGCCTGCCTAGTACCTGGGATTACAGGCACGCGACACCACGTCCAGCTAATTTTTTGTATTTTTAGTAGTGACGGGGTTTCACCATGTTGGGCAGGCTGGTCTCGAACTCCTGACCTCAGGTGATCCATCCGCCTCGGCCTTCCAAAGTGCTGGGATTACAGGCGTGAGCCACCACTCCCGGCCCAACCCCATGTTTTCTCAGGAACTGGAGTTCCCTTTAGGAAGCAAGTAACAGAGGTGCTGGGCTGCCCGGGCCTCTAGGTCGTCTTCTTTCCCAGGCTCTGTGCTCTCACCAGAGTGCGCGTTCGGGAAGCAGGGAGAGGACCAGGAAAGACGCCTGAGACGGAGAGTGGGCACCGGCCGGGGGCAGGCAGGTCCGGCCCCTGGGGGTCAGAGTGCAGCGCCGGTTTGAGGCAGTTCGGCCACTTAGCTGCGACTCGAAGTGAATGAGTCACTTCCCCTCCTCGGGCGAGCTCCTGGCTTTGCCCCAGCAAGCGGGAACTCCCAGGATCAGGAAGGTCCCAGAGAAACTCCCCAGGGGGGAAGCCGAGGCCGTCCAGAGAGATCCAGGGTACACACAGTGACAGTGCCAGCTCCACATTCCCGACCACCGGGCCAGGGCTGGTTCCACGCTGTCATTTCTCTCCGCTGGCCCCAGCCGCGGGGCCACCGCCAGACAGACAGACCGGGGATCCTGCCTGGCGGCGTGACCTTGGGTTAGTCCTAGAGCCGCTTCTAGCCCGGTTTCCTCCGCCCCAGGTTAGGACCACGTGGGTAAGAAGATTTCCTCTGTAGTAGGGGCTGTTTAATGAGTAACAGAACTGGCTGCTGGTTCTTTACAATTGCCCAGCTGCTCTGCAGAGGCGAGAAGCAATTGCGGGCTGAGCCTCCCGGGACCTTCGCGGGAGGGTGGAGAGGAGGAAGGCGGGGGAGGCGGGGCCAGAGGGGCAGAGGAAGGTGGGGGCGGGCGGGGCTTGTCTGCGGGATGGCCCAGGATGCGGTCAGCTGAGTTCGCCGGCCCAGGGCAGGCGGGGCCCGAGCCTAGCGGTAACCCCCGGGCAGGGCGGGGCCGCTCGCAGACTCCATATGAGATTCACCTCGCAGGTGGTTCCCTCATTCGAGTGCTCCGGCGCACAGACCCGCGCCCCGCCGTCTGCGAGCCTCCCGAGAGCCGTCCCTTCGTCCGGCCCTGGAGCATTGCGTTTGTCGCCGGTGTCGCAGTGCGAGGATGGCGCCGCGGGTGTAGCGGCTCTCTGCGCAGGCCGAGTGGTGAGTCGCCCGCGGCCCGGCTCCCGCCGTTCTCTCTTCCCAGGGGTCTAGCCCGTCCCCTGCCTTGGCCACGTGCCCATTTACCTGTAGGGGCGGTGACGGAGGCTCTGGTGCACCTTGGCTGTGAGCTGCAGAGGAGCAGAGAGCGGCCCGGCGCGGCTGCGCGGGGAGGCGGGCGCGCGGCCGGGAGGTTCTGGGGCTGGTGTGTGCGGAGCGAGGTGGGCGTGGGGGAAGCGCGCGGGCGGGATGTGCTTCCTCGGGTCCACCCCGTGCCTACCTCTCCCACGTCCCGGCGACGGAGCGCGCGGGGCTCTGGGCGGGGAGCCCACCGGGCCGAGGCGCAGCGAGGGTGAAGCCAGAGCCGGCAGGGTCAGGTCCCGCAGGGCGCAGGCGGGCGCTTCTCGCAGCCCAAACCCGGGCGGGGAGTGCGGGAACCCCTAGAACTATGCTGGGAGCCCCAGATAAGAGGAAGGAGATGGTGACTTAAGTGACGAAGTGATGTTTTGTCCCCACCGCCTTTTAAAGGGAGAAGGGGGTAAAATTTCATTTGGAGGATGATTGTTACGCGAGCTTTCAGAGTTCAGATGGCGTCAAGTGGCCATCGAGTCAACATTTAACAAAATGTTACCGCATAAAATATTGTCATCGAGTTATCTGGCAGCTCCGCAGAGAAACTTCACAGGCATATGCGTTATATGACATAATTTGCATGGGGAAGGGGGTCCCTTCACGATTCTTTTATATGGCAACCTGTTCTTGGACCTGGCAGGGCCCAGAGAAGCGAGGAACTCCGCAGCTCGTCGACACGTCTCGTCTCCTGTCCCAATTCAGGGCTTGGTGAGGTGACTCGCGGTCGCGGGTGACTCGCCGGCAGGACACTGCCTGGAACGCCTGGAGCGCCTCCCACTGCAGACGTCTGTCCGCCTCCAGCCGCTCTCCTCTGACGGTCAGTTTCAAAGAAACACAGTCTGGGATCCGGAGTAGAAAGAGGCCGTTTCCCGTGAAGGCCATAGAGGCAGTTTCCAGGCGCCTGGGTGACCTGTCTCTGCACTTCCCTCTCTGCTTCTCCATCCCTGTTTCCTTTCCCCACTGTCCCCTGCCTGGCCTTTCTTTGGCTCATTTTCTGCCTTCCTGGGGTCTTCTGGTTAAAAAGACCATTGGTTCCATTCATTGGCTGTAACCGCGGGTCTTTAAAAAACTTTGTGACTTCCTTGAATAGAAAGAATGTCTTACTCTGGATTTCTACAAGCGCTGCTGAGCCATTCCCAGGGCAGGCCTTTGTCTCTCCCGCCTTTCAGTTTGTTTGCCCATCTGCATTTTGGCCCAAGCTTTCCCCATTTCTCAGCTGCTCTTACATTATTTCTTTTTTCAGAGGCTACCCTGACCTTCTAGTCCTCTGCATTAAACCTCATCACCGCAGACCGTTTTAATTCAGCACAGGTGTATCGAGCACAAATTATATTCTTGGTTCCAATACTTTCAGCACTGGTGGGCATTCATGTTTCATTTAAGAAGGATAAATTAGTGTTTCTTTACATGGGCTTTTTGTCAAAGTGGAATTTTGTTGACTTTACTGATCTTAAAATTAACGCAAACTTATTGTAAAAACAAACAAACAAAAAAACCCAAAAACCAAAAATCAAATATATAACAGAAAATGAAACTTCTAGGTTTTCCTCTTCCCTAAAGATAAACAACAAACATTCTTCTTCCTTCTCCTCTCTCTCTCACACACATTTGCTTTTGAAATATGTTCATTCAAAAAAGTATTTTAAATGTTTACAAGCTAAGTTATTTATGCAAGTAACTTACCAATCTGATTTGAGTTTAACGGGTTAAAACTAAAAAAAAAAATCAAAAACATCTTCAGTTTTTTTTTTTTTTTAAGTAAGATGGATCTGGCTGGTAATAGGTAGAGAGCCCCAGGTGATCACCGAAAAGACTCTTCCTTGGGGAGCCAAATCCTAAGCCAGGTTTAGGATTTCCCTGGGAGGTAGAATTTGCAGCCCAGGTAAAACCAGCAAAACTCTCCTGTTATGTGGGGAGGGGAGCGAAGAGCATGGCTTTCTAGAGAGGTGAGAGAAGACTTGTTGAGAAACTGAATTTCATTTCCTTACGGAAGTTGGAGAACATTGTGGTACAATGTTAGGAGAAAGGTTTTCTAAAATCAGTGCAGTCTGACATCTTCAACACCAGGGTCTTTTCCACTGGAGCACTGCAGACATCTGCAACTTTCTCTGCCTACGTGGGTGTGGTTAAATAGACCCTCCCTGAGTGCAGGGCTGAAAAGTGGAGAGAAGTTAGTTCTTGGGACACTCACACCCAGGAGGGGGGATCCTGCAGGTACTAAGATTGCAAAGGGAAAGAGAGAGTGAGGCTGGTCCTGGAGCCCACTAGGAAGGAGCCAGCGGAAAGCAGTGACTGGACAAGGGAACTGATTTCTCTGCTGATGTGGCCTTGGTTTCTCTGGTTCAGAGTAAAGAAAAGCAACCAAACCTAGAGAGAAACATCCTTACTCTACAAGGCCAGACGGGAAGTTCTGTCTTTGGCTTGGTTTCCTTTTCTACAAACGGGGTTGGATTCTCTCTGGAGAGCTTTCCGGGGGCCACTCAGCAGTCTCTGATTCAGTGGGATGTTCTCAGCTGCTGGCCCAAGGGAGCTCACCTCTTAGCTCTTCCCCTGCCTGGTTCACTGGGGGGCTGCTCCCTCCCATTAGCTCCCTACCCCTAAAGACAAAAATAGCAGCCTGGAGGGGGCAGAGTTTTAGGGGAGGTTGTAAGAGGGCACATTCTTCAGAGGAGCCACTCTTACGGGGGAATGTTCCTGCCCCACAGAAACTGGCCCTGGGGATCAGGACTCTGCCTGACCCTAAACCCTACTTCTTCCCTCAGTCGGTAGGTCTGCTTAATGGATCCTGAAGAAGGCCTGAAATCATGACCAGACCCCTACGCCCCGGGATCCTCCTGTAGTGCCTTTTGATAAGAAGCACTGCCCTGGCTTCTCTCTCCTCCTTCCACATGTGTAGGGAGAGGTAGCTCTGCCTATTCATGAAGCTTCATCCCTACACTGTCCTTCATTTGGCCCCTGGTGAACCGGGGGCCAAGGTGTGATACCTCTTTTAAAACTCATTCCCTTCACACTGGTGTTGTGACTCATGCCTGTAATTCCAGCTACTTGGAGGCTGAGGTGGGAGGATCACGTGAGCCCAGTAATTTGAGGCGGCAGTGAGCTGTGATTGCACCACTCCACTCCAGCCTGGGTAACAGAGTGAGACCCTGTTTGTTTCTTTTTTTTTTTTTTTTGAGACAGAGTCTTGCTCTTTCACCCAGGCTGGAGTGCAGTGGCATGATCTCGACTCACTACAACCTTCATCTCCTGGGTTCCAGCGATTCTCCTGCCTCAGCCTCCCGAGTAGCTGGGATTCCAGGCATGCGCCACCACACCCAGCTACTTTTTTGCATTTTTAGTAGAGATGGAGTTTCACCATGTTGGCCAGGCTGGTCTTGAACTCCTGACCTCAAGTGATCTGGCCTCCTCGGCCTCCCAAAGTGCTGAGATTAGGGGCGTGGGCCACTGTGCATGGCCCCCTGTTTCTAAAAAAATGAAGAATAAAGTGTTGAATTAAAAAAAAAATCAACAACACCACACCTTATTCCCCTTCTTAGCTCTCCTTAGCTGGACTGCAGTAGGCTGGGATTTCCAAAGAAGTGTTGTGTAAATGCTAAGGGAGAATGAAAGCCTGGTGGAGAGATTTAAGGCAGCAATTGGAGGGAACATTTTTCTCCACACCTAACAACTGTAGTTTTCCCTGGCATTCAAAATTTGCTGGAAATGATCACTATATTATGGTAATAATAAATCCCATTCTCCAAAAAGGGACCTTTTGGGTTTTAGCTTGGTGACAAGAGACTGCTGAGTTACGAAGGTGAGAACCGTGTGGTGGAAACAACTGGCTTGACCTCAGGAAAGCAGCTTCACTTCACAGACTCCTACTGATGTCTTTATGAGCCTTGGATCATCCTGTAGACCCAGTGCTTCACTCTCTTCCTCTCAGCATGAATCCTGCCCACTCTGCAAGGCTTTCCAGGGAGTTGGGGGCCTGGCCATTACAGGGCATTTGGGGATTTGTTTCTTTATTAACTGAGTTCAAAACGTGAGTCTCACCCTCCTTCAAAGAGCTCTGGCAAAACCCTGCCCTTCTCCACACAGAGAAGTGGTCTTGGGGGTTTCTGACTACTGAGCCCTAGTAGAATAACTTCAGGTACGCCACGTTTTTCCTTCATGGGACTTTGCAGTGGAGACGGGGCCGTGGGCTGACTCAGGTCAGCCTCAGTCCCTCTCCCTCCTATGGTGGTCCCCTGTCCCCGCTGCTCCCCCTGGAGCTGATAACTTTTACCCATCTTTGACCCAATTCTTCCTGGGGAGAAGAGCATCTGAGATTCTAGAAAAGTGAGGCAGAGGCCAGGCGCAGTGGCTCACACCTGTAATCCCAGCACTTTGGGAGGCCGAGGCTGGTGGATCACCTGGGGTCAGCAGTTCGAGAACAGCCTGCCCAACATGGTGAAACCCTGTCTCTACTAAAAATACAAAAATTAGCTGAACATGGTGGCGTGTGTCTGTAGTCTCAGCTACTCGGGAGGCTGAGGCAGAAGAATTGCCTGAACCTGGGAGGCGGAGGTTGCAGTGAGCCGAGATGGCACCACTGCACTCCAGCCTGGGTGACAGAGCGAGACTGTCTCTATTAAAAAAAGGGAGGCAGAGAGGTGTGGTGTGTTGGGTCAGTGAGTCTTGACTTGCTGAGCTGGGAAATTGGGAATAAGGGACAGGTTTTTGTTTTGTTTTGTTTTGTTTTTTGAGACGGAGTGTCGCTCTGCAACCTCTGCCTCCCAGGTTCAAGCGATTGTCCTCCCTCAGCCTCCTGAGAGTAGCTGGGATTACAGGCGCCTGCCACCACACCTGGCTAATTTTTGTATTTTTAGTAGAGATGGTGTTTCACTGTATTGGACAGGCTTGTCTTGAACTCATGATCTCCACCCACCTTGGCCTCCCAAAGTGCTGGGTTTACAGGCATAAAGGGGACAGGTTCTCTGGAGGTGTGAGGTGCCTGTCCACTTAGGCTTTTGGCACATTTTCAGCACCTCCTCTCTGAAACTAGCAATGCTATAAACACACATACACACTCTCCTCTCTCTCTGTTTCTATTTCTCACACAATTCACACACTTACATCAGGTGTGTAAGGAATTCCACTTCATTGCACTGACTTTCTACATATTAGTGGGGCTCTGCACGATCTTGGTTTCTACTGAGTGGATTCACTCCATTCTGTGATTTTTTTTCCTTAGGGTCCTGCCTCAGTTGGCGGAATGGCGGCCACGGGAGCCAATGCAGAGAAAGCTGAAAGTCACAAGTAAGGCTCCATTTCATTCCAGGTTGGGTTGGGTGGGGTTGGGTTGTTTATAGAGCATATGTTGTGCCACACATTTTTCTAAGGACTTGACATATATTAACACATTTGATGCTTGTGAAAGAGACTGAGGCCTGGAGGGATTAATGACTCAGGAGGTTCGTACATTAGATGGTTAAAGACCTCCGGGGTCGGGTGCTGGGGCCTCAGCTCTTGATTCTTAGGACATGTTGTTTCAGAAAACCAGACAAGTCCCTGCTCAAATCTCTGTCTAGTAGGTTTTTCCTCTATGTGCCAATTTCTTAAACAAAATCCCCTGCTTATCACTCAGCTCTGCCTTGGTTCTGAATTTTAAATGCCTTCTTATTTCTTTGCAGTTTGTCATACTTCTGGTATGCTTGGCATGACACCACTTGTGTTTAGGCATTGCTAGAAAAGCAAGAATTTCTTGTCTTCATTCTGATTCCTATGTGAACTTTAATCCGCTGATTATTCTTATTTTCTCACCCCCCCAGTTGTCTCCCACCTCTGCTGGGGTTACCTGGGCAGGCCTTCTGTCCTGCCGCCATGGCCTCTCCCCAGTCTTGGTGGCCTCTGACCTTGGCACCACCCAGGGTTGTGGTGACCTCTGGCCCCCCTTGCTCTGGACTCCTGGTCCTTTGTTCCTCTGTAACTTCCCTGAGACCTCTCTGAAGTCTCACATGTGACAGCTGCATACCCAGGTCATAATTCCATATGGACAATGCTCTTCTCCTCCTCCATTCCCCAGAAGTCCTGGTGTCCATTTTGGAGTTTCTGGTGCCTGTGGACATTCCCTGCAGTGATTTTTTTTTTTTGAGATGGAGTTTTGCTCTTGTCGCCCAGGCTGGAGTGCAGTGAGTGGCGCAATCTCAGCTTGCTGCAACCTCTGCTTCCCAGTTTCAAGCAATTCTGGTGCCTCGGCCTCCCAGGTAGCTGGGATTACAGGTGCAAGCCAGCACACTTGGCTAATTTTGTATTTTTAGTAGAGATGGGGTTTCACCATGTTGGCCAGGCTGGTCTCAAACTCCTGACCTCAAGTGATCCACCCGCCTCAGTCTCCCAAAGTGCTGGGATTACGGGCGTGAGCCACTGTGGCCTGCCTCAGTGATTATTTTTTAATTGAACTAATAGTATTCCTGGTATTTTCAGTCATTGACAGCCAAAAATGCCTTGTCCCCAGTTTCTGGAGCTCCCCTCCTTCCTCCTCCTGCCATGGCTTGAGGTTGAGGCCTAGTAGGAGGCTGGTGGGGGTGGAGGGGAGTGGTAGAAATGAAGGCTGGAGAAAACAGGGCCGGCACACCAAGTGCCAAGCAACTCAGTGAGGGTTTCCTCCCCTTCCCTCTCTTCAGTAATTATTTTACCCTCCCTTGTTTTATCCTCAGCTATCTGCTAATCATGTTCCACTTGCTGAAAGGCAGTCAGGTGTAGAGCTCAGGAGTACAGCCTCTTAGGAAGGATGTGACCTTGGACTTTGAATGGGGTTACTGATGGTACTTAGTTTATACTGAGAGTATTAAATGAATTGATATGTGCTAGCTATTAATAACTTCATTTCTACCCCAAGTCGAAAGCCTTCCATGAGTGGAACTGGATCTTACTCATCTTTATGTTCAGTACACCCAGCACAGGATGCTTGGCTGTTGCGAGATGCAGCCAGCATTTTCTGGAGCCCTCCCACTTCCCCTTCCCCAGTACCTCAGGCCCCTGTGTCTCACCCATCTCATTTTCTTCTTGTCTCCACATGTGCTGGTCCTAAGCTATTTGGGCAAGTTTATATAAAGGTTGATACTGCTTTCTCTTCCCTGCTGATAAACTCCTGGAATCAGAAGCCAGTTTTCATTGCTTTCTTTTTTTTCCTTTTTGTCTTTTATTGAGACAGGGTTTCGCCCTTTTACCTAGGCTGGAGTGCCGAGGTGTGATCTCAGCTCACTGCAACCTCTGCCTCCTGGGCTCAAGTGATCCTCTCACTTCAGCCTCCTGAGTAGCTGGGACTACAGGCATGCACCACCACACCCAGCTAATTTTTGTATTTTTCACAGAGACAGGGTTTCACTGTGTTGTCCAAGCTGATCTCAAACTCCTGGGCTCAAGTGATCTGCCCGCCTCAGCCTCCCAAATTGCTGGGATTACAGGCATGAGCCACCGCGCCCAGACAGTTTTCATTTCATTTCATATATTTCTTTTACATGGTAGATGCTCAATGAATATTTGCTAGATGAATAAAGTGGTAGAATAAAGCAGAATAAAGTCACTTGAAATTATGTGTAGACTAGAGAAATATTTTTTTCCAGGTAGTATGTCTCTGACTTGTTATTTTAAAATCCTTCAAAAAATAAATTGGGGCATCTACTGGTTCATTATGGTACATGTTAAATTTACTTTTTAAATTTTACTTTATTTTTTATTTTTAGACAGTCTTACTCTGTTACCTAGGCTGGAGTGCAGTGGTGTGATCAGGGCTCACTGCAGCCTCAACCTCCTGGGCTCAGGTGATCCTCCCACATCAGCCTCCCAGGGAGGTGGGACTATAGGTGCATGCCACCATGCCTGGCTAATTTTTACATTTTCTGTAGAGTCAGGGTTTCACCATGTTGCCCTGGCTAGTCTCGAATTCCTGGGCTCAAGTGATCCACCTGCGTTGGCCTCCTAAAGTACTGGGATTACAGGAGTGAGCCACTGTACCCGGCCAAATTTTCATGTTTTAAAATAATTGCCTGTCTTCACGGTTACACCCTACTTCCTTCTTCTTCATTTCTCAGAATCAAGGAGAAAAGACAAGTATTTTATTTTGAAATATGTGACAAAGTTGTCTTAATCACATCCTGTTTTGTTATTTTGAAGCATGACTCTTAGCCCTTCTATGTTGTACTCTGTGTATTTCTAACATCCTGAAGGAGGAGAATGGAAATGTTACTTACATGAAAAATAGTTGTCACTAAAGGATCCTAAAATACTGTGGGGTGTGCAGATCGTCAGAATTTCAGATTGGCCTAGAGATCAAAAAGGTTTTCTGAGAAAAGTTCAAGGATGGTCCTTACCACACGTGATTCTGGATTTGGTCGCTTGAAAAATGGCCTTGCCCCACATCCCAGAGTAGAATGAACCCTGATTCTGGAGATCCCCCCAATAGCTTGTCAGGAAGAGGTGGGCTTAGGGGCAGGCGGGTGTGGCTCTGTGCTTCAGGCAGGCTGCTGTGCCTTCCTGAGCAGGGTTTTCAGCAGATTCACTAGTGCAGTCAGCAGAGTCCCTGCCTGCCCATACAGGAGACAGTCACCTAGCCCCCTGTCCCCTTATACAAAGATCTCCCTGTCTCTGTGTATAACCCTTTGTACTTATGTTTTCTATATCAGCCTTTCTGAAATGTTCAGGTGTGAGCTCACCTGGGCCCCACTCTAGGGGAATTGATGGGAAGGAACATTTGACAGTCATGAAAGGAGGAAGCAGTCAGGTATAGGCCATCTGTGTGTTTGGAGCCTGGGTGTCTGCTGTTGATGAGTGCCAGATAGAAATAGGGATTTGATAAAATGATAGATAAAATAGGATGGGACCATCTCAACCTTGTTTTTCTTGTCTGTGGTGTGTTACGTGGGATTCAGAGATATATAAGACGTGGTCATGGCCTCCAGAAATTTTTGTTCTGGAGGTAAAGTTATTACATTAATTATGTATACCAGTGTTAAAATATAGATAAGGTGTAACAAGCATCGTGTGGGGAGAGAATGGACAATGTCTGTGAGGGGGGTGCATCCCTTATTTAACAGTTATTTCCAAATCCGTGGCAGCTGAGACCTTGCCTCTCTTGTGTCTTTTTCTTTTCTCATGAGTTAGAATGAGGAGGAGACATGACCACGGGGTTCAGGGCAGAAAGTCAGACTCAGAAGGAAGAAAAAGAAGTCCCCAATTGCTCTGACATCAGCATCCCATGTCTGCCTCTGTTTCCTGTAAGGGAGCCCACCCATCTCTAGGACTCAGAAGGCATACATTGTTGAAGGAGCTACGTTTGAGGCTGGCTCTAAGGGACTTCGACAGGCTTGAGGGACTCATCTAGACCTGGGGCATTTGTTTTGTAAGGAAGGTTTTATTGGAACACAGACACACTCACTCATTTGTGTGCTATCTGTAGTTGCTTTCACATGTCTACGGTGGACTTGAGAAGTAGCAGAAATCATGCAGCCTGCAAAACCACATGTATTTATTATCTGGCCTTTTATGAAGAAAAGTTTGCTGATGCTTGCTCTAGACCAGCATGTGCCACGAGCACATTTTCTAGCAGATAAACAGATGTCTTATCTTGTCACTCCTATTGGATATCGTGCTGGAGAAGTGGTAGCTAGTGTAACAAAAACAAAAACAAATTGAAGGTATGCAGATTGGAAAGGTTATCTCTGGGAGGTAGGATTAGAGGTTGTTTTTCCTTCTATTTCTGTTCATATTTCCTATGGTAAACATAGTAGTTTTAAAATAAATTCAAGTTTATACATCGAATGAACTTGATTAGAGGAGCAACTGGCTATACTCCCTACTCCTTGTATGGGTAGATCAAACATTTCCATCTGTGTACTTTCGTGTGCTCTTCTGATTTCATCCCTGTTGCCCTCCAAACAGAGCCATGGGAGCAACAGGGGTTAAGAGGGAGGAGAAGGGGGAAGAACAGAGGGGAGGCAAGTGCGGACCTTGGCAATGTTGGGGTTGTCTTATCTCCGGGATCTGGCCCTGTCTTTCTCCCACCATGAGCCTCGTGTCTGACATAGGCCACTTCTGTGATAATGTCGGCTGTCGGGCACTGATGTTCTATAAGCCTTCCACTTTCTTGTTTTTTAACAGTGATTGCCCCGTCAGACTTTTAAATCCAAACATAGCAAAAATGAAAGAAGATATTCTCTATCATTTCAATCTCACCACTAGCAGACACAATTTCCCAGCCTTGTTTGGAGATGTGAAGGTAAGAGGCCAGGTGTTGACACCTTGGAATTTGCCTTAAGATCAACCTCCCCCTATATTATACAGGTAGACCAACCCACAAATGCTTGAGAGACCACAGCTGACAGGTTTATGAAGACATAATGTTTACCAAATTTTTGCAAGTTTTTAACTTTCAAGTATGTGAACTAGCAAGTAAAACTATCCTAAGTAGTGCCAAATTGTTCCCTAATTCATCTTTTGCAAATTTAGTGCAGTCATGCATTGTTTAACTCTGGAAATACGGTCCGAGAAATGCAGCCTTAGGTATTTCATCATTGTGTGGACAACATAGAGCGTAACCACACAAACCTAGGTGGTAGAGCCTACTACTTGCCTGGGCCATATGCCTCTAGGCTACAAACCTCTATAGCATGTGAGTGTCCTGAATACTGTAGGCAGTTGTAACACAGTGGTAAGCATTTGTGTATCTATACATATCTAAACATAGAAAAGCTACAGTAAAATCATGGTATTATATAATTTTCTGGGACCGCTGTTGTGTATATGTGATTCCTTGCTTACCAAAACATCGTTACATGGGGCATGACTATGCATTTGAAACTATATATAAAATAAACTTCCTAATGCTTCATTGAGAGAAGAGAAAGATGTAAAAATTTCCTAGGGAAGCAAAGGATAGTAAATAAAGGTCATTGTATTTTGTTTGTAATATAAGATACATATTGATATTCTGTTTAGTTAATTGCCTTTAATGTCTTATTTTGCTTCATGCAGCTTCCAGTTAACTTTTTCTACAAAGTCTTAAGTCCCTTAGTTCTGATTTATCTTAACGTAGGACTTTGAAATGTCTAATGGGTAAAGATGAACTGACATGTAGAATTAAAAATCAAAATATACCAGGACGCTAGAATCCAGTGCTGCTACATGGGATCATAATTAAACAATAGTGTTATGTCTTATCAATCATCCTGTTCTTTGATAGTGTTGGTTTCAAATGGTGGACAACTTCCCATGTGCTTTTAATTCATTAAAATTTCATTCATCCTATTAAGTTAATCCGTAGTGATTTTTATTCCAGGCTATGGAATTTTCTTTTTTATGTTTAGAGAATAATTAATAATTCTTTTCTTTTATCTTCAGACTTTTTTTTTTAAATTTTTTGACCTGGAGTCTCACTGCCCAGGCTGGATTACAGTGGTGTGATCTCAGCTCACTGCAACCTCCCTGTCCTGGGTTCAAGCGATTCTCTTGCCTCAGCCTCCTGAGTAGCTGGGATTGTAGGCACCTGCCACCATGCCCAGCTAATTTTTGTATTTTTTAGTAGAGATGGGGTTTTACCATGTTGGACAGGCTGGTCTGGAACGCCTGACCTCAGGTGATCTGCCTGCCCACTCCCAAAGTGCTGGGATTACAGGTGTGAGCCACTGTGCCCAGCCATCTTCAAACTCTTTAAAAACTTACTCACTTAAAAAAATTTTTTTTTTCAAAACCAACATTTTCTTACATGATGTTCTGCAAATTAAAGTTTTTACTTCTCTGAGAGAGACCCATCCAGAATAGCTATCACTTCCTGAGCCTCCTCTAGGCTTCGGCTGGCTCTTCTCAAGCATTGGCTATTTGGCACTCAAGTAACCAGGCGAGAGAGCGGTCAGTAGCCCATTTTGTGGGGCCCTGGTAACACAGAGGGACAGTGAGGAGTTGCTCCCTCTGTTTCAAACCCAGGCTGTCTCCACAGGCCGCCTTCTACATGACGGAGGGAGGCCGAGGGTGCACAGGACCTGGAATTACCTCCTCAGAGAGAGCAAGGGTCTGGATTCCTGCGTTTGTGGAGCTGACTGCCTTTTGATGCTTGGCCGCCCACCCTGACCACTCACCAGGGGGCCTTGTTAAAGCAGATTCCTGGGCCCCTTAGATTCAGCAGGTCCTGGTGAGGCCAGTGAACTTATATTTTTAGCAAGTTCATTGGTAATACTGATGTTGCTGGTCTAGGGGCCCCACTTGAGGACCTCTGCTATAGACAGTGCACTAATGGGGGTCTCTCTTCTCTGGCTGCAGTTTGTGTGTGTTGGTGGAAGCCCCTCCCGGATGAAAGCCTTCATCAGGTGCGTTGGTGCAGAGCTGGGCCTTGACTGCCCAGGTAGAGACTATCCCAACATCTGTGCGGGAACTGACCGCTATGCCATGTATAAAGTAGGACCGGTGCTGTCTGTCAGTGTGAGTACCTGCCTTCCCTTGTGCTCAGTCTCTAGGCTCTGCAACCCCCTGTGCCCCACCCCTCTGCACACACAGACAGCTGGTCCCCTAACACCTGCTTACTGTAAATGGCTGGGAGCAGGGTGAGCCCACAGTAGCTGGGATTCAGAGATTATTGAACTCAGGCTATCGTCCTTGAGGCTCAGTCTCCAGGGGCGACTAAGTACACAAATGCATATACACCGCTGTCTGTCTACACAGTGTGAGGGTGGCAGGTGCAGGGAGTTAGAGTGCTTGGGGTGTAGAGGAAGGACAGTAGGGGGCGCCCTGCCTGGAGCAGGATGGAAGGAGAGCCTCAAAGTACCAGGCCTCTAATCCCCTCTACCACCTCACAGTGAGTTACTTCAAAACACATTTTGATTTAGCAAGGAGCATGGTGAACACAGAAATCTCCAGATTCTACCATAGAAGTCTTTTCATTTTTCAGTTTTGATTTTGTCAGGAGCAATATAAATGAACAGCTGCAGAGTAAGGAAAGGGAACCCCTTTTGTTGAGATGTGCACCCCTACCTCTCCAGTCAGCTGAGGACACTAGCTATGTCAACCAACTAGAACATATCAGGGAGCCAAGACATGACTAGGTTACTGATAATCTGCGCAAGCCTTTCCTGTGTGTAAGGCTCCGTGACCGATTCTAGCAGGGATGCCTCCACTGTATGGCTCTGCCACAGGAACAGCCCCTGGAAAGTGCTGAGTTCATCCGGGGAGAGGCATCACAGAAGTTGTGACACTAGGGGGGGTGCTCTGAAGAGGAGAGCAGGAGAAGGAGGTATGCAGAGACCCCAAAGAGAGGAAAAGGCACAGGCAGACAAGATCAGCAAAGCATCCTGTGTCCAGTGGGCTGAGGAACCAGCTGATTACTTAGTTTGTCTGAAGCAGAGGGTGTAGGGAGAAAAGAGAAAGGAGATAAAACTTTAACCTGTGGTGGGGTGTGGGAGAATAGGGTGGGTATTTATGCAGGGCTTCAAATGCTAGAAGGAGCTGTTTGTTACCTGGCAATAGCAGACTGCTGCTTCCCTGCTGAGCCCCTGGGTCCGCAGCTGTTACCTATTTGACAAATTGTGTCGATCAAATGGGGTTTTGTCTTTGACAGCTTTGCATACACTTTAAAGTTTCCCAAAGTGTTACTAGTTCTTAAATTTATATTTAAAAAGTTTATCTTTCATCACTATGTCAATGGGCATGTTAGATTGAATTACATCACATGAAACATCAGCCAGAACATTGACAAAGTCACAACCTTGGCTTAACATGGGTGTTTCTCCCTGGTTCCAGCATGGTATGGGCATTCCTTCTATCTCAATCATGTTGCATGAGCTCATAAAGCTGCTGTACTATGCCCGGTGCTCCAACGTCACTATCATCCGCATTGGCACTTCTGGTGGGATAGGTAAGGTCTGCAGAGGGGCCTCTTGCCCTGTGAATGGATGAGGGACTGGGGCATGCCAAGGCAGCTTCTACATGGTGTGGCATTAGAGACAAAGAGTTCCTTTCTTGGCTTTGTTCAAGGGAAGCTTGTTAACAGGAGGTGTGAAAAGAAGCTTGTTTTGTTGTTTTTGTCCAACCTGTTCTCCCAACCCGCACCCCAGAGCTAGGCAGTAGAAGGGCACCACACCATGCATATGGGGGAAACTCATCCTTTTGGGGTTACACAATTTGTGCCTTCTTGTCTGCTTGATTCTGTCTTATTCTTTCTAATCCCCCTTCTTCTCCATTCTCTCCTTTCCTTTGCTTACTTTTCCTCCTCCCTAATCCTGCAGGGATTTTGAAGCACCTTAGGAGAAAAGACACAGGAAAATCAAAGGGGGGAAGAGAGAGGCGCAGTACAAAACTCAGATAAGTGTCCTTAAATTAGCTTAAAATGTCCCTATCCTCAACAGGGACATTTTTTTTTTGTTTAAAAAACAAAGATGGTTGGCCGGGCGCGGTGGCTCACACCTGTAATCCCAGCACATTGGGAGGCCGAGGCGGGCGGATCACAAGATCGGGAGATCGAGACCATCCTGGCCAACATGGTGAAACCCCGTCTCTACTAAAATACAAAAGATTAGCTGGGCGTGGTGGTGCACGTCTGTAGTCCCAGCTGCTGGTGAGGCTGAGGCAGGAGAATCGCTTGAACCCGGGAGGCGGAGGTTGCAGTGAGCCAACATCGCGCCACTGCACTTCAGCCTGGCAACAGAGCGAGACTCCATCTCAACAACAACAACAACAAACAAACAAACAAAAACCCCCACAAACATGGCAAAGAAAGAATGAGATTTAATGAGAAAGCAAAAGCTAACAAATTGTTGAATTGTAAGCCAAAGTCTGTTAGGCAGATTTGTTTTAAATACGTGGTCTTGCTCTCTGGGGTTCCAACTCTGTGCCATTCTTTCTGCTAAAAACTGGGTTCTAGTGATTCCTGCTCCCACCGAGGTGTTCAGAGCTCAGGGAAGAAGCCTGCATGTGCCCTAGAGAAAGTTGAGCTTTGCCGCTGCTGGCCAGGCCTGTGTGTACTTGTTCCAGGCTGTCTAGGGCCTGGACTATCTAGGATTTATAGCAATTCTAGAATTTAAGTGTCCTGACCTTGAAAGGGGACTTGCTTTAGACCCAAATATTTTGAATATGTTATCTTGTCTCTTTTCTTTTTGTTATATAGAGAGATTGATGCATAAAATCTGTGTTTGTATGACTGTAATTCCAAGTTTAGCGAAATTGTCCCTAGGACAACACACCAACGGCCATGAGCTGTCTCGGTCCTGCAAGCTTAGTCTCCGATGCTGCCCACCTGACACAGCTGTGCATAGCATGCTGGCCTCTGCCAGGAACTCTAGTGAATGGTTCTTGAGTTCTTGCTCTGGAGTGATTTTTAAAACAATGATCAGATAATTCTGGAGGGAGTAGTATAGATTTTGAATTTTCCTCAATTGCTCTGTAAAAATGGAAAGAGCAACTAGGGAGCAAAACCAAAAACCACTGGACACAGTTGATAATAAAAGGTGATGTGCTATCCTCACAAACCCCAAAGTATGAATGGGTGGAGACAAAAAGCCTCAGGATCTGGTTGTGTTGGCAGCTGCTCAGGGGGAAGCTCAAGGCGATGGACAGACCTGAGAACAAGAGTCCCAGGCACTCCTAGGAAGGTGCAGGGGGACATGGTGAAGATGGCAGCTGACACTGGAGGGGGCCTGTGCGTCCCAATGTGAGTGATGCTGGAATTCCAAGGGGCTTGACCACTCCAGGCCCTGTGGGTTCACCAAGGCATCAGCCAAGCTCTCCTCTAGCTCCAGCCCCAGTGCTGGGAGAAGCTGCTGAAATGAGACTCTGAATTGCCCAGAACAGCCGCAGGAGTAGCAATGGAAAGAGGAGTTCAGATACATGTGGGGAGCGAAGCAAAGGTCTTTGCAATCGGCCATGTTTTTTAATGTTTCATGAAAACAACTGACTTGGGAGCTCTGGAAAAGATCTGACTTCTTGTTCCCTCCCACATGTTTAGGAAAACCAATTTTGCATTAAAATAAGTATCAGAAATGGATCATAGTTATCTTAGTCCCTGCAGGTTGATAGACAAGATGCCATTGACTGAGTGGCTTATAAACAATAGGAATTTATCGCGTAGTCTGGAGGCTGCGAAGTCCAAGGTCAAGGAGTCAGCAAACTTGGTGTCTGGTGAGGGCTAACTTTCGGATTCATAGAGCTCTGTTTTCTCCCTGTGTGCTCACATGGCAGAAGGGGCAGGCAGCTCTCCGGGGTCCCTCTTATAAGGGCACTAATCCCACTCATGCAGGCTCCACCCTCATGACCTAATCACCTCCCAAAGGCCCTGCTGCCTGAAACCATCACATTTAGGGTTAGGATTTCAGCCTATGAATTTTGAGGGGGAAACCAGCATTCAGTCCAGGTCCATAACAATGGTCAAATCCCATCTAAAATTATTATAACACAAAGAATAAGGGGCAGAGTAATGTCCCTACAAACAGGAAACTACTCCAGGAAGGCACGCCCAGAACATAGAAACTGGACCCTAATAATGCATCAATCTGAGAGGAAGGCCAGGTAGGTCAGGAGTTGGTCATAGCTCACCTGGGTTTAGGGTGTGGGACTTCATTATACTGTTCTAGTCTGCCTTTTGCTGGTTTACTTTTCAAGTATTTGCCTGAAATCTTAAATATTAACAAGGTATGAAACAGGGATCAATGAAACACATCATGGTATATGGTTCAGTGACAGACAACAGTGGGAAATCGCCGTGAATGGAAGCAAGAAATATGGGACAAAGTACTTGAAGGTTCCTGGCCATTTTTATTTTATTCTTTTTTTTTTCTTTCGAAATGGAGTTTGCTCTTTTTGCCCATGCTGGAGTGCAGTGGCGTGATCTTGGCTCACTGCAACCTCTGCCTCCTGGGTTCAAGTGATTCTCCCGCCTCAGTCTCCCAAGTAGCTGGGATTACAGACACCCGGCACAATGCCTGGCTAATTTTTGTATTTTTAGTAGAGATGGGGTCTCACCATGTTGGCCAGGCTGGTCTTGAACTCCTGACCTCAGGTGATCTGCTCGTCTTGGCCTCCCAAAGTGCTTGGGATTACAGGCGTGGGCCACTGCACCCAGCCCTCTACTTTGTTTTTTGTGCCTTTCTCTTCCATAGTGTCCATAATGATCATGCATTAATTACTTTCATAGCTTAAAAAAAAGTTGAATGGGAAAAATGGGTCACTGTGTATTTGAGAACAGTACTGGATGCTTCGTGTTTGGATGTGTGGGTGGATCTGCTTCTTTCTTCCATATGCTCTGCTGTGTGCTCCCTGGCTGCCCTGCTTTAATTTTATTTTGTTTTACACCCTGCATATCTTGATGTCTGCTTTTTTCCTCAGGTCTGGAGCCCGGCACTGTGGTCATAACAGAGCAGGCAGTGGATACCTGCTTCAAGGCAGAGTTTGAGCAGATTGTCCTGGGGAAGCGGGTCATCCGGAAAACGGACCTTAACAAGAAGCTGGTGCAGGAGCTGTTGCTGTGTTCTGCAGAGCTGAGCGAGTTCACCACAGTGGTGGGGAACACCATGTGCACCTTGGACTTCTATGAAGGTGAGGCAGCGGATACGAGGAGGCATCTTTCAGCCAGGGAACCCTGGTCCGTCCCCTGAGCCTGCCTTCTCGCTGTGGACTGGCGTTTCCACTTGCCAGGCTGCTGTCTCAGTTACACTTCGCCCAGAGTGGTTATAATGACCCGTTTGAGTGGTCATTATAGGCAGGACCTGGATGGGTCTTGCTTGTCCCTGTGTCCTTCTGGGCATCAGTGGCGCTGATGTGTTGTAGGAGCTTCTCACATGCATGTGGTTCTCATGTCTCCATGTGTGCCTCAGGGCAAGGCCGTCTGGATGGGGCTCTCTGCTCCTACACGGAGAAGGACAAGCAGGCGTATCTGGAGGCAGCCTATGCAGCCGGCGTCCGCAATATCGAGATGGAGTCCTCGGTGTTTGCCGCCATGTGCAGCGCCTGCGGCCTCCAAGGTAAGCGGCACTTGATGGGCCTCGGCGTCCCCTCCTCCCTTCACTTCTGCTCTCCTGGAGCCCCTCGCTGGGGCCCCTCCTCCTGGGGCACCCCGATACCCATTTCTGGTTTCTGTTTCCGCTGCCCCCAAGTCACTTTCTGACATATGTGTTGTCACCACAATGCTGTTCAATGTCTGACTGTCACACCCTGACAAAATGCAGGATTCTCAGTGACCTTGTGCAGGAAAAATGACAAAAAAGCTTTTGCTGCCCCATGAGGCTGCCACCAGGTCTATAAAAAACTCGGCTTTCAAAGCGCTTTGGCTTTCTGAATTGTGGTTCATCTACCCTCAAGGTACTAGCCACCCTTGAAGGCCAGCTCACAGCTCTGCAGAATTCCCTTATCACCTCGGCCAAAACGTGCCTTTCAAGGTGGTGCTTGCAGCCCTGAGCTGGTCCTGGAATGGTGAATTCCTTTTGGAAGCAGGCACGAGAATAAGGGAGGGACAGGGCAGGGTGGTGTCAGAGAGGGAGGAGTCTTCCGAGCCCCTGGACCAGCGCCTTTCCCTCCCGCACTCCATCCTCCGGCCCCGCCTGACTGCATGGGCAGCCTGGTTTCCTGAGGAGGCAGAGAGGCTGCTCCTCAGAGCTCGTGGGTTCTTCATCCCGTCCCTGTGAAATGTTAGACCCCCGGCACCTTGCCTTGATGTGGTCTTTGTCCTTTGCAGCGGCCGTGGTGTGTGTCACCCTCCTGAACCGCCTGGAAGGGGACCAGATCAGCAGCCCTCGCAATGTGCTCAGCGAGTACCAGCAGAGGCCGCAGCGGCTGGTGAGCTACTTCATCAAGAAGAAACTGAGCAAGGCCTGAGCGCTGCCCTGCACCTCCGCAGACCTGCTGTGATGACTTGCCATTAAAAGCATTGTCCAAAATCCCCTGTTGTGTGGACTTTGAGCACACTTTACACAAGAATCTAGAAAATCAGATCGCGATTAAGAGACAGAGAATCTTGGATTAACCGCATGGGAGATGTTCTTCCTTTTGAAGTTTCATTGGAGCATTTTCAATGATGTTAGCCTGATTTGGGGTTTCTTCAAGAACATTCTACCAAATTTTTGTACTATTTCTAGGGAAATTTTTCAGACTTTAAAATTCTAATGGTAGTCAGATTTCATGTCACTAAACAAGAAATCTGACAATAGTGCCAGGAAACTAATTTCCTGATACATTAAAAAAATTCCATGCACCACTTGCAATGAGAGATGACTGAAAACCAATGAAGCAGACAGCAGGGGTGTTTGAGAAATAATGCGTACCTAAACAGGCATATACACAGTTTCCAAATTATAGTCACACACATTCCCAAAACCATCCACACCAGCTTAATCACACGACAGTAATCCTCCCACCCATTGTCCACAATGCTAGTGTCTTGATCCAAGTACCTAGGGATGGGAAACGGGACACCTGGGCTCAAGACAGCTTGTCCTATTGTTTCTGTCCATGGCTTGTCAGCCTTGCATTCATTCCTGGCCTCACACTGACATTCCTAGACTCCGTGTCTCTTAGCTTCCTTCTCGGTTGCACCTTATAGTGGAGGGGAGAATCCAGGGTGGCCCCTCTGTCTGTCTCGGGTGAGTCTGGCAGCAGCTACTTGGGCAGGCCTAGGTCCCCAGCTCAGGGGCAGCTGGGTCTTGGGTCTTCACTGGCTTGTGGGTTGCCCAGGCTCCTGGCTGACTTCTCAACTCTCCCCACATCAGTGTGGCCACTTTCTGGTATTTATTGTTTCCTGTCCTTGAGATGGGCTTATTTCCTGGTGGGCTCTGAGGGACACTCCCATGCTCAGGGGCTCTGCTTAGCAGTTTGCTGTGTGACTTGGAGTGGCCAGGGAGGTGTGTGGGGACCTTGGTGTGGGTGCATGTGTGTGGTCTGTGCACTCTTTAATGTGCCTTCCCTGTGATTCTGAGATTCAACCCAAAATGAGGGTCATTCAGCATCTACTGAGCCCACATGCCCTTCTAAGTGCTAAGAGCAAGAGAGATCCTTGTCCCAATCAAAAACTTCCTTCCCTTCCACCTTCTCAAGCTCTAGGGTCTGTAATACAGATTTGCTTAGGGTGGAGAGTGAGTCTCCTTCCATTTCTCCCTCAGCACTTCTTGGTCCCTTTGTTGAAGCTGTCCAGGAGAAATTGGAACCCTCAAGGAGACTTCAGGGTCCTGGGATGTGGCTGTGCAGTCATCTGTGCACCCAGGGCAGCATGCTAAAGGCTCTGCTCCTGGCTTCTCACTCCAGCACGAGCTGCAGGGGCTGGACTTGCTACTATTGTGCGCTCATCTGTCTCCAAATTACCAAGTGCCCCCAGACTTCAACTGGATGTCACCATGCCCCTGTGGGTGCAGGACCCAGTGTGGGATAGCCTTTCTATCCTCTGACCAACCAGATGATGTTTATCACCAGGCTCTGGGGCAGGCTGAGGATGCAGGTGCGGACCATTGCCCCAGGCAGTAGGGGACTTGCAGGTTAATTTCTTTCACACCTCAACCCAGGCAAGTGTGGCCAGGTGGGCCCGCCACTTCCTAGGAGGACATCTTTGATAAAGCAGAGAAAAAAAACCACACAGAAATAGAATTTAAGGCTAAAGAGGAGGCTGCTATTAGTAAGAAAAGGGCTAGTTTGTTTTTGAGGTGTTTTGTCTCTGCACTGCCTGGAAGTCTGTCTCGCTGGGGGAGCTGTCACAGAGCCTGTGGCCTGAGCACCCTCCTCCGGGACAAGGCAGAAGGTAAAATGACTTCTGAACATGAGATTCTTTCTACAGGTGTCAATGGCCAAGCTGCAGCTATTGGCACTGCACTGCCCTCTGCTGGCTATGTGAGGTAGTGCACATCAGCCACCCCCAGGTGGATCTCTGTTGATCTAATCGGGCGACATCCCTGACCTTACAGGTGAACTCTATACCCCCTGACACGCAGGAAATGCCGGTTGAACAACACATCTTGTTCTGATTGAGTAAACATGAACTTGTTGGATTAGTTTATGTCGGCCTAAAAGGAAGAAGCTGAGGCAAAATTGGTAAAAGTAGAGAAGTAACTGGGTCCAAGCTTGAAGACTGCAACCCAAGAACATAGATTCAAGTTCCCCTGAATGAACACTCTGATTAGCAGCACTTACAAGTGGATTTTTAAAGGTAAAAGGGACAGGGAATGGGCTGATACACAGCTGTCTGCCAGGAATTCTCATTGGTTTACAGAAATGATATTGATCAATGGCTACACATTGTTAAGCCATAGAGTGTGGGTTCTAGTATTCAGTGTGGCATTATTAAGTTAATTTATAGCTACTTGTGGCAATAGCAAGCAGTTCCAAGAGATGAATACATAGTTAAAAAGGGGGAGTGATTGATGTCTTTTTCTTGAGACAAGGTCTTGCTCTGTCACCCAGGCTGGAGTGCAGTGGTGCAATCACAGCTCACTGCAGCCTTGACCTCCTGGGCTCAAGCAATCCTCCCACCTCATCCTTCTGAGTGGCTGGGAATACAGGTGCACGCCACCACAACCTGGCTAATTTTTGTATTTTTTTGCAGAGATGGGGTCTTGTGTGTTGCCCGGGCTGGTCTTGACCTCCTAGGTTCAAGCGCCCCTCCCACCTAGGCTTCCCAAAGCATTGTGATTAGAGACGTGAGCCACTGTGTTTGGCTTATTGTCCCATTTTAATGTCTCTCTGGCTGTAATAATTTGAAAGGTCTCAAATTCCTCAGATGAAAGTTATTTTCTTTCCTCATTTGGCTACCAAGATGTCTCTGGAGCTGACGTTATAAATGTCCTCACATGAGTGTTACTTGAATTCCTCGGGAGACGACCAGAAACTTGGTCCCCTTCCTCACCCCGCACTGGCCACTCTTTGACTTTCAGGCCCTTGTGCCACGCTGGTATCATTGGCTTGGTCCCCTTGTGGGGGCTTCCCACAACCTGGGCACTGGCCCCTTCCTCAACCCCTCCTCCATTCCCAGCGCTGGTGATAAAGACTCTTCTGAGCAGGAATATAATGACACCAACATGGTTCACTTTCGGTGCTTTCAGCAAGGCAGAGAGAATTAGGAATGTAATTGGGATTGTTCTGATGGAACTAATTACCCTGGATTTCAAAAATCGTTGTCAGCGAGTTCACTCCATGTTTTCCTCTAGTGCAGTCCTTAAGTGATATGCTCAGAATGCCTCCCACTAATGTGAAAAAAAAATGTTAATAATTATCCAGCCCTTTGTAAATTGGAAAATCAGCACGTCACTAGTGAGTTAGTCAAGAGTTTACCTCAGGAAGCCTGCCACGCTCTCACATAAAAGGTTGGGCTTTGGTGTCAATTGCAGAGGTGGCCACGCTCCTCCTGCTGCCTCCTCGCGGTCCAGTCTCATCACAGCGGTGACAATGCCACCTTGACCAGAAACAATGAGATGATGGTTTGTCTTTATAAATGACAATAGGGACAGTGGAATATGTTAGAGCATGAGCTGTGCGTCTCCTATACCTTTATCCTTAAGCCTAGCACTAAGCCACGTTTTAAAGCCAGGTGTCCATCATATATTGTATTATCCGGTAATTCCACTCCTGCTCCTGGGCTTGCATGGAGAGAACTCATGTGGCCCAGGAAACATGGACAGGAATGTTCATAATTGCAAAGGCCTCGGTAACAAAAGCCAGAAGTCCCCAAATATCCATGTGCCAGAGAACAAATGCAATGAGTTTGGTGTGCTCAGATGATGAAAAACAGTGAAAATAAATGCAGACACCTTCACCATCAGTACAGAACCATCTCAGGTAACATTCTAAGTGAAAAAAGCAAATTGTAGAATAGTACCTACAACATGATTCCATTTATATAAAGTTTGAAAATGGACAAAACTAAACAATATGTTGTTTAGGATTACGTGCATTTCATTGTAAGACTAGGGGAAAAAACTCCACCAGGGATTGAGAAACCCCAATTGAGATCAGGAGTTTCCTCTGTTGGGAGGCAGGGTGCATTTGGGAGGAGGGGGGACCCCCAAGGACATCAAAGATGTTCTGTTTCCTAGGTTAGGAATGACTTTCACATCAGGGCTTCTGGGTTCCATTGCAGCTTACTCATATTTCAGTACTCCTTGGTATGTATGTAATAGTAGAATATCATCTCATTAATCACCACCCAGACATTAGGCTCAACTTATAAAATAAGGAAGCAGTGCTAGTATAAGAAAATAGTACTGCTCTGCTGGTGCTTAGTAGTTTTTCAGTTACCACGTACATGAAGGAGAGTGATTTCTGACCGATTTTCATGGAGTAGGATCAGCTCTGCAGATGTGAGCTTTTAATAATAGCTAATATGTATTGAGCCATCGTTGTCAGGCCCCTTGTGTGGAACTTCCATCAGCGATCCTGCCTGGCCCTCTCCCCATCTGTGTTATCCCCAAATGCCAGATGAGGACACAGCCTGGGCTCAGGTCTGTGTGAGGGTTGGGACTGTGCGGCCACAGTGTGTTATTCACATATGTGCACACATACACACCTGTGCGTTTCCATGCACATTCATGCACACATTGTCATACATGCACAGCCATGCAGAAGTTTACTTACTAGGAAAAGAGTAGCACTCAGTTCTCTGGACTTCACAAGGAGAGGAGAACACAGGTATGAATGTCAGTCCTTGGCATCCCAGCGTAGTCTGTGCTGCGGTGGGGTGGGGTGGGGGCTGGTAAGAGTTCTCCTTTAGGGTCTCTTTCAGTGAATGTTTTGTAGGAAGAAAATTTTAAAAAGGGTAAAATCATGACTGCCATACAGAAATGAAATGAACATGTGTGTTATGGAAATAAAGCCAACCCGCCAGTGGTAGGCCTTTCCATGTCCAGTCTAGGAGAGAGAAAGCCCCAGTTATGTGTGCTGAGACTCCACGCGTGTGGGAGGGGACTATGTGGAGGGAGTCTTACATTACACAGTGAAGTGGAGGAAAAATGAGAACTTCCCCCAGATCTCCTTGAAGGGTGACTGGATGATCTTGTGACAGTCCCTGCGTGCCTCCCGAGGGTGCCTGAGTTATTTGGGTGCATGTGTTCCCAGTTCTAGGGGGCAGAAGGCCCTAGACCTTGCTTTATAAAATCAAAATCTCTCACCCGGCTGATTCTGGAGGCACTCTAAGGAGGGAGGAGGGAAGCAACTACCTCCCACAAGAAAGGTTCATCATTTTATCCTTACACATGGAAAATACTTTTTTTTTTTTTGAGACAGTCTTATTCTGTCATCCAGGCTAGAGTGCAGTGGTGCTATCTCAGCTCAGTGCAAATTCTGCCTCCCAGGTTCAAGCTATTCTCCTGCCTCAACCTCCTGAGAGCTGGGACTACAGTCATGTACCACCACGCCAGGCTAATTTTTGTAATTTTAGTAGAGATGAGGTTTGGCCACGTGGGCCAGGCTGGTCTGGAACTCCTGACCTCAAGTGATCCACCCGCGTGACCTGCCCACCTCGGCCTCCCAAAGTTCTGGGATTATAGGCATGAGCTGCTGAATTGCACTCACCATGAGGGAAGCTGGCAGGTGCTGTGACTGGTTCTCAGAGGCAGTCCCAGTGGCAGGAGTTCACACGGAGTGAGGAGCATGAAGTACAGATGGAAGCAGAGCCAGCCTCTCAGCAGGGCCCACAGGGGCAGTCAAGCCTCTCCAGGCAGGACAGAAGTTCTCTACAATTCCCAGGGTTGCAAATAGCTCCTGTGGAAGGGACGCCAGAAGCCCTGCAGAGGCACCTTGCAGAGTCTGGACAAGGCAGGGTTCCCTGCAGGGCCCCACGGCTTCCCTCCAGTGTGCCGCGGCCAGAGGCAAAAGGACGTGGTGGTGGACTGCCTTGCTGGCAGGTTCCCAGGCCTGTCTGGGCAGGTTCCTCCCTTCACTGAACAGCAGTTTCCTTTCCTACGAAATTCCATGTACCACACAGGGCTCTTGTGACGATGGGATGAGGTCACAGGTAGAGAAGCACGGGTGCGAGGGGCTCATGAACAGATTTAAACTCTTCCCCAGATAGCTGAGCTTGGTGCCATTTGCCCTGGGGCCTCTTTCTGGCTCACATTTTCCTCCTGTGGCAGTAGTTCCCTGAGGCCAATCCAGTCTCACCTCAACCTTAAACACCCCTCCTTGTGCCCGGCCAGTTGTCACTTGTTATCTGAGGGCTGCACCCCTGCATCCCTGCCCTCCTTCTCACTGAGGACACAGCGGGTCCCCTCTTTCTAGTCCCACGCAAGGATCACTCCTCGGGGCTAGCTCTGGGCTTTGGTTCACGTGCCCCACACCCAGTCCACGCCAGGCTGGCCTCTGGAAGGTGAGCTTCTCACTGGGGACAGGATACAGGGTAGTGTGGCCCAGGAAGGACATCTGGTCGGGGGGCTGAGGAGAGGGAGGTGGAGGTTGGGAGAGAGGCAGGACAGGCAGGATGGAAACTGTGTTTGTCCATTTGCACTGCTATACAGAAATACATGAGACTGAGTCACTTATAAAGGAAAGAGGCTTAATTGGCTCATGGTTCTGCAGACGGTGCAGGAAGCATGGCCCTGGCATCTGCTTCTGGTGAGGCTTACAATTATGGCGGAAGGGAAGGGGAGCAGGTGTGTCACATGGGGAGAGAAGGAGCAAGAGAGACGGGAGCAAGTCCCAGATTCTTTTAAACCACCAGATCTCATGTGAACTCACTCATCACCAAGGGGAGGGCACCAAGCTATTCATGAGGGGTTCACTCAACACCTCCCACCAGGCCCACCTTTAACACTGGGAATAACATTCAACATGAGATTTGGAGGGGACAATCATCCAAACTATACCAGGAACAGTACTTGGGGATGGTTCGTATGTGTGTGTGTGTGTGGTTTTGTGTGTGTGTGTGTCTGTGTGTGTTTGTGTGTGTGTCTGTGTGTGTGATCAAGGTGTGGGCAGAACTGGTTCCTTTTGAGGCCTCTCTCCTGGGCTTGCAAATGGCTGCCTTCTTGCTGTGTTCTCTGTTGTCTTCCCTCTGTACGTGTCTGTGTCCTAATCTCCTTTCTTATAAGGACACCAGGCATATTGGATCAGGCCCAACACAATGACTCTGTTTATTCATTCATTCATTTATTTTAAAAAATAGAGATGGGGTCTCAGTATGTTGCCCAGGCTGGTCTTGAACTCCTGGCCTCAAGTGATCCTCCTGCCCCAGCCTCTCAAAGTGGTGAAATTACAGGCATGAGCCACCAAGCCCAGCCCCAATGACTCCATTTAAATGTAATCACTTCTTTAAATACTCCAGGTAGACCACAGTTGCATTCTGAGGTCCTAGGTGTTAGCACTTCAATACATGACTTTTGAGGAAAAACAATTCAGCTTATAACCAGAAGGAGCTGGCGTGAGGGCCTTGTGAAAACAGAGGCACATAAATATTAATGGTGTTGATCTACTGTCTTGGATGTAATACAGATACATCCAGCCCTAGTCCCAAAACAAATGACCTTCAGTCAGAGGTAATTTTTTAAGTGTGCATTTCCATAGGAGCAACCAATGTGTAAGAGCAGGTTGCTCAAAATTAATCTGGTTTTAAAAAATTCTACCCACTTTGCTTTTCAACTAGAACATCATGATCCTTCCATATCACCTTTCCACTAACTGTGTTGCTGCCACTTACCAGGCCACCTGTGGGGACTGGTCACCAGTGGACACACGGCCGAGATTGCCTGTGTGGACTGGTCACCGGTGGATGCAGGGCTGTGATTCCCCCTGTGTGGGCTGGTCACTGGTGGACACAGGGCTGTGATTCTCAGTGTGGACTGGTCACCAGTGGATGTAGGGCTGTGATTCCCCCTGTGTGGGCTGGTCACTGGTGGACACAGAGCTGCGATTCCCCATGTGTGGGTTGATCACTGTTGGACACGGTGCTGTGATTCTCCTTGTGTGGACTGATCACCAGTGGATGTGGGACTGCGATTCTCCCTGTGTGGACTAGTCAATGGTGGATATGGGCCTGTGATTCCCCCTGTGTGGGCTGGTCACCAGTGGATGTAGGGCTGTGATTCCCCCTGTGTGGGCTGGTCACTGGTGGACACGGGGCTGCGATTCCCCGTGTGTGGGCTGATCACTGTTGGACGCGGTGCTGTGATTCTCCCTGTGAGGACTGGTCACCAGTGGACGTGGGACTTCAATTCCCCCTGTGTGGGCTGGTCACTGGTGGACATGGGGCTGTGATTATTCCTGTGTAGGCTGGTCACTGGTGGACGTGGGGTTGCGATTCCCACTGCGTGGGCTCGTCACTGGTGGATGTGGGGCTGTGATTCCAGTGCTGGGTAAGCAGATGCTTAGAGAGCTTCAGACCCTGGCACGGGTGATGAAGAATGACAATATGGCAGAAGACGAGAGAGGGTTCTTTTGGGAGTGGCTACTTTAGAATGATTGTTGGGGGTTATGATACCCACTTGGTTGTTGGGGGAACAGGAACAGGAAGTCTGTGGCTCCAGCAGAGGAACTTGCCAGATACATGCCAGAGGAATGAACGTGGCATGTGAGAAGATTCCAGTGAAGGGGACTAGTGGTGTGGCATACAAGGTGGCTCTGAGCTGCTGAGAGCAGATTACACAGATTCCTGTAGATCACACGTGTCCCTGTAGACCACACAGGTTCCTATAGACAGAACAGGTCCCTGTAGACCACACAGGTCCCCATAAACCATACAGGTCCCTTTAGACAGGATAGGTCACTCTAGAGCACACAAGTCTCTGTAGACCACATTTTCTTTTTTTTTTTTTTTAAGTTCACTGAAAAATGCATGCTACAAATATAACCAAATTTTATAGCAGGAGGAAATAAGTGAAACCAAGTAAAACCAATTATAATAAAATTGAGAAAATATGGGCAGCCAAAATAATGGAAAATAGCATTTTTCATGGTGCTGTCACATTTTTCATTGCAAATCTAAGAACTAAATCAATGTCGAAGCAATCACGTTTATGAGATTTCCATCAAGTTATATTTATTCATCTTATTCTTCAAATTGAAACTTTATTACAGTTTAGATTAGAAAGCAAAACTTGCTAATATTTTTATGTGTATTAAAGCAAATTTGACAACAATGTTTCATATTCTGTAACTTGGCTTTGGTCGTTATTTTGAAAATGACTTTCCATGTTTTTCTTACAGGGCCCAAAAGGTAATCCTGGCCCAGTGGTATGGATGTCTCCATGTTTTCTGTCATTTAGGATATAGGTCTTTGAAAGAAAAGAATCAGGAAGATGGCCTGCTTTCTTAGGTGTTCATCAGTTAACATGTTTGAGGTGACAAGCAGGCCACCAAAGAAATGCCAACATCCATCTTTCCCTCCCTCCCTCCCTCCCTTCCTTCCTTCTTTCCTTTTTTTTCTTTCATTTTTTGAGACAGAGTCTCACTCTGTTGCCCAGGCTGGAGTGCAGTGACGTGATCTCGGCTCACTGCAACCTCTCCCTCCTGGGTTCAAGTGATTCTCCTGTCTCAGCCTCCCGAGTAGCTAGGATTACAGGCACGCACCACCATGCCCAGCTAATTTTTGTATTTTCAGTAGAGACGAGGTTTCACCATGTTGGCCAGGCTGGTCTTGAACTCCTGACCTCATGATCCGCCTGCCTCGGCCTCTCAAAGTGCTGGGATTACAGACGTGAGCCACCACACCCGGCCTGTTCTTTATTTTTAAGAGGCATTAGAGCTGATGTTGTCACTGCCCTTGAGGTTCGCCTCTTCCCATCAGTGTGTTTAAATCATCCTGCGTTGGAGGACGGCGCACAGAAAGCTCTGATAAATGGGACGGTTTCTTTTAATAGCTCTCTTGATGATTGATTCTATTTTAAGTAGATTGTGGGAGATAAATACTGACTGGAGAGAAATTCCTTCACATATCTGCCACCTCCCAAACAAAAAAGAAAGGAACTGTTTCTCTGCTTTAAACCAGACCACATTTTCTTCATCCAATCTGCTGTTGAGGGGCACCTTGGTTGACTCCATGTCTTTGCTATTGTGAATAGTGTTGTGATGAACATACGAGTGCATGTGTCTTTTTGGCAGAACAATTTATTTTCCTTTGGGTGTATACCCAGTAATGGGATTGCTATAGGTTAAATGGTAGTAGGACATAGGAATCTTTCGATTTCTATCTCTTTGGAAATCTGTTTCCTGATATAAAGGAGCAAATTGAAGATAATGTAATTGGATACAGGTCAGCCCTTTGATATCACTTGGGCTGCAATCCAGTTCTTTGAGGAATTACAAACAACTGTCCTTGTCTTATAAATTGAGCCTTTACAAAAACAAAAATGTGACTCTGGAAGCAATTCAAAACTCATCCATCCTACTTCCCAACCCTCAAACCTCCTCTATTCACCTGGAGATGCATCAGGTACTGTACAGTCAGGACACTGAAAATGTAGGCATCCTGCATCTAAGAAAAGAGGAAGAAGTTTAAATAGTCATAACCTAAAACTCTGATCATAGGCAAATGTGCTCCAGAACTCTTTGTTTTTGCCTTTTCTTTTTTTTCCCCATACGTTAT